>NC_000016.10:74865530-75168560 GCF_000001405.40 Homo sapiens
ATGCCTCGCCCACAGTATCCAGCTTTTAAAAAATAATTACACTTTTTATTTTGAGAGAATTGTAGATTCACATACAGTTTTAAGAAATAATACAGACAGCCAGGCACAGTGGCTCACACCTGTAATCCCAGCACTTTGGGAGGCCGAGGCAGGCGGATCACCTGAGGTTGGGAGTTTGAGACTAGCCTGACCAACACGGAGAAACCCCATCTCTACTAAAAATACAAAATTAGCTGGGCATGGCGGCGCATGCCTGTAATCCTAGCTACTGGGGAGGCTGAGGTAGAAGAATCGCTTGAACCCAGGAGGCGGAGGTTGTGGTGAGCCGAGATCTCACCATTGCACTCCAGCCTGGGCAGCAAAAACGAAACTGTCTAAAAAAAAAGAAGGGAAGGGAAGGGAAAGGAAGGGAAGGGAAGGAAAGGGGCGGGGAGGCGAGGGGAGGGGAGGGGAGGGGAGGGGAGGGGAGGGGAGGGGAGGGGAGGGAGAAACGAAGAAAGGAAGCAAGCATGCAGGGAGGGAGGGAGGGAGGGGGTGGGTGGGCAGGCAGGCAGACACTCTGTGTACGCTTTGCCCAGTTTCCCCCAATGGTAACATCTTGCAAGACTACAGTACAGTGTCACATTCAGGATATTGACATTCAGACAATCCACCCATCTTCCTCAGATTTCCCCGGTTTTACTTGCACTCCATTGTGGGTATTTAGTTCTGTGCAATTTATCACGTGTAGGTATGGACTCACCATCACGATCAACATATGAAAAGGTCCCATCCCCACAAGGGTCCTTTGTGCTGCCCTTTTATAGCCACACCTCCCAACCTCCTGCCCCTGCCGACCGCTGACCGCCCAACTCTTCTCCAGCCGTAACCACCCAACGGGTTCATTTGCCTACTGCCCAGACAGAGCCCATTTATCAAGACAGGGGAACTGTAATAGAGAAAGAATTTAATTGGCACAGAGCTGGTTGAACAGCAGACTGAGGTTTTATTACTTAAATCAGTCTCTCCAAAATCTCAGAGCCTAGGGTTTTTCAAGGATAGTTTGGCAGGCCAAGGTGCTGCTGATTAGTTGGGGGTGCAATCCTAGGGGTGTGGAACATGGTCCTTGTGCATGCTGAGTCTGCTTCTGGGTGGGGTCACAGGACTGGTTGGCTGGTAGGAACGGACCCATCAATAGTCAGAAATGCAAAAACCTGAAAAGATGGCCAGGCCTGGTGGCTCACGCCTGTAATCCCAGCACTTTGGGAGGCTGAGGCAGGCGGATCACTTGGTCAGGAGTTGGAAACCAGCCTGGCCAATTTTTGTATGTTTAGTCTCTATTAAAAATACAAAAATTAGGCTGGGTGCAGTGGCTCATGACTGTAATCCCAGCACTTCGGGAGGCCAAGGCGGGTGGATCAAGAGTTCAGGAGTTCGAGACCAACCTGACCAACATGGTGAAACCCCGTCTCTACTAAAAATACAAAATTAGCTGGGCGTGGCAGCATGTGCCTGTAATCCCAGCTACTGGGGAGGCTGAGGCAGGAGAATCGCTTGAACCCGGTAGGCAGAGGTTGCAGTGAGCCAAGATCGTGCCACTGCACTCCAGCCTGGGCGACAGAGTGAACCATCTCAAAAAAAAAAAAAAAAAAGAAAAAGAGTCATGTGGAAGGTAACCTTCTGGGGTTGGCTTTTTTTCACTCAGCGTAATTCGCTTGAGAGTCATCTAGATTGCTATGTGTATCTGATGATATAGGAGTGAAGAAGAAATTACTAAGGCAGATAGTGAGGGTATGGGAGTCCTCAGTAAGGTTTCCTTTTTAATGAAAAGCAGCTCCCAAATCATTTTGTTTTCTAATAAAGAGCAGCCTGTAGAATCGAGCTGCAGACATAGATAAGCAAACTAGAAGCTTGCACAGGTGAATGCCGGCAGCTGTGCCAATAAAAAAAAGCTACCTGGGACTAGGCATATTCAACATGGCGGCTCCATCTTCCCTTCTCTTTGCCAAACCACGCATACAGTAAGGAAGAGACAGCATGGCGCCAGCCAGGCAAAGACCCCATCTCCATAATAAGATTACGGTGGGGTGCCCAGCTTCCTCTTGTGCTAAACGTCACACCTGGTCCACCCTATCCGTGGGCGCTACGTAAATCAGACACTGCCTCCTCAATCCTGTCTATAAAATCTGCTGCACTCAGCCTCGGGCCAGAATTCCCACTCAGGTGCCCCTCTCTCTCGCAGGAGAGAGAGCTATTCTCTCTTCTCCTTCTTTCGCCTATTGAACCTCCGCTCTTAACCTCACCCCATGTGTGTCCGTGTCCTTGATTTCCTTGGCATGAGGCAATGACATGCCAAGACACGCCCGGGACCACAACACCGCTTCATTTCTGGGGTTCATTCCCTTTTATTGCTGAGTAGCATTCCGCAGGACAGAGGCTAGAGTCTGTTTAACCATTCGCCTACTGAAGGACACGTAAGAGAATTTCAGTTTGGGGCTATTAAAATCTGCCGTTTTAGTCTTTGTTTTCTGTTTATTTCCTGTGTTTCTTGTTCTTCTGTTTCTTTTGTCTTGCCTTCCTGTGGGTAGAAAGACTTGCCCTCACATATAAGCTCCTATGCTTTTTTTTCTTTTTGAATACATATTTTTAAAATACAGAGATAGGATCTCACTATGTTGCCCAGACTGGTCTGGAACTCCTGGGCTAAAGTGATCTGCCCACCTCGGCCTCCCAAGTGCTGGGATTACAGGCGTGAGCCACCGTGCCCAGCCTCCTGTGCTTTTGCTTAACTCTAGCTGCTTTCTCTCCCTGGGAAGCAGCGCTGAGGCTCCCTATACCTTCTTCATAAGGAGATGGCTTTCACCTCGTTTTGGCTTGTGTCTGTGTTTTTCTGATTTGTGAAAATAAAAATAAGCCCTACTTATGGAAATCATATGGAATCAAGGCAGACAGAACAAAATAGTAACAATATTTAAAGTGCTTCTATAATTAGAAAAAACAATCAAGATATAAAAATCTTTTCTTAAAAATGTGTGGGTCAGATAGACCTGAGTGTGAGTTGAGACACTGCTTTCCTTTTCTGGGTGTGCTACTGTGATTTAAAAAGAAACGTATATCCGGTCTCTGCCCTGGTTCCTGACATAGAACTCCTCAACCCTGTCATTTCCTGAGCAATAGGGCTGCTATTTAGTCTTTGATCCGGGTTCCTAACACAGCTCCTACGACCTTTGTAATTTCCTGAGTGATGAGTGTCTGACACAAAGCTACTAAATCCCTTGGAATTTTGTGAGAGGAACAGCTTTTGTTCTAATGAGTGGGCTCTTCGTGGGCTCCCGGACAGCCTCAGGATGGGGGCTGGTTGCCAGGGGAACCAACCCTGTGTGACTGTCCAATGTATCTCTTCATCTGGCTGCCCACCTGTATCCTTTGTAAGACCCTTTATAATACATAAGTAGCGAGGTGCAGTGGCGTGCAGTGGCTCATGCCTGTAATCCCAGCACTTTGGGAAGCTGAGGCAGGAGGACTGCTTGAGCCCACGAGTTCAAGACCAGCCTGGGCAACATAGACTCCATTTCAATTAAAAAAAAAAAAAAAAAAAAAAAAAGGAAAGAAATTCGGCACGTCTCCTAGTGAAACCTGAGTAGGATGTCATTGGAACCCCCAGTTTAGAGCCGGTAGGTCAGAAGGCACAGGTCACACAACCTAGGACTTGAGACTGGCATCTGAAGTGGGGGGCAGCGTTGTGGGGGTGAGCCCTCAGCCTGTGGGATCTGACACCATCTCCAGGTAGATGGCGTTACAACCTGGGACTTGAGACTGGCATCTGAAGTGGGGGGCAGCACAGGCTCCACTAAAAAACTCTACACAGCACCCCCAATGCCATGCTGTCTTGTCCTTGGCACGGTCCTTCCCTGTGCCCTCCCGCTCTTCCTCATTGAAAACACCCTTCATATGAACTCAGCCAAACCCCTGTCCTCTGTGCAGTCTTGGCCCTTGGTGGAGTTCCTTCTTTCCTCGGAGGCCAACAGCACATTTTGGTGTAAGCACTTACATGTTTAAGTTTCCTACTAGACTCCGCCTCCAGCAGGCCAGAGACCACATTCTGTATGGTTCATCTTTGCCCAAGTGTCTATTCTCATGTCCAGTACTTGATGAATTGTATCAGACCTTCTCAGACTTGAGGAAGAAATACTAAATTAGTGATATTGTGGCGACATAAACTTGCCAATGTGACAGAATGCCAACATGGGAGATTTAGTTCTGATTCTGACAAAGCCATTAGATTCTAAGAAGGATGCAGAAAGCCAAGTGTGTTTCCCCCACGCCCAGGACCCGCCACTGGATGCGTGAATCATACCCCATGGCTGGCGCCACCTTGAGGCTGGGCACGCAAAGATGAGCCATAAAAAAGAGGGTGTGATTTGTCACCCTGTTTGCTGAACTATTTTGCCACAATTAGCAAAACCAACCCTTTAAGAAATTGTTCAGGGGCCAGGCATGGTGGCTTATGCCTGTAATCCCAGCACTTTGGGAGGCCGAGGCGGGCAGACCACTTGAGGTCAGGAGTTGGTGACCAGCCTGGGCAACATGGTGAAACCCCGTCTCTACTAAAAATACAAAAAAAATTAGCCGGGTGTGGTGGCGCACGCCTGTAATCACAACTACTCAGGAGGCTGAGGCACAAGAATCACTTGAACCTGGGAGATGGAGGTTGCAGTGAGCAGACATCACATGTGCCACTACACTCCAGCCTGGGCAACAGAGAGAGACTCCATCTCAAAGACCCCGACACTAGGGTGGCTATAGCCTAGGTCCTCTCCTGAGTTCCTGCTGCACTAAACCATTAAAAAGGAGCTGGCTTTCTCCCCAATCCTACCAGCCACCCAGGGAACCACTGAGTAAGGGAACGAGCTCCCAGTAGGTGAACTTGGCGTCTTCAGACTGAATGCATTTTTGTATTAAATTAAACAAAACATTGTTGGCTGGGCACGGTGGCTCACGTCTGTAATCCTAGCACTTTGGGAGGCCAAGGCGGGCAGATCACTTGAGGTCAGCAGTTTGAGACTGGCCTGGCCAACATGGTGAAACCCCGTCTCTATTGAAAATACAAAAAACAGCTGGGCATGGTGGCACACGCCTGTAATCCCAGCTACTCAAGAGGCTGAGGCAGAAGAATCGCTTGAACCTCGGAGACAGAGACTGCAGTGAGCTGAGATCGCACCACTGCACTCCAGCCTGGGTGACAGAGCAAGACTTTGTCTCAAAAAAAAAAAATTGTTAAAGCAACATCAATTCTATCTATGTGACATTACCAAAGAAAGCATTATACCATTTGTGTCTTGGGGGGGTTAGGGACAGGGACAAATAGTCAACCTGGTGGTTGCCCTGAGGCTCGCCCCTTCCCCCATCCTTTCCAGTATCCTGCCTGAGCAACCTTTTGTTTCTGGTGCACAAATACGACTGCTGGGCCTGTTTTCTTGCAAAGGTACTTTCAAACATAGCTTGTATTGCCTTTATTCATTTTTTTTTTTTGAGACGGAGTTTTGCTTTGTCACCCAGGCTGCAGTGCAGTGGCACAATCTCGGCTCACTGCAACCTCCGCCTCCCGGGTTCAAGCGATTCTCCTGCCTCAGCCTCCTGAGTAGCTGGGATTACAGGCAACCGCCACCACACCCGGAAAATTTTTGCATTTTTCGTAAAGACAGGGTTTCGCCATGTTGGCCAGGCTGGTCTTGAACTCCTGACCTCAGGTGATCCACCCACCTCGGCCTCCCAAAGTGCTGGCATTACAGGCGTGAGCCACCCCACTTGGCCTTGTATTGCTCTTAAAAACAAATAAACAAACAAAAGACTCAGGTGCTTGTAATCATCTATTCTGCGGCTGAGAGAATATCGGCCATGGCCCGCAACCAGACAACCAACCTGTTTCCAAACATGAATATTTTAAAATATTAGACTTTTGTTCTGGTAACTTGGAAATTCAAAAGGAATTTCCGTATTGAAGGATGACATTATGTAATATTTTAAACTCGAAATTTCTTCACACCATTAAGGTTTTTCAATTTTGAAAGTCAATGTTCCTCCAACAATAAAACAAGAAAAACATCTCATTCTTGATGGGGACAGATAGGGACAGGTTTTTACACTAACTTGAGCAGTGGGGAACAGGAAAAGATTGCTCTCTGCAAATGGTGTGATTTCACTGAGGAACACAACAGATCCTTTCTCTCTGTGTAAATCAGCCAACCTATTCTGTGATCACCATTACAACAGAATTTGTGTATGCAAATTCCCGGCTGGGCCTTCTCCTGTCATCCTCCCAGCGGCTCCCCCGCCCTGCTCACGCTACTGAGACACTGGCACCTTACCTCAGACCAGAGCCCAGCACTAAACCTCTGGTTCCACTGCACAGGATCTCAGTTCTTTCTTACATCCTGAAGTTTTGTGCCCAGTAACACAGGGGACGAGGTATAAGCTTCATCCAAAACAGTGTTGTGAAAATGTTTTGACTACAACTTTCAGTAAGAAATGAATTTACGCTATGATCCGGTATACACCTGTGCACACATGTGCTGCACACACGTAAACAAGTTACACAAAACATTTTCCTTAGCTATGTATGGTACATTGTGATCATTTTTCTCTTACACCATTTCATTTTTTTAAATGCTGGTTTTCCGCACTAGATCAATGTCACAATCCACTAATGGGTCCTGACCTGGAGTTTGAAACACATGAATATGCAATGCTCTCCCATTATGAGACATGTCCTAGTCCCTAAGCTAATCTACTTGGAACTGTAAAATTCTAAGAAACAGAAATAGATATTTCAGTAGAAATAATAAAAAAGATTTCTTTTCACTGGCACATACAAAATGTGAAGTTGAAAATCATTCTGAAATTAGCCAGGCATGGTGGTGCACACCTGTAGTCCCAGCTACTCGGGAGGCTGAGGTGGGAGGATCACTTGAGCTCAGGTGATAGAGGCTACAGTGAGCTATGATTGCATCACCACTCTCCAGTCTGGGTGACAGAGTGAGACCCTGTCTCTCTCTCTAAAAAAAAAAAAAAAAAATTTAACTTTAAAAAAGAAAATCATTCTGAAGAATTGGTGGACACAGATGTTATAACTACTCAGAACACAGGCAAACACAGGCAGTTTGCGAGGGAGCCTAAAGGAAGAGTGAGGGCACTCACTGGAACCCAGCCCATCTGAACAGAGGCAAGGAAGACTTTGGTTTATTGACAGGGTCTCACTCTGTTGCCCAGGCTGGAGTGCAGCGGTGCAATCAAGGCTCACTGCAGCCTCAACCTCCTGGACTCAAGTGATCCTCCCACCTCGGCCCCTCAAGTAGCTGGGACCACAGGCATGTGCCACCACACCCGGCTATTTTTTTAATTTTTTTTTTCTTTTTTTGAGACAGAGTCTCACTCTTGTCACCCAGGCTGGAGTGCAATGGCATAATCTCAGCTCGCTGCAACCTCTGCTTCCCAAGTTCAAGCGATTCTCCTGTCTCAGCCTCCCCAGTACCTGGGATTACAGGCGCCCGCCACCATGCCCGGCTAATTTTTCTATTTTTAGTAGAGATGGGGTTTCACCATGTTGGCCAGGCTAGTCTCGAACTCCTGACCTCAGGTAATCCTCCCACCTCAGCCTCCCAAAGTGCTGGGATTACAGGCATGAGCCACCGTGCCCGGCCTATTTTTTAAATTTTTTGCAGAGATGGGATCTCCTTATGTTGCCCAGGCTGGTCTCGAACTCCTGAGCTCAGGTGATCCCCTCACTTTTGCCTTCTAAAGTGTGGGATTACAGGCATGAGCCATGGGGCCTGGCCAGGGAGACTTTTCTATCCATGCTGCACGGCAATCTTGTCCTCCTTTTGCTAGAAGAAATAAGACTCTTGGGGCTAGGAAGAACCTTAAATGTCAAATTCCATTTTCTCTTGTCAGATGACAAAAGTAAATCAGCATTTCCTTTAAAAATCGGAGCACTGACTTTGGTCCTATTCAAAATAGCTACCTTCAATTAGAATTAGGGTAAAAAATGATTCACCATAATGTTGTTTAACTTTCTCTCTTTTTTTTTTTTTTCAAATTACTAGAATTTTATTAGCCAAGGGATAGCAGCTGGAGGAGAAATAACAAAAAAATACATCTTAAGAATCCTTAAGTACAGTGCATATTTACAATTTAAGTGTCATATTTTAGAAGGCCACTGTCCATCAGCTCAGTAAATGTACCAGCTTCTAAAGCCATGATGCCATAGGTCCATTTGTTGATGAAATTCCTACCCACTGTCCTCGGGCATCTGACTCTGGTCTCTGCACTGGCATCAAGAGAACGCTGCTCGGTGGTTTAAGGCTAACACCTTACAGGGTAACACTGTAACACTGGCCCTGGAGCCAGGTGCTTTTCTCCATGAAAACTTCCACCTTGGTAGCTCAGCCGACATAGACAACACACAAAGCGCAGCTCTGCACTTCTGTCCTTATCTTCACACAGTGACATCCACACCAGGTGGCCAAACAGAAGAGAAGGCAGAGGCCCACCAAGAGCTGATGCTGCGCAGTCCTTGGGGGATCATCCTCCGGTCTCACTGGGGACGAACCCAGGTTCTGGAGCCTCTCCCCTGACAGACAGCTTGTCACCGGCACTTATGGGTCCTCTGGGATTTCAGACAATACCCAACTTCTGTAGGTTCAGAAAGTGCTTTCAAGCAGGCAGTGGCACCCACACCCGGTGGGACACACCTCCTGGGTCCGAAACCACTCCATCATGTGGCTGGTGTGGCCACCGTGCCCACAGGTCAGGCAGAAATTGGACGATCCCCGCACAGCCACGTGACAGATGGCACACTGGAACGTGAAGCCTTTGCAGATGGCACACTGCGTGCCACGGACCTCACTCCGGCAGTGGCTGCAGTACACGCCGAACTCTGGAAATGGGCAGGGACGGGCAAAACAAGAGGCAGCATGAGTTTAGTTCTGAAAAAGGAAACTGGGGCTTGCCAGGAAGAAGGAAGTCTTCCTCTCAAGACTCTAGCAGATTCTCTTAGACCAGTGGTTTTCATTTTCTGTTTTTTTTATTTTTATTTTTTCTTTTTGAGACAGAGTTTCACTCTTGTCACCCAGGCTCGAGTGCAATGGTGCAATCTTGGCTCACTGCAACCTTCACAGCCCGGATTCAAGTGTCCTGCCTCAGCCTCCCGAGTAGCTGGAATTACAGGCACCTGCCACCACGCCCAGCTAAGTTTGTATTTTTAGTAGAGACGGGGTTTCGCCATGTTGGCCAGGCTGGTCTCGAACTCCTGACCTCAGGTGATCCACCTGCCTTGGCCTCCCAAAGTGCTGGGATTATAGGCGTGAGCCACTGTGCCCAGCCTGTTTTTTTTTGTTTTTTTTACACCAGAACTCCTTCTTCTGAGCCACTGCACCCAGCTGCTGAGTACTGTATTTTCTCAGGGGCTCCGCATGGAAACCCAGTGCCCTACAGCAGGGGGCAGCTGCGTCTGATGCCTCTTCCCACCCCGACGGCTGGCAGGGCCTGGCACGCAGGAGGTGTTGAACAGGTATCAGCTGAAAGAACTGAATGACTCAGCAGTAACACTTCAGCAGAGGGCAGACTGGCTTTACCAACGCCTGCTACTGCCCACTCGCCACTGGCCCAAGTCAGGACACCGGGATGCCGCTCCACCGCCGGGCGGGGACTGGTTCCACTGGGCTACCCTGAGTAAAACCTGCTCTATCTACTCTGCTGGCAATAGTCCCCTCATCACCTGACCCTCCTGCCTCTGCTGGCTTTTGGATGAAAGGCCATTTCTTGCTTAAGTCCTCTGACTGCAGGGGCAGTGGGTGGGGACTGTGTCCCATCGCTGCCTCCAGACTGACCTTTCTGCTGGAGGCCAATGTCATCCAGCTTCACCAGCCTTTCCCCCTTTTCTCTGTGTCATCTGAGGACATTCTGGAGACACACCCCCACTCACTGAAGACTTGTTCTTGGCTCTCAATTTTCTCTCTACCCCAGTTCTTAGATGATCCTGGAGGTCTCCCAAACCTACACCACTAACCCAGTGCCCACCCGGCCATTCAGGTCTTTGCCCTCATCCCTAACCCATCACCACTAACCCTTCAGTCCACCTGCCCCTTTCTAGCTGCAATTTGCCCTTTGGCCAACCTGAATTACATGGACTCACTTTATAATCACTTATTTTGCAAATGCCTTCAATTCCTTTGCCCATCTCCTGCACCACCTGGCAAAACCTCTACCCTGGATGACCCATATCACCTGCCCACTCCATGCCTGCCCACAAGAGGCTGAGCAATCCTGGAGAAAGGCCCATGTTCAAGAAATGCATCTCACTTCATACACGCGATCACCAACGGACACAACACCTAGCCCTGCGCGGAGCCTGTGTTTCCCTTCTGTCCCCGAGATGGTGACTTCGGGCCTCCACCACGTTCTGCAAACTCTTCCCTCATGCCTTTTCTCCCGGCTCCTGCACCTGCCAGCCTCGTCTCTCACTTCCCTTCGTCGTTACACCACGCATCTTCCAATCTCCCACCTCTCCTTCCCTCTTACAACAGAGGGAGGGTCCTTTCTTCTAGCAGAACTGGCTGCTCTGTTGAATGACAACTGGTGGTCAGAAAAAAAAGGCCAATAAAAACTCCTCTGATATGTGGTACCTAAGGGCATATTTTATGATAGTTCCAATTAAGGCAAATCTTGAGACAAATCAGACTGGTTTGAAAATTTTGGTTTAAAAATAGCTATGTCTTCTCCCTCTAAGCATAATTTTTTATATTATGTACAAACTTTGGTTATGTTCTCATGAAAAGCCTAATTAGTTGAAAACTCTCAAATTTTCATTACTGGTTTTATTGGCCAACATTATGAGAATGTAAATATTGTGTGTTCAGGTAAATTTAATTCTAATGTTTAAAAGGGTTTGTTCCTTGGTACTTGAGATAACTGTAAACTTAATTATTCTCCATATCTATCTGGGTAAAATTATTAAAATGTCATCTCACAGTATCATTAATAATTGTGTTTCTCTACAGTGAATCGGATTAAATATAGTTTTCAAGATCCTTATTAACTTTAAGACCCTGAACTAATATTTCATTTCGTTAATTAGCGAATGATCTTTGGGGGGATCTGGACAATTTCTAAGGAGATCTAAATTCACAAAGACAGAAAACATAAAAGCCCCAGGACGCTCTCCCTTGCCTCTGCCCTGTATATACACAATGGAATGGCTCAGCGTATGAACCGATTGAGAAGGATAGGCAGATGCCCGTGGGCCTTGCTGGTGCGTGCTTCCTCTCACCACTTCAGGGCATACAAAGGGATGTGGAATGTGTTCCCAAAAACAGAGCTGGCAAGGTGTCTCACACCTGGCTGCCTTTGGAATATCCCTGACAATCCACTAATCGTGCCGGTCGCTAATGGTTCCAGGTTTTCTCTGGGTCTCTGAGGGAAGAAGAATGACTCTGGGAGGCTGGGGCTACACTAGATACAAATTGCAAAGCAGATACCACTTGCAAGTATGAGATATGAATCTGTATTCAAGATAATTGATGTGTTCTATTAGTTCATCAAGGGAAATGTTCCAGTTTTATTAAAACGATCAATCAACGCGGTGAGGGTATTGTCTTACTGAATGTGCTGATAAGTCAGTATATTTTAAAGTTAAAAGATTTAAATTTGCTGGTTTTGTGTATATCTCAAAACACACACACACACACAAACACACAAAGGTATCTTAACATTTTTAAACAAAATTAAACGATATACACTTTAAGAGGAAAAAAACAACAATTCCAAAGAAAACTGTTCAGTGACGAAGAAAATGTCAAATGTGATTCTGTGCCTGGATAAGAGAGGTTCCTTACAGCACCAAAATTATCTCACTTGACAGCTGGTTAATTTTTGGTGTTTTTTGTCATGCTTTTGAATCACATTAAACAAAAGTCTACTTCTGAAAAGTCTAGGGTTCTTAATTATTTACTGCTCTGTTTATTTATTGATTGATTGATTTTTATTTATTTATTTTGAAACGAAGTCTCGCTCTTGTCACCCAGGCTGGAGTGCAATGGTGCGATCTCAGCTCACTGCAACCTCCGCCTCCCTGATTCAAGCGATTCTTCTGCCTCAGCCTCCTGAGTGGCTGGGACTACAGGCGCCTGCCAACATGCCCGGCTAATTTCTGTATTTTTAGTAGACAGGGGGTTTCACCATGTTGGCCAGTCTGGTCTCGAACTCCTGACCTCAGGTGATCCACCTGCCTCGGCTTCCCAAAGTGCTAGGATTACAGGCGTGAGCCACCGCGCCCCGCCTGCTGTGTTTATTTTAAATAACATCATTCTGAACCAAGTATGTTGCAATGTCTTGTCTTTAGGCATGTAATAACTTATGCTTATATCCAATCACCTCTGACAACTCTTTCTCAAACTGCCCTTTCCCAAATTTGGAAGAATAAAGCTCTCACTCTCTACTATAAACGTCAGCTACCTGTATAACTCCCCAAATGACAAGTGGCCAACACTACAGATTTGTTCCCTCACTATAGGAAGGAGGAAGCCAGACATGACTGGGAATGTCTTGTATTCTCTATACTTTTAATTGGTTTAGCATTATTGTAAGAGCTCTCGTATCTATTAAACCCACAATGTAAGAAATCAAATAGGGAAGTTCAACCTCCCTGGGGAACTGTATTCAAGTACAAGATTATTAATGGGAATTTTTCAGCAACTTCTTTCAAGATCAATTGAAGGATACTCATATCTATTACAAAGACTGGCATATCTTTCAACAAATTTATTTTTTAAATTTGTTTTATGTTTAAAATAAAAATACAGTACTTGGCCGGGTGCCGTGGCTCTCGCCTGTAATCTCAGCACTTTGGGAGGCCAAGGTGGGTGGATCACCTGAGGCCAGGCGTTCGAGACCAGCCTGGCCAACATGGCAAAACCCATCTCTACTAAAAACACAAAAATTAGCTGGGCGTGACGGCGCACACCTGTAATACCTGGAAGGCTGAGGTAGGAGAACTGCTTGAACCTGGGAGGTGGAGGTTACAGTGAGCCAAGACTGTACCTCTGCACTCCAGCCTGGGTGACAGAGAGAGACCTTGTTCCCACCCCCTCGCCAAAAAAAAGAAAACAAAAGTAAAAAGAAAATATAGTACTCCTTTCGTTTGGCAATAACCTTACAAACATTTTACGGGATGAATTAAAAGAGCCTGGAGATTTGTCAACGTCCTCAGTGTCCAAAATATTTTAGTGTTGGGGAATCACTGACTGAATCCTTAGGAAATGATTCTGCTCCATAGGATATTGTTATCATAAACTAGCCAGAGCCATTTCGCTTTATTGCCAATTGCCGGTTTCGGCTTTTGCCTCACACTTGCCTAAAGTCGCTTCCTATAAACTATAGGCCAGAAATAGAAACTTAGAGAAAACATGTCAAAATAAAGCCTCTTTAGGCACTATTAAAGGTACTCTTCACTACTGATATTACTGAAGAGATTCCTGAATACCAACTTTCCAAATAAGCTGACACTGACCAGGAGCAGCTTCTCATGCCTGTAATCCCAGCACTTTGTGAGGCCGAGGTGGGGGTATCGCTTGAGCCCAGGAGTTGGAGACCAGCCTGGGCAACATGGCAAGACTCCATCTCTACAAAAACATTTTTTTAAAAATTAGCCGGGCATGATGGTGTATGCCTGTGGTCCCAGCTACTTAGGAGACTGTGGTGGGAGGATTGTTGAGCTCAGCAGGTCGAGGCTGCAGTGAGCTGTGATCATGCCTGTGCACTGCAGCCTGGGTGACAGAGTGAGACCCTGTCTCAAAAAACAAACAAACAAGCCAAACAAATAAGCTGACAGCATTACCACCAGGAGACACTTGTCAGACTGTGGAATGGATCAGGATTTCTAGGACTTTTTGGTTCAGAAGCAGATGACTTCAGTCAAAGTAGATGGGTAGAGAATCCAAGACAATTAGAACAAGAATTACTTAGCAGGGACTGAATACAACTGATGGAAAAATTTAATTCTGGCTAATGATCTATTTTCTACTAGAAAGGAGAAAACATTCTTTCTTCTTTCTTGCTCCATCTCTACCCTCAGTTTAACACGTTATATACATTGAAATGAAACACTCTGGAAATAGTATCTTGTTCTAATTACCTTCAGGAGAAAAAAAAACCAAAAAAGATCTTAATATAGATTATAAGATATCAAATCACCAGGAAAACCTTAGAACAATAACCCCATAGGAAATATCATATGTTGATTAACCTCATCTGCAAAAATGCTCAGAACAATGGGTAAGTACCACACAAAGGCCTTTTCTTTTCATGACAAAATATACAGGTTCAGTGAGAGTCTGCTGGGGCTGGGTGTGGCAGCTCATGCTTCTAATCCCAGCACTTTGGGAGGCTGAGGTGGAAGGATCACTTGAAGCCAAGAATTTGAGACCACAATGGACAACAAAGTGAGACTCTGTTTCTATTTTATAAAAATTTAAAAAATTAAAAATAAAAGAAGCTGCCTTCCTCCTTATCATGATATACATGGATAGATCAGATTTACAGCCAAGGTCATGCCCAAAATGTCACATTTAGATTCAAATCTCATTTAAATTAGGTATGATACGGCCGGGTGCAGTGGCTCACGCCTGTAATCCCAGCACTTTGGGAGGCCGAGGCAGGAGGACCATGAGGTCAGGAGATCGAGACCATCCTGGCTAACATGGTGAAACCCCATCTCTACTAAAAATACAAAAAATTAGCCAGGAGTGGTGGCAGGCGCCTGTAGTCCCAGTTACTCGGGAGGCTGAGACAGGAGAATGGCGTGAACCTGGGAGGCGGAGCTTGCAGTGAGCCGAGATCGCGCCACTGCACTCCAGCCTGGGGGACAGAGTGAGACTCTGTCTCCAAAAATAAATAAATTAATTAATTAAAAAAATAAGTTAGGTATGATAAGCCATTATGAAGGGGAGGAGATGGCTTCATATGTGGACATGAAGCCCACAAGTCCTCCCAGGAAACTTCTTTGGCCTAGGGAATCCCAGCCTTGCACAAAGTACAGATGTCATTTCCTGACAGGCCAGAAACACTGACTACCCTGAGGATCACAGGTAAGAGGCACAGGACGACAGGATAGGTTTTGCAGGTGAAACTTGATAGAGGTGAAATGAATCATTCTTGGGTCCTAACGGACAAACTAATGAAGACCATAAAAATACTCCCAGCACATAGAACAATCAAAGTATGATTCCAAGGCTTTTCAAAACTTCCAGGAGGAAGTAAACTCCAAAGGTGCAGGGTCATACAGCTCCAGTTTGTTAACCATACAACAAAAAGTTTTGTGTATTAATCAACATCACCTATTACACAAAAGTAAATAAAACTGGCCAAATAAATAAGACGTTAAATGAATATACTGAACCAGTAAACTGTTGAACGAAATTTAGGTGAGCAGATCTCTACCTCTATGGAGGGAATTCTCCCCATGGGGTGGCTGGGAAAGCGATCGCTTTGCTCTGCCACCATTAAGACCAAGCGCATCATATACCACAGTCAGAAACAAAAACAACAAAAAATCATCTTATATCCTGAGACTTTCTTTAAGGGAATACTCTATCTAGCAATATCCCCACAAAATGAATGAAACCATGAGCCCCGTCTGTAAATATTGAATCCCAATGAAACTAACTCAAATTTGCTATGATGAAGTCTGTGGATATGGGATGACCCTTGCAGACAAGATTACCACAGAGGAAACTGCTGCCTTTCCAGTGCAAAGAGAAGACCTGTGGCCTTGACAGCCTTGGGGTATTTTTTTTCTTTAATTTTTTTTTTTTTAGAGACAGTTTCTCCATGTTGCCCAGGCTTGTCTCGAATTCCTAGACTCCAGCAATCTGTCTGCTTCAGTCTCCCAAAGTGTTGGGATTACAGGTGTGTGCAGCTGCACCTAGCCTATACTTTTCTTTCAATACCTGCTGTGTCCTGTATTGAAGCAGCCCAGTTCCTCCAAAGTCAGGACTACATTGTAAAACTTTGCAAATGAAAATACTTCTTGGCCGGGTGTGGGGGATCATGACTGTAATCCCAGCACTTTGGGAGGCCCAGGTGGGTGGATCACAAGGTCAGGAGTTCGAGACCAGCCTGGCCAACATGGTGAAACCGTGTCTCTACTAAAAATTTAAAAATTAGCTGGGCGTAGTGGCACATGCCTGTAATCCCAGCTACTCAGGAGGCTGAGGTAGGAGAATCGCTTGAACCAAGGAGGGGGAGGTTGCAGTGACCTGAGATTGTTCCATTGCACTCCAGCCTGGGTGACAGAGCAAGACTCCGTCTCAAAAAAAAAAAAAAAGAAAAAAAAGAAAAAAAAAAGGAAAATACTTCTTTTACTGCTTTTGTCTGTGAGTCCATCTTTCACAATCCTGCCCTGCTTTATAAATCTTGTGACATTGGTTTTATTGGAATTAGGATACATTATTCATCCTTAACTATCATTAAGTCTTCCTGAGTTTATACTTCATTCTCTCTGACTGCACTACAGACATCTTGACCCACCAAACCACACTTTGTATTTCTTTGTACATCCCACAGAATCCCGCATGACACTTTATAATAGCAGATGTCAATAAGGGTTTAGCTGACTGATGGTTTGATACATGAGCTCTGTATCTCCATGATTCAGGTGTTTTCCTGAAAACTAATTTTTAAAAGACAAATTGCTCCAGGCCATCATTAATCTTTTCCTGAGATACTTTCATACATTTAGATGCTCTGAAAAAATATGTTGCCCAAATAGCATTTTGTGCCTTTACATTTCTTCAAGTACGTATACCAACATAATCCCTATTAAAATAATCCTTGAAAGTCACTACCTAAACCTACGTATTATTCTAGTTTGTTTCTTCAAATAGCAATTACCAGGTATGGTGTCTCACACCTGTAATCCCAGCACTCTGGGAGGCCGAGGCAGGCACATCGCTTGAGGCCAGTAGTTCGAGACCAGCCTGGCCAACATAGCGAAACCCCGTCTCTACTAAAAATACAAGTGGTATTTGTATTGTATTTTAGTATCTCTACTAAAAATTCCTATTAATTGTATTGTATTGTAGTATCTCTACTAAAAATACAAGTGGCGTGGTGGCGGGCGCCTGTAGTCTCAGCCACTTGGGGAGGTTGAGGTGTGAGAATCACTTGAACTTGGGAGGCAGAGGTTGCAGTGAGCCGAGATCGCATGATTGCAGTCCAGCCTCGGCGACAGAGCAACACTGTCTCAAAAAAAAAAAAAAAAAAAAAAAAAGAAAGAAAGAAAGAAAAGAAAAGAAAAAGAAGGGAAAAGAAACTATACCTACACAACTTAAAAGAGTCAAATCATTCTATGCATCTTATTACAAAACCCAGCATTCCCTGCCACTGCCCACCCCATCGCTCCCTAGATGAAATCCTTTCCATTTATTTAACTGTTTCTTTCGTTTTTTTGTTTTTTGCTTTTTTTTTTTTTTTTTTTTTTGAGACAGAGTCTCACTCTGTCACCAAGGCTGGAGTGCAGTGGCACAATCTCGGCTCACCGCAACCTCCGCCTCCCGAGCTCAAGTGATCCTCCTGCCTCAGCCTCCTGAGTAGCTAGGACTACAAGCACGCACCACCACGCCCGGCTAATTTTTGTATTTTTAGTAGAGATGGGGTTTCACCATGTCGGCCAGGATGGTCTCAATCTCCTGACCTCATGATCCATCCACCTCAGCCTCCCAAAGTGCTGGGATTACAGGCGTGAGTCACCGTACCCGGCCACACCCCGGTTTTTAATCTCACTGTCAAAGCCACGTCCAGAGGTCCCTGAGCCACGTGAGGGTTCTGCA
The DNA here is from genome assembly GCF_000001405.40 of Homo sapiens. NCBI lineage: Eukaryota > Metazoa > Chordata > Mammalia > Primates > Hominidae > Homo > Homo sapiens. The sequence continues at coordinate 74,883,392 of NC_000016.10, forward strand.
GTGTTTTGTACTTCCGACAACAGTTCAGGGTTCAGCTTTATCATGCCCTGCAAAATCAGCTGCCACTAAGCTACCCACTTCCCAGATTCCAAATGTTACTGCCAACATTACTTCTTGTACAATTAGGCTTTTCAGAAGAGCTCTGTACAGACATTTTGGTGAGGTCCTGGAGAAGAGGAGATCAGTGTATGTTTAGTCCACTACATTTGGCAGCCTTCCATTTCATTCTGTAAAACACCTCTCCCTGCTCAGTCTTGCTTTTCCTCAACACTCATTAGGGTCTCATTCTAACTCTCTCTGCCTTGCTCTTCCTCTACGACCCTAGCTCCAGGTATTGGTTTCTCTCAAGGCCCAGCGCAGATGGCCTCTCCCTGCACTCTTCCTTCCCAGCCCCAGCTCCAGGGTCAACACACCCATTCCCACAGCTGGAATGCCATCCACATGCTGGGGATCCCCAAATTCCCAGTTCTAGCCCCAATCTCTTCTCTGAGAGCCCAACTCACATCCAACCGCCTATGCAACTTCTCCAGTCCGATATCTCACACACATCACTGACTATCCCAACCTAAGCCCACAGTGTTCTTCCAGTCGTTTCCATCTGGGAAGCTGGTACTGCCAATGACCCAGTTGCTCATGCTGGAAATCTAGGAATCGTCCAAGTTTCATCTTTCTTCCTGATCCCACATCCAAGTTATAAACAAGTCACACTGAGTCTAGCTCTAAAATATATTTTAACCCATCCATCATCTCTCTCCAACTCTAGCGATGCCACCCTCAGACCGGGCTGTCTGCCTCTGACCGCTACAACGTCTCTGAACGGGCTTCCTATTTCTGATCTGCCCTCCTCCCATCCTTTCCTCGTAGGAAGGCCACAGTGACCCTCTTAAAACACAACCCAAAGCACACTGCTTACTTCTTATGCCCTTGGAAGCTTACCATTGGACTTGGATACAATTGAAATTCTTTTTGTTTTTTGAGACAGAGTCTCGCTCTGTCACCCAGGCTGGAGTGCAGTGGCGTGATCTTGGCTCACTGCCACCTCTGCCTCCTGGGTTCAAGCGATTCTCCTGCCTCAGCCTCCTGAGTAGCTGGGATTATAGGTGTGCACTAGCACGCCTGGCTAATTTCGTATTTTTAGTAGAGACGGGGTTTCACCATGTTGGCCAGGCTGGTCTCAAACCCCTGGCCTCAAGTGATCTGCCTGACTTGGCCTCCCAAAGTGCTGGGATTACAGGCGTAAGTCACCACGTCCGGCCAAATCCAAATTCTTTACCGCAACTTACAAGCCCCTGCCTGATATAACCCTAAGTTCTCTACACTCTAATTTGATATCACTCTTCTCCCCACTGTACTCCAACCACACCACGCCACCTTCCTTCGCTTGTTCACAACGACAGTCATTTCCCTGGGGCCTGTCCCTCAGTGTGGGATGCTCTTTTCACCACTCTGCACCGATGGCTCCACGGTTCCTTTAAACCTTCAGACCTCAGCTCCTTGGAGGCCTTCTCAACACACCTCAATTCCTCTTCTAAGATTCTCCCTCTCTGTTCTCCCTGCCCCCACATCGTTTCTGTTTGCTTGCGAATATTTATCACAATTTGAAATTACTTAATTTTCCCCCCTACTCAGCTGTAAGCTCCATGGGGGGAAGGAATGTGTGGGCACTGTGCCTAAGAGGAGTCGGACACACAGTGGAATAAATGAAGAAATATCCATCCCTCTCATCCGCGCTGGAGTACTGTATATCAACTACTTCTGTTGCAATAGAAACTGCATCCTGGGCATGCGCCATGGCTCACACCTGTAATCCCAGCACTTTGGGAGGCCGAGGCAGGCAGATCACCTGAGGTCAGGAGTTCGAGACCAGCCTGGCCAACGTGGTAAAACCCCATCTACTAAAAGCACAAAAATTAGCCAGGCATGGTGGCAGGCGCCTGTAGTCTCAGCTACTCGGGAGGCTTAGGGAGGAGAAGTTAGAACCCAGAAGGCAGAGGTTCAGTGAGCTGAGATCACGCCACTGCACTCCAGCCTGGGCAACAAGAGTGAGATTCCATCTCAAAAAAAAAAAAAAAAAAAAAAAAAAATTCATCCTGTTACGAAATGCAAGGGCTTTTCAGATGCTTGGAATAGACTCAAAATGCCTCAGAAATTTCTGCTTAGAAATGAGAAGCTGAAACTTCATTCCAAGTCTGAGGCTGTGGACATATTAAATTACAGGATCTTTCAGACAGTGAAAGGAAGAGAGAGAAATTCATACTCACCGATCCCTTTGTGAGGGTCAGGAGGACAGGAGACAAACTTCAACACTTCAGCTCGCTTCTCTCTCAGACCCCAACGGTAGAGGATTTCCCCATAGCATTTCTTAAAGTCATCAAATTGCTGGGTATTGGCGGGGTCCAGGAGCCTGGATAAAGTTAAAAAGATTTCCTGTCAGTTCCTTTAAGAAAAAACAAGCTTCATCCTAAATGGCACTTAATATACCCTTCTTAAAGCAACAGTCCTGGCCAGGCACGGTGGCTAACACCTGTCACTCCCAGCACTTTGGGAGGCTGAGGCGGGTGGATCACTTGAGGTCAGGAGTTTGAGACCAGCCTGGCCAACATGGTGAAACCCTGTCTGTACTAAAAATACAAAAAATTAGCCAGTCATGGTGGCGTGTGCCTGTAATCCCAGCTACTCAGGAGGCTGAGGCAGGAGAATCACTTGAGCCTGGGAAGCAGAGGTTGCAGAGAGCCGAGATCCCGCCACTGCACTCCAACCTAGTGACCGGGTAAGATTCTGTGTCCAAAAAAAAAAAAAGTAAGAGTTGTGATTGTGGAGAAACTGGAGTCCTGCCTGGAGTCCTGGCATTGCAGCTCTCACCTGGGAGGGTGGTTACCTTTTATTTTTATCATGCTGGTCGCGTTCTCGCTCACGGGGATCACTGTAGGTCAGACTCCCAAAGCGGAGCTCTTCTGGTGAGGATTCTCCCCAAGGGGAGGACAAGTGCTCTGCCTCTCTTCCCGCTGAAGAAAATCAAATGGGAAGGGAAGATGGCAATCAGAGAAGGCATGGAAAATATCTGAAGAGTCTCATAAGACAGCACGTGGCCAATGGATTTCCCAGAAGAAATGTTAAGCGAGGCTGAATATTCTGAGAAATATAACTAAATAGAACTCTCTCCTACCCTTGCCTTTTTGCGCAGGTATTTATTACTAAGAGAACTTGATCACTAAGTACACACACATGATGCTAACGCAAATGATGGGCTGGGCGTTGTGGCTCATGCCTGGAATCCCAGCACTTTTGGAGGCCCAGGCAGGCAGATCACCTGAGGTCAGAGGTTTGAGACCAGCCTGACGAACATAGTGAAATTATGTCTTTACTTAAAAAAATACAAAAATTAGCTGGGCGTACTGGTGCGTGCCTGCAATCCCAGCTACTCAGGAGGCTGAGGCAGGAGAATCGCTCGAACCTGGGAGGCAGAGGGGGCAGTGAGCCGAGATCATGCCATTGCACTCCAGCCTGGCGACAGAGCAAGAGTCCATCTCAAAAAACTAAAAAAAATAAATAAATAAAGCAAATGATGGCACAGAGATACAGTAGAACATTACATAGTCATTATTTACGAGGACTTTTTGAACAATATTTGCTCATGATATAATGAAAAATAGAACACAAAGTCACATATATCAAATGACCACACTCCTGCACACAAAGAATGGATGCAAATGTTCTAGAATGTTAATGGACGCTATTCCTAGGTGGGAGATCAATAATTACAATTTTCTTCTCTAATACTTTTTGCTTGCTTTTCTTCACTGGGCATGAGCTACTTTTGATATCAGGAAAATTAAGATCATTTTAAAAACCTTTTTTTTTTTAAATCCAGGAAACACAAATACACCTTACTCAGCAAACAGCTTTATGATCAACTGGAGTCAGGCCCAGCTGTATTTGTCTACACTGAAAGCATTCATGGGAAGCGGTAGGTGGCAGATGAACATGGAAAGAGCATGTGAAGGAGAAAGGATAAGGGTTAGGTTTTGGGGGTGAACAGTGGGAAGTCCCATTGTCAGTTTCTCAAGGTTAAGAGATGAAAAGCAACACAGCAAGGCACAAAGACCCCCAGAACGTGGTCTGTTCAACATGCAAAGTCAGGCCTCCAGCAAGAGTATCCCTATCACAGTAAATGTAAAGAGAAATAAGAAATAAGAAAAAATATGGAGACTAAGCATCAACTAAAGGTTACATATGCACAGCTCTGGGAGAACTAAAAATCCAGCGTGGGCTAAGTCATTTCCATACAAACCTATGTTCCAGCCGCCAGTGTTGAGCCCTGGGTCTGACATACTGGAGCAGGAACCAGAAGAGGTAAAGCTAGGCTACAGAAGGGAAGAGAAGAACCAACAGGACTAGCATGAGAATACCATTCCCCATGACAGTTCACATTAAGAAAACAGCAGGCCAAGCACGGTGGCTCATGCCTGTAATCCTAGCAGTTTGGGAGGCCAAGGAAGGTGGAACACCTGAGGTCAGGGGTTCGAGACCAGCCTGGCCAACATGGTGAAACCTCATCTCTACTAAAACCACAAAAATATACCAAGAGTGGTGGTGCATGCCTGTAATCCCAGCTATTCAGGAGGCTGAGGCACGAGAATTGCTTGAACCCAGGAGGCGGAGGTTGCAGTGAGCTGAGATCATGCCATTGCACTCCAGCCTGGGCAACAAAGTAAAACTCCGTCTCAAAAAAAAAAAAAAAAAAAAATCAGACAAAACCAGAAAAGGACAAACTTACATATCGACTATGGGACACCACAAGATTAGAAGAACGGTTAGGAAAAGGCCCAAAGGGGTTTGGTAGCCCCTGAGGCCGAGACTGGGCTTCAAACACGCTACAGAGCATCGCCAGTGTCTGAACATCCCGGAGCCGGCAATAGTGAGCCAACCTGAGGAAAAGATAAGAGGAAAGAAAACAAGTCAGGAGGAGGGATTGAGGAGGAAAGCGGTCACAGTCATGGCGTGTTACTGCCACAGGGGTGGGAAGGGAGGAGTCTTGATTCTGCCTCAAAAACCCATCAGGAAATGGGGCTTTCTACAGATCCGGCAGTTTGACCTACTTTGAGTTTGCCTAAACTTGTTTTGGAATATAAGGCATCCACGTACTACAAATGATCTACAGAACGCATCTCAAAGCCTCTGGCTAACTTTCAGGCATGGGCTTAAACATGAATGTGGCTTCTCCAAGAACTAAGTGGACTAACCTGACATCTGAGCGAGCCAATACATGCTCTGTCTTCCCAGCTCCAAGGAAGAATCACACTGCTTTTGGGGGATTCCCACACATGTCATTTATATAACCTAAAGCTACATGAAGGAGCTCAGAGGACACTGGACCGCCACAGCATGCTAGCAGGCAATCGACTCTGGAGGTGCAGTTATGAAGATGAGCTATTAGGTAAGAACAACAAGGAGTGTTTCTGTCCTTTAGGTACTCATATCCCCTTTGTCCTTTCAGGAAGATTATGCTAGAATGTGAGTAAGGAATCAGAGGGGCTTTGCCTTTAAGAATGAATAATATTAATGTCCTCCTATCACTCAATGTCTAATATTTGTGTTTTCACACTCACTATCTTATTTGAGTCTTACACGAAATAAGTAGAGTAAACCTTATCATCCCTGTGTTAGTGACAAGGAAACGGAAGCACGAACACGTGTCCCAGGGGTGGCCTTAATGCATAAATTAAGCAAACTTCAACTTGAAGTCAGGAGCGTTTCTCTCCCCAGGCCCTGGGCCTCCAAGTTATGGAGATTCAAGTGGTTTTACTTGGTGTTAAATTATTTTGTATAGTATACCCTAGTTTTCCATATGTCAGTGCAATAAACTGAACGCAAAGGCAATGTTTTCTCAAATTGCCTAACAGGGTGAAAGCGTCGTGGTCTTTGGCAAACATGAACACCAACATGCAATTCTCTAATCCATTCTCAAGGGTGAGACCCTAGAGCTTTCAAGAAGAAACTTACCATCTCATGAGCTCAAACTCCTGTATTCAGACTGATGTGATTTATGGACTAAAGCATGAATCTCTAAAGGATACATGAGTCTCAGGGGTCTCAAATCCTTGTTATAAATGACAAGTAATGTATGGTTCTGTCTGCTATAAGAAGTTTGTTCTGCACAGAAATTATTTCAGCACTGAAAGGAAAGATCCTACTCCTTCCTTTCATTCCTCGGGCCTCTGCACCTTTCTCTTAGGTGGTGACATTTCAAGTGTTTACAGACCAAAAATGGACATCACTCATTTTTCTCATTTTTAGCTCTCAAAACCTACAGGGACTCCAGCAGCTGCCGCCCAAATGGATGTCGAGCCCAGGGTGTTTCCAAATCTGGGTCAGATTTCGGACCAAGGCAAAGATCTGTAGCTACCGTAGCCAGCGACCAAACCTGGACAGATCAAAGAGAAATACAAACTCAAACTGGCAAGGACAAGAACCGAAACCATGAAGCAATCCCACCTGTCTTCCATATAAAACCTGATGCCTTGCTACATTGGGGGCAGCAAAAGCTGGATCCTTATTGAAATGCATAAGTTTAGGCCCCACTTAGACCTACTGAATCAGCGTTTACACTTTAACCAACTCTTTAGGGGAGTTATGTGCACTCTAAAGTTTGAGAAACACTAGGCTTAAAAATTTTTCATTAAGCAAACATCAGAGAAATGACACAGTGTAATAATTTCAGTGGGTCATCTACTTAACCACTAACTCATATGACTTTTTATTTTATTTTACTTTTTTGAGACAGAGTCTCGCTCTGTCGCCCAGGCTGGAGTGCCGTGGCACAATCACAGCTCACTGCCACCTCTGCCTCCTGGGTTCAAGCCATCCTCCTGCCTCAGCCTCCCGAGTATCTAGGATCACAGGCATGTGCCACCACACCTGGCTAATTTTTGTATTTTCAGTAGAGATGGGGTTTTGCCATGTTGGCCAGGCTGGTCTGGAACTCCTGGACTCAAGTGATCCACCTGCCTCAGCCCCAAAAAGTGCTGGGATTACAGGTGTGAGCCACTGCACCCGGCCTCACATGACTTTTTAAAATGCTGTTTCATCAGTAAGTTGGGTTGGCAGGGAGGAAAAAAAAGGCAGTCTATAACACATTTAAGATCTGTCCCTCTTTTCCTAAATAATGAAAGACTTTGTTGCCTTCATTATAAAAGTTTCAGTATCCTCTCTGAAGCTAAAAAGTAACAATAATAACAATAGGCCAAGACAAAATGGATTTGGCTTTCTTTTTGTTGACACCAAATCTGAGGAATACCTCCCCGACTTGAAATCCCATGGGGCCTGGAGCCATTGAGCAGAAACCAATAGCCTCTAAGTGTCTATTAAGTCCAAGGCACAGGCTAAACCCATCATGTCATAAGCAAAGTTCCCACCCCCTCAATACCTTTAAAAATCAAATACGGCGGGCCCTGTGGCTCACGCCTGTAATCTCAGCACTTTGGGAGGCTGAGGTGGGCGAATCACCAGGTCAGGAGTACGAGACCAGCCTGGCCAATATGGTGAAACCCTGTCTCTACTAAAGATACAAAAATTAGCTGGGCATGGTGGCACACGCCTGTAGTCCCAGCTACTTGGGAGGCTGAGGCAGAAGAATCTCTTGAACCTGGGAGGCAGAGGTTGCAGTGAGCCGAGATCACGCCCTGCACTCCAGCCTGGGCGACAGAGCGAGACTCTGTCTCAAAAAAAAAAAAAAAAAAAAATCAAATACTATTTTCTGGAAAACCTTTCTCAGTAGCAGCACAGCATTGTATGCCCATTAACTGGAAAACATACTAGACTCTGAGATGCTCAAAAGAAAGAAGATATGGACTTTGAATCAAGGAGTTTACAATCTAAGGAGAAAGAATAAGCAAACAAAGATACTGAGAAACAGGTCGAGAAGCATTAGGCATGCAAAATCAATTAAATCACGTGGCACCAACATACTTGAAAAATATACAGAAGGTATTGTCGAAAAGGAGAAACTTGAAGTTCACATTCATCTCTATAATCAATAACCTAGTGAATCAGCACTAGAGGAAGTTAATGACTTTCTGGGATGAGATAAGATGTTTACTACCCTGGCTGACAATTTAGACGTGTTATTTCCTCACTGATAATACACATTTCCTGAATGCCTTCAACAGAAACAGTGACTCTTGCATTTACTTCTGCAACTCTTTGCAAAACAGTAAACATATCTTCAACATGAGCATAAAGAACAAAAAGACTGGGTGTGGTGGCTCACGCCTGTAATCCCAACACTTTGGGAGGCCAAGGCAGAAGGATCACTTGAGGCCAGGAGTTCAAGACTAGCCTGGCCAACATGGTGAAACCCCATCTCTACTAAAAAGTACAAAAATTAGCCGGGTTTGGTGGCACGCATCTATAATCCCCGCTACTCGGGAGGCTGAGGCAGGAGAATCGCTTGAACCCGGGAGGCGGAGGTTGTGGTGAGCTGAGATCGTGCCACTGCACTCTAGCCTGGGCGACAGAGTGAAACTCCATCAAAAAAAACAAAAACAAAAACAAACCACTGAATGGTGTATTTTAAATGGGCAAATTGCATGGTAGATGGGCTATATCTCAGTTAAGCCGTTTAAAAAAATACAGAGATAATTTGTTATAATACACTGATATGTTGCTGCAAAGATGAAGAAAATTTAAATATTTGTCATGTTAAATCATATTTTAAAACTGAACATCTCTATCTAAAGGAGCACTTTGGTAAATATTTCATAAAATGAAGCATTTTAGAAAGAAGGAACAAATGACAAAGAAATAGACATGCAAGTTTAGCTACACAGCAATCACTGATACTGGAACAGAAAAGAGATGTATAATTAAAAAAATTCATCGATGCTTTAGGACCTTCCCAACTGAGCACCAAAAAGAAAAAATTTCCAGCATTTGGAAAGCCACTCTAACCCTACAGACTGGCAAAGAAAATGGAAAATGAATTCCAAATTAAGACACACACTTTGAAAATGTCATTAAATGCCAATGACAAAGTAAAAACAATTTGCTCCTGAAGAAAAATCCAAATCTCCACCAAAAGGGATGGACAATACCTGGACAAGATCCTTTCTTCCAACGAGCAAGGCAGAGGCGGCATTCTTCTGACATGTTTCCTGAATATCATTCACATTCAATCTGAAATTTTTTAAAAAGAATTAAACATTTCTTTCTAGTGTAACTTCCCAAATCAACGACTCCCAGTTTAACAGACAGATGAGAACCTGACTCTTTGGTTATCACTCAAAATGTTTTATTCCGCGTTGGCCTTGGGCCCCCTTTCTATCTGACTCAGAGGAAAAGCTTAACTAGAGCTGAAGCTAATACATCTGTGGGTTCCAGCCTGGGGAACTTGAAATTGCACACCTCTTTAAAGTCAGGAGGGCAGGCCATACTCAAATACCAATTTACCAACCAGCTTTTCTATGGAGTTCCCAAGCCGTGAGGGTTGAATAAAAATGAATTGAAATACATGCGACACTGACTATGGTTCCTAACAGAAAGAGTAGTGTGCTGTGTGTAGACTACAAAGGAAACACTTTCTGTTATGAGTTCGAGTTTAGGAAGAGGCAGGGGAACTACAGGTGGCCTCTGCATGCCAATTACTCACCTCTCACTTCCATCCAAACAAAAGTAGCCCTGCTTTGCATAACAGCTCTTCTGCTTTGTAAAGTAGCATGCCTTGTACAATACTCCACCCCCTTTGAATGTGGGTGACACCAGTGAATATTGATGGGATATCACTTCTGTGATTATGTTATTAAGCAATTGACTTTGAAGTCACCTACAGAGAGACTATCCTGGGTGGGGCTGACCTCATCAGGTGAGGCCTTAGAGGGAAGGTAAAGCATGTGTGAGCCATTCCTGCTGGTCTCAAGACGAAATTTACAGATGAGTTCTACAGCTGCAAGGGTCTGAATTCTGCTGACAACCTGAACAAGCTTGGAAGAGGAGCTTTGCATCGGATGAGACCACTGCCTGGCCAACACCATTTCAGCCTGCTGAGACCCTAAGCAAGGACACAGAAAAGCTGTGTCCAGACTCGCGACCCACAAAAACTGGAAGATAAGAAATGAATGTTGTTGGAAGCTGCTAAGTTTGTGGGAATTTGTCCACAGCAACAGAAAGCTAATACATTGGGCTTTTCCTAAAACTGCTTTTGAAGAAAGGATTCCCACACTCAAAAAAAAAAAAAGTTTTGCTAATCCTGGCTAAATGATGAGTGCAGCAGACTTGAAATTTTGTACTTACATGTACAGCTCTCCCAGCGATTTGTGAACAGGCAGGAGGCAAGCAATATCCTGGATGATGACTTTCCCAGCAGCCTTGATCTGTCGATTGCCAGAGTCTGATCCCTCACGCTTACTTTTCCATCGTCTTGATTTCTAGGGGTAGATGACAGGATGTAACTAATGGGGACTTTGACAAGTGGAAACCAACAATTGCAGAGCTCATCATATTGGGGTCATTGGCAATTTGCACTTTTTAAAAATTACATCATGCCCACAATTATGGGAATCAGCATCTGTAGGAAATAAAAGGATGAGCTCTTGTTCCAAAAATCCTAACAGGAAAATAAGCACCTACTGCCAGGCTAGATACATTCTGCAGGTGCTCAAAAACACATATCAGGAAGCCAGGATTAATACATTAATTAATGAATTTGAAAACAGCAAGTAAATAAGTTAGTAAAGGCCACAAAAATGTGGGAGAACAATTTTTAGATTGAATTCAGTCCTAGGTTCAAAATTCCTGCCTGAAACTCATCAAAATTTTTTTCCTTAGGCAGTTTGAACAGGGTTTGTTGAAAATTTATTGCAGACATAGCAGTGTGGGCTCTGCAAACCTTAATCTATATGGTAGGAAAACAGAGAAACTTTGCACCTTGAGGAGAATTACCCCGTTTTTCTGGCAGACTTGAATTATTTCTAAAAGTGATCGTTCTCAATGTCAAAAATACCTGATTCAAGGGGCTTGGGTAACAGACATGGAAGATTGTGGGCAAGTATTCGATTTCCCCAGGCTTACCTATGGGTGGCTACATGTGTGAGGAGCCTGTATGTGTGAAATGAGAGATGTCCTGAAAAACTTGAATTATCAGAGCACAGCCCCATCTGGAATCTTTAAAATGACAAACCAAGGAGCAGGATTCCATTTTATTGCCAGAAGTTAAAAAGGGGGTCACCAAAGTGATTCAACTAAGGAAGGAGTGACATATTTATTAACAAAAAAAGGCAAAAGGAGCTAGTAAAAAGGCCTCCAATTTGGAATTAGAAAATCAAGATTTCCAGGTCTTACTACTACATGTACTGGCTCAGCAGGACCCTCGGCAAGTTTTTATTTGTTATGAATTTAGTCTAAGGCATGTGACTTTGTTTGCTCACTGACAACTTATGGCCAATCATGACCTCTGTTGTTCCAATCTCACAAGATTAATGAGCGTACAATGAAGAGGCAGGGGTGCAAATTAAATGGAAAAGTGTACTCTAGAAACATGTAACTATTATGAATGTATATAAACTCTCAGGAATTTAAATTGGACCATTATTTAGATTACTCACAAATAAATTCATTTTCTGTAAGTGATTTTTATACAATCATTCTTCCATAAAGGGTTTCTGACCACTGATATCCCATTTAATACCTAAAGTTGTCCAATGCATGTAACTTCCTATAGGGTTATCATGTGTCTTGGAACCTACTAAATTCAGGACATGTGGAGTTAGTTCAGGGCAGGTAAATGAAGAAGTTTAGCTGAAGTATCTGTGAACTGTTTATCATCATTTGTAAATGCATGTTACACTATCAATTTGGAACTTTAACCCGTTTGATCTTTTTATTTTTTTTTCTTTTGAGACAGAGTCTTGCTCTGTTGCTGAGGCTGGAGTGCAGTGGTGTGATCTTGGCTCACTGAAATCTCCGCCTCCGGGGTTCAAGTGATTCTCCTGCCTCAGCCTCCCGAGTAGCTGGGATTACAGGCATGCACCATCATACTCAGCTAATTTTTGTATTTTTAGTAGAGACAGGGTTTCACCATATTGGCCAGGCTGGTCTTGAACTCCTGACCTCAAGTGATTCACCCACCTTGGCCTCCCAAAATGCTAAGATTACAGGCATGAGCCACCACGCCCGGCCCCATTTGATCTTAAGAAGCAGTTCAGTGACTATTTACCATTTATCCATACCCAAGTCATTATTCTGCAATACAAGGGGAAGCTTTATCAATTATTATGGGGTAGCCCTTCCATTCCTACTTGCCCTGGTTTTCTAAAAAATTATGTGCATACACACAAAAGTGCTATCCTTTTAGACACAATCATCCTGACATGGGTGTAAGTAAGGGGAGGATACGTTAAAGAGCAAATAACCTGTCAGAATGGGCTGGAGCCAGGCAGTGTTACTGACCTAAGACAGACGTAGTCACATGTGCACTAAATACTATGGCAGGGCCTGTTTTAGGGAGGGTCATTTAGCCTATGTCTACCCTGCAGTGACAGTGAACAGCACAAGGGGCTTAACGAGAACAGGGAAATTACAAGGTACACAAGCTCATTCACTGTGATTTTCATTCAGGTTTCCAGGACTTTAAAAAGCCCAGGAAACAACACACCCACAGGCCCCACATAACTGGTCATCTCAAGTGAGACTCAGGGCACTGGATTAAAAAAAAAAAATCTATGCCAGAAAGATTCCACCTAGAATGGAATATGATCCATCTAATTTGGTCTTCTGGATAGGGTGGAAGGCTTCTAAAACACCGATCCAGGCAGTCACTCTGGTTCTTTATTCCAAAAAGAGAATGAGAAGCACTTAAACAATTGAGCAATTCACTATCGTTCAGTTTAACTACACAGCTGAATTGAAGGCCTCAATGAAGGATGAGGTCTACTAGCTTACAGAACACACTGAAAATAACCATGGGCCAAGTGCAGTGGCTCACACCTGTAATCCCACTCTTTGGGAGGCCAAGGCAGGCAGATCACCTGAGGCCAGGAGTTCGAGACCAGCCCGGCCCTGGCCCACATGGTGAAACCCTGTCTATACAAAATATACAAAAATTAGCAGGGCATGGGGGCGTGGACCTGTGGTCCCAGCTATTCGGGAGGCTGAGGCAGGAGAATTGCTTGAACCCGGGAGGCAGAAGTTGCAGTGAGCTGAGGTCGCGCCCCTGCACTCCAGCCTGGGCAACAGAGCAAGACCCTGCCTAAAAAAAAAAAAAAAATTCACAATTTCCTGACCTTTAAAACAAACCTAATAAAAGCATATTATTAATTAAGATTCATATGCCCAAAGCAGTTCATTTGCAAAACAGACTAGCCCATTTGAAATTGACAAATGACACAAGTCCAAGTATACAAATGTTTGACTGAGGACTTACAGTATCAGCTCCTGCTCCTGGATTGCTCATTCTGTGCTAGTATAAGCCTCACTTACGACAGCTCTGTGATGAGGGATACTACTTCCACTTTACAGATGAGGACATGAGGCTTACTCTAGGTCACAGCCATCAGCGCTGAGATTTGAACACAGGCCTGTCAGGCTGCTAAGCTCATTCTTGTTAACTTGATTTTCAGTATATAATTTTATATTAAAAACTAATAAATAAATTCTAAGCTCCCTGTTAATATGGAAATTGCTTGGTCCATTTTTTAATGGATCCATTTCTGCATGAAGGAGATTGGCACTGGATTCCAGCGATGCCTGTCCAGCTCCACCCTTCTACGATGACTCACTTCTTTAGTCACTTTCTGTCAGCATCGTGACTCTGTTCTGCTCAGCCCAAGTGTCTACTGAAGATCTGCAGTTCCTGCAGCTACATGGCTTCATAGCGGGGCAGGCCAGATTCAGACCAAGATGCTGCATTTCAGGCCGGGCACCTCACAGTGTTTAGGCTTTGGGGTTTGTTAGGATTAGGCACATTCAGACAGAAGAAAACTAAGAGTCTAAAGAGATGTCTTAGGGACTCTTCCCCCATTTGCAGCTTTGGGTTACAAAGATCGGTAGAAACAAACCTACGTGACCCATCCATACTTGATGCAAATATAGACAGTGGTCTTTGCAACTTTTTGCAATGATTCTTCAATGAATTATGAAAATCACAGTCTGTGTTTCCTGGGACTTCTTGAGACACCAGGCTTCTAGGTCCTTCTGTTTGATCCGTATTGGATGGATAAGAGGTGCTTTATGAAACCTCACTCAGCTGCCTTTAAGCCTGCCATAAGGGAGGTTCCCCAACAAAGGATCACCCTAATTAGAGTTGCTACCGGAACCAAACTGTAAAAGCAATTACGGGACAGTGCTGTAAATTTTTTTAATCCAGCAAGAAATAACTGCAAAACATTGTCAAAAATCTCTAAGGGGCTGCAAAATACTGTCACTGTCGGTTTTTTATAATGTGTTGGTTAGTGGTTTTTAAACATAAATATCTCCCCTTCAGGCTTCAGGGGTCACTTGGTAATCCTGCCTGCTGGCCAATTACTCTGGGGATTCTAATTTAACGAGGCTGTCTAGCTGGAGAGGTGAAATCTCAAATCAGGTCAGATACTAGTTGGGGTCTTAGGCCTTTGCTGCTAGCTAATGAGTAGATGGACATCTTTTCAGGGTATTTTCCCCAGTGCTCTGGCAATAAGAACCACTCATGTTCCATCCACTTCTCTCCTAAGAAATTTTCCCCTTAATATCTTGCTGGCAATGTTTGGAGTCTCTCTTGTCTCTGCAACTGCCAGGTAATAACATATGGATTTCTTTTATGATCCTCTGGTTCCAGAGCATACTGACACATGAGGCTAAGGTGTGGTTGATCTTTCTGCACTGGGGAAGGGCGCCATGGTCTAAAAGCCCCTGATCCTCCTGCATTGCTCCAGTCCCACTCTGACGGGCTTAAATATGGATACCTCTCTATGCAGTAAAGTTAGTACCTCTGGGAGGAAAAGGATTTGATCCTTTCAATGCTCCATCAATAGAAAATGTCCTGTCCCCACAGATTTCATGAGAAGAAATTGAGGGAAAAGAGACAAAGCAAGACAGACAAATTATTACATGATGAGCACCAGGCTGCCCCTCTGAACAAACCAAGAAGGTGTTCATGGAGTTATGGCAAAGAGGACAAGGAAGAACGGAGTGGGGTGGGGGTTGGGGGGCAGGAGGGAGGCATTGGTGCAAATAGCACTGAATGACAACCAATAGCCAGCTTGCGACTGTACCACCAGTGTTACTGCTACGATCAGAGGCAACATTGATGCCAATAAATGGGTTGAATGTAAAAGCAGCCCAAGAATAAGCCACCAACTGCTTCGCAGAAACCCCATTAGCAATGCATAATCCGCAGAGCGGGCAGGGAGTCTAAATGAGTCCCTATTTAAATAGCAGTGGGAGCAGGGACTTTTGGACAATCAGTGGAAATTCAGCAGTCGGGTTGGCTGGGACAGGCTTTTGGAAGGTGGCCCCGTTGGTGGCTCCACCTACAAGTTGTTGGCAGCAGTGGTACTTGCTAATCGGGGCTTCTGATTCCAACTGGTTTTCTATGACAAGGCTATAGGATGATTCCCCTGAATATTCTTTATACCAAATGAAATTTATACAAAGCCTCACGGCTGCCTTGCACAGCGTGAGGTCACCTTGGCACTACTGAAACATGAAGGGATGGGAGAGGAAGACAGAAGAGGGGAAATGGCCAATAGGAGTAAGAAAGAAAGAAAAGGAAAAGAGGATGTCCACAGCGGAGGTTTTACTGTCTACACAAAATATTGATGGTAAGGAAAAAAATTTGTTTCAGAAACTTCCCAAAGGATAAAAGCTAGCTTCCGTGTTATGCCAATGAAGCAGGTGGGCACCTCCCTCTGTGAACTAGACCAGGACTGTAAAAGCAGAGACAAAATAGTGGAAGCCTCTTATATCTTCCTCTGCTCCCCCCATGCCAAAGGTAGGCTTTTGAAAGCTCCAAAAAATTACACAAATGCTCCAAGTGAAATTGGGTAAGCTAACGGCTTACAATCAGGGTTCTTTCCAAGAAACCCAGCATTAACTTTCCTTTGCCAAAAGAGTCCATTCAGGATCCCTGACAATATTAGCCATTTGAAACTCTGTGATTGGACAAGGAGGCAGCCCTTGGTGTCTGAACTCCCCCAAGCAAAAAATTGACTGTTGCTGGTCCTGAAAACAGCTCGCCTGTCATTTCAGGTTCCTCAAAGCCAGGCAGGTGGCATTTTATTCTTGGGCCTCGGGTAGAGACAGGATTAGTTAAGGAGAGCATTTGCACAGCGCACAGTACCGGGAAGTCGTTAATTGCTTGTATGGACCAACGCCGCCGGGCAGAGCGAGGAGACATCTGTGCATGAAAACGTTACACCCAGGAGGAGGGAAGAAAAACACCAAGAAAATTAAAAGGGAAAAATATAGAATAAAATGAAAGCTTCCCACACATCCGATGGATTCCAATGTACCATAATACACTGTACAGTTGGGATGGGAACGACTAAAAAATCTGAACCTAAGCACAGCGGAATTCGGCTTCCCTCACCTCCCTCCCACCCCATCACACTCCAAACACAGCTTCAATTTCATTGTTCTTTTAGTCACATTTCAAGGTATATGGAGGCTGACATCAACACAGTTCTGACAAAGGAACTACAAATAGGTTTGAGGAACACTAACACACACTGAGATCATTGTGCAAGTGGAGAAATAGGCAGAAGCCTGTTTTCCCCTGTAGGAGGTAAGAAGGAGAACATATATTGAGAGCACATACTCATTCCTAAAAAGAAGACATTCTTGAATAGGCTCAATACCAAATTTTTTCTGGTAAGTGTTTGGGGGGTGATGAGGGAATTGGGTGTCTTGACATTGGGCCTGCAGGACTATCTTCAGAGTGACACCATGGGGAAATGGGAACCCTGGAGAAACGGGGGGAAGGAAGGGGCTAATGCTGAGGAGAGACCTTCTTGAAAGCACCTTTGCTAACAATATGAGTATCTGTTTACGGAGATCAGAAATTATTCTATTAACTTAAAGATCTCTCTAGTTATTTACATGAGAGCTATTTTAGTAACATAAACTAAAGCAAGAGTGGGAGGTTGCAACAATGTTTAAATGTATGCAAGGCAATACCTAAAGCTTATCCTAAGTTCTGGGCCTTCTGATCTACCCTAGGAATGAACAACATTTCATCAGCTATTAAGAGTCGGTTCACTTGTCAAATGAATGTTAGCAATTTGATGGCTTTTGAGGCGTCACACGTTTTAAAATTTTTAGGAGCAAAGCTTGGCATTCCATCTAGAGAATATTTGGGTGAACATAACAATATAACCTAAGTAGGGCAGGTTAAAAACACACAAAGCCACAAGAGAAACAAACAATAATCTCTAAATGGCTCTAAAAGATGTTTTGTTATCTCAAAAATACACTACACTGGGCCGGGTGCAGTGGCTCACGCCTGTAATCCCAACACTTTGGGTGGCCAAGGCAGGTGGATCACCTGAGGTCAGGAGTTCGAGACCAGCGTGGCCAACATGGTGAAACCATGATTAGCCGGGCATGGTGTTGGGCACCTGTAATCCCAGCTACTTGGGAGGCTAAGGCAGGAGAATCGCTTGAACCCGGAGGCAGAGGATGCAGTGAGCAGAGACCGCGCCTTTGCACTCCAGCCTGGGCAACAAGAGCAAAATGCTGTCTCAAAACAAAAAACAAAAAAACTCTATACTGGCTGGGTGAGATGGCTCATGGCTACAATCCCAGCACTCTGGGAGGCTGAGGTGGGAGGACTGCAAGAGCCCAGGAGTTTGAGACCAGCCTGGGCAACATAGCAAGACCTCATCTCTACAAAACACAGACCAAAAAAAGCCCCCAAACCAAAAACCCACTATACTTCCCTCATTGCTATGCCTTAAGGCAGTTACATTCCATTCTGTTACTCTCACTCATTTAAAGCTCTCAGGGGCAGAGATCTACCATGGAATAAAAATATGTAGGAGAAAAATTTGGGCTAAAAATGAAGACCTAAACACAGAGAAATCCAGCCTGGGCAACATAGCGGGACCCCAGCTCTATAAAAATATTTGTTTTTAATTAACTGGGTGATGTGGTGTACTCTTGTAGTTCTAGCTACTCAGGAGGCGGCTGAGGTGGAAGGATCACTCGAGCCCAGGAGTCTGAGGTTGCAGTGAGCCATGTTCACACCACTGCACTCTAGCCTGGGCAATGGGCAACAGAGTGAGGCCCCATCTCTTAAAAAAAAAAAAAAAAATTCCAAAACCACAAAACACAAACAGAAATTTAGTAGACTGGAATCATTTCCAGAACAAAAGCAACAAAAGTGACATCATTTGACATGTGAAACTAGGCAGCTGAGGATTAGAAAATGCTCCTCAAGGATTATCGACCTTTGTAAGGGAGGTAAAGCAGCCCACGTAAGATATCATGGCCATATCACGCTTATGTAATTCCCCCCTTGGCCCCTACATAAACGGGATGGATGTGAACAAACTTCAAGGAGAGAGAAATTTATGTCAAATTCATCACAAAATGACTGACTTATTCATTTTTATCTTGTTAACCTATTAAGTTGAACCACATGAATCTTTGTTTAGGTCAAAAATGGTCAAATATCAGCAATTTCGTATGATTTAAGCCAATAATCCAAGGTTTCTGAGGTTCCTGAAATGTTCTATTTCTTGACCTGTGTGATTATTAATTCACTGAACTATACACAACTTTGATTTGTGAACTTTTGTGTATTTGGTATATATCAATATAAGAGTTTCATATGAAATTATAATCAAAGCATCACCCCAGTTTATTTGGTCACTATTTGAAATAAAACATAAAAGGCCACTTACTATGTCTATTACGGGGCTCGAACCACCCACTTTCTGTGCAGAACAGAACACTGGGAACCACCCCAAATTGAAATTTCACAACTCTTCTCCACTCCCCTGCAGATACTATCAGATATTCTCTGATGAGAGAATTATCCACGTGCTCTTGGTTCCTCTTTATAATTACGGTGTTTGTAGTAAAAAAGGCCATACCATCAAAAACATGGACACAGGCTTAAAAGAGGCCTCATCTTGGAACTGGAGTTATTTTGATTAGAGTGGGCTTTACACACCCCCACAAAGTGAAAATTACGAGTCAATCTATTCTGCCCAATCTGAACCCAAGCATGGGTGGCACACGACACAAATCGGAGAGGAATTCAGAACTGCCTCTTGGATTGAAAGACCTCCTTGACCTGGCCCTGACACTAAAGAAAACCCCACATGTACCCAACCATGAGCCTGGCTTTCATCTCAACAAAATGTCTTAGTTCCAACCTGTTTATCAAATCATCTCTCCAGTTACCTGCAAACATGTGGGAAAAAAGAACCAACAATTTTGAATGGAAAGGACTTGGAAATGATATAGATTAGTGGGTGTTCCAAGGAGGTCTGTACTAGCCAAGTGGGCAGAATTCCATCAGAGATGTGAGGAAGGGGACTATAGGAAAGTGTCCAGAAAAAAAAAAAAAATCATTTTCCCTATTCAACTAAATGGTTTTGCTCAAGACTGGTCTGGTCTCAAACACCAGTTGCTGCCACTCATTTTAGTCACATACAACCCTAAAATAAAGTCAGAGATGGTCAACTCTCAGTGTAAACCAAGAAGGTTGGACATTCTACTGCAATCGAACTGAAGGAACTTCTAATACTTCCTAGAAATGGGTGTTTTGTCCAAAATAATTCAATTTTTTAAAAACAAATATTAATTACAATCCATTATTTCCCACTGAGCGAGAGATAACAACAAAGAATTCCTAAGGACTGAGTTTGTGCAGTGCTCAGTGGTAACTCTGTTTAAAACATCATGTCAGCTAGAAGTCTGTTTAAGCCAGACCTGCAATCTGTCAACACAGAAAGCTTTCTCTGCCAACTTTCTCTACATGGTTGGCACCAAGGGTTTCTGACAGCTTAATGATAACTACTTTAGGGACAATGAGTTATTTAAGAAACTAGGCACATAAGGACAAGCTCAGGTGATTTTTGTATCATCTGGTCCACTCAGATAGGTATTTCCATGTAGACTTAGTATAAAAAAAAAAACAAAAAACCTTTCAGACATTAACTTTAAGACTTCTCACAACCATCAAGTTCCAAATATATTGAGATCCCAAGACTCCAGAGGCATTCCTTAATTTGCTGAGAAACATCAGAATACCATGGAAGACTTGAAGCTAAGGTATTCTACCCTGAAATAATGGGAATCAACTCAGGGAGTGGAGATTACGAGTGGAGATTACAAGGACAAGGCTAAATGGGGAGTAAAGATTACGGACCATAAGAACGGCCCCCTGACCCATACACACACAATTTATAGCAGGTAAAACCAACTGAAAGGAACAAAGTAATGACTTTCTTGAACAAACTGATTACGAAAGTGAAAGGCTACAGGGTGATTACTAATCTAGCTGCTGCGCCAGGCAGGAGATGAGGAACAAGAATCCAGGAGAAGGGGTAAGAATCAAAGGCTACGGCTCTGGCACTTACCCGCTCCTTGTAGTAGAAGGAGCTGATGGAGACCTGCTCTTTCTCGCTGCGAGTGGGGCTCCCACTGTATAAACGAAGGTTCCCAGGGGCCTCTGTGCGGATCTTCATGGGCGCGATCAAGCCAGTGTGATAAGCAGACAAGGCTGAGAGAGATCTGTAGTTGAAAATGATAATTATCCACACTGGCTGCAGTCCTGTCATATTTCCAAGTGGTGCTATTCTTAGCACTTGATACCAAAAGGAGAAGACAAAATGAGAAGATGGAAACTCCAGAAAAAGAAGTCAATAAAACTTTTAACACTGAAAAATGCTTTATCTGCACAAGCATAGAATGCTTCTATGATTACAGACATAAAAAATTCAAAGGAATCTACAAACTACTAGAATAAGTGAATTTGAATACAAGGTCAACCTACAAATATCTACTATAGTTCTATCAATTAGAAACAAATATTTGGAAAATAAATATTTTAAAAGCTCATTTATAGTAGCATTAAAACACGTCAAATACCTAGGAATAAATTTAATTTTTGAAAATGTGCGTGAAAATACAAAATGCTGATGAGAGAAATTAAAGGAGACATACAACGATGGAGAAATATACCACGCAAGGATTGGAAGAGTCCATATTCTTAAGACATCAATTTTCTCTAAATTGATCTACAGAGTCAACACAATTCCAATCAAAATACAAGCAGGCTTTTTAGTAGGAACTAATAAGTTGATTTTATAATTTTATTGAAAGACCTAGAACAGCCAACCTGAACTAAACAAGAATAATATAATTGGAGGACTTGACCTATCAGATTTAAACACTTAACTATAGAAAAGTACATTATGAATGTAGTGTTGGCATAAAGGATAAATAGATCAAAGGAAAAAAGAGAGTCCAGAAAGACCACAAATATATGGTCTATTGATGTTCACCAAGGCATCAATACAAATTCAACAAAGAAAGGAAATCTTTTCATAAATGGTGCTAGAACAACTATTTTTCTCTACAAAATAAAACGAACTTTGACCCCTTAACTCACATTACATGCAAAAATTAATTTGAAATGGATCACAGACCTCAAATAAGGAATTTAAATCTATAAAGCTTTCATTTTTATTTATTTTTCTATAAAGCTTTTAAAAGAAAACACAAGGCCAGGTGCGGTGGCTCACGCCTATAATCCCAGCACTTTGGGAGGCCAAGGCGGGCAGATTACCTGAGGTCGGGAGTTCAAGACCAGCCTGACCAACGTGGAGAAACCCCATCACTACTAAAAATACAAAATTAGCCAGGCGTGGTGGCGCATGCCTATAATCCCAGCTACTCGGGAGGTTGAGGCAGGAGAATCACTTGAACCCGGGAGGCGGAGGTTGTGGTGAGCTGAGATTGCGCCATTGCACTCCAGCCTGGGCAACAAGAGCGAAACTCCGTCTCAAAAAATAAAAAATAAAATAAATAGGCCGGGCACGGTGGCTCACGCTCGTAATCCCAGCACTTTGGAAGGCTGAGGCAGGCAGATCACGAGGTCAGGAAATCGAGACCATCCTGGCTAACATGGTGAAACCCCGTCTCTATTAAAAAATACAAAAAATTAGCCAGGCGTGGTGGCGGGCGCCTGTAGTCCCAGCTACTCGGGAGGCTGAGGCAGAAGAATGGCATCAACCTGAGAGGTGGAGCTTGCAGTGAGCCAAGATTGCACCACTGCACTCCAGCCTGGGCAACA
The DNA here is from genome assembly GCF_000001405.40 of Homo sapiens. Classification (NCBI taxonomy): domain Eukaryota; kingdom Metazoa; phylum Chordata; class Mammalia; order Primates; family Hominidae; genus Homo; species Homo sapiens. The sequence continues at coordinate 74,905,665 of NC_000016.10, forward strand.
GAGCGAGATTCTGACTCAAAAAATAATAATAATAAATAAAAAATAAAAAAATAAAATAAAATAAATAAAATTAAAAAGTGATAAACTGGACATCATCAAAATTAGGACAATTTGTTCATTGAAAAACATTAAAGAGGGAGAAAGACAAGCCACAGATGAAGAGAAAATCAATACATACATCTAGCAAAGAATTTGCAACCAAAATAGATAACAACCAGAAACAAATAAGATACAGTTCCCCCAAAATGGGCAAAATACTTAACAAGCACATCACAAAAAAAGATACCCAAATGGTCAATATGCACACAGAAGCTGCTCGACATCATTCATCATCAACATGGAAATGCAAATTAAAACCACAGTGAGACGGCCGGGCGCGGTGGCTCACGCCTGTAATCCCAGCACTTTGGGAGGCCGAGGCAGGCAGATCACGAGGTCAGCAGATCGAGACCATCCTGGCTAACACGGTGAAACATGGTCTCTACTAAAAATACAAAAAATTAGCCGGGCGTGGTGGCGGGCGCCTATAGGCCCAGCTACTCGGGAGGCTGAGGCAGGAGAATGGCGTGAACCCGGGAGGCGGAGCTTGCAGTGAGCTGAGATCCAGTCAATACACTCCAGCCTGAGCGACAGAGCAAGACTCCGTCTCAAAAAAAAAAAAACCCACAGTGAGATACTAGGACACTCACAACAGAATGGCTAAAGTTGAAAGGACTAGCAATACCAAGTTTTGGAGTGGATACAGAGCAACCAGTGCTCTGAAACATTGCTAGTGACAGGGTAAATGGCACAACCACTGTGCACAAACTTTTGGACAGTTTCTCAAGTTAAAAATACATCTATCTGATGACTGAGGAATTCTGCTCCTCAGGTGCAGAAATTAATATACAAGTCTTTTTATGAACATATGTGTCCAGGTTTGCTCATAATGGCCGAAAACTGGAAAGGATGCAACTATCTATCCACAGGACAACGAATAAACAAACTGTGTTGCATTCATACAATGGACCTGCTGACACATGCAGCAATGTGGATCAATGTCAATAACATTAAGTTGAGCAAAGTAAGCCAGACATAAAACAGGTCATGCCGCACTATTCCACTTCAATGAAGTTCAAGAACAGGCAAAACTACCATGACAGAAGTCAAGAGAGTGGTGTCCTCTGGGTGCTGAAGGGCGGGGAAAAGGGACTGGGAACCTTTGTGGGTGAGGACAGTGTTCTATATCTTGATATGAGTGTTGGTCACCAAGCCATACACTTCATATTTGTGTATCGTAAACTATCTCAGTAAAGGACTGTCAGTGGGAAAACATTCTAATAGGAACATTTTCCCCTCCAATCCAAAGTCCAGATACAGTTATTCCTTCTTTCCCTTTGAGAATACAGGACTGTTTTCTACTCCAATAAGGAATCGGGTGTAATGTAGGTGTTCCCTAGTACTGAACCCCAGTTCCCATGGGGCCCAGGTCACATCTGCCCAGGTTACTGCAGAGATTGGCCACCTCTTGGCAAAACAGCAGTGTCTGCTCACACAGTTCTCTCATCCAGTTCTCTCTCTTTCTTGTTAGCTCAGCTATTCATTCATAACTGATATGGTTAGGCTTTGTGTCCCCACCCAAATCTCATCTTGAATTGTAATCTCCACAATCCCCACATGTCAAGGGAGGGACACAGTGGGAGGTGATTGGATCATGGGGGCGGCGTCCCCCATGCTGTTCTCATGATAGTGAGTGAGTTCTCATGAGATTTGATGGTTTTATAAGATCTGACAGTTTCTCCTTCACATACACACTCTCTTTCGCCTGCCGCCATGTAAGAAGTGCCTCTTCTCCTTCCAACACGATTTTAAGTTTCCTGAGGCCTCTCCAGCCATGTGGAATTGTGAGTCAACTAACCTCTTTTCTTTATAAATTACCCAGTCTTGGGCAATTCTTGCAGTGTGAGAACGGACTAATACAATGTCTATGCTGATTACACTGTATCCAGCGCCTTCAGGGGTTTGCAGCAGGGAGGTTTGCAACTTATTATATCTTGGTCACCAGACTGCGGAACCAGAAGTCTACTGTATAATCCTAAAGCTTTAAAAACCAGTAATCAAAACAGGAAACATGGAGCACTTCCAATGTACCAGGTGGTGTTTTAAACATTTTTAGAGGGACTTAATCTTCCCAGCAACTGCAGGTGGTAAGTGCTATGATGATCCCCATGTTACTGTTGAAGGAACTGAAGCTGAAGTTTAGATAACTTGCCCAAGGTCATAAAATGACAGGGCCAAAATCTGGATCTGGGCACGTTGGCTCTGAAGTCTATATTCCTATCTGCTACAATAGATTGCCTATAAAGAAAAACTTTTTTTAATGCACAGAAAAATAATGACTAGACAGAAACATGTTCTGTTGTTAAACATGATTCTCTCTAAAACAGGGAAAATGAAAAGAAGGGCTTTTGCGTTGTAATTTAAAACTTCCAGGCTGGGCATGGTGGCTCACACCTGTAACCCCAGCACTTTGAGAGGCTGAGGCAGGTGGATTGCTTGAGCTCAGGAGTTTGAGACCAGCCTGGCAACACTGCAAAACCCTATCTCTACAAAAAATTATAAAAATTAGCCAGACATGGTGGTGCACACGTGTAGTCCCAGCTACTTGGGAGGCTGAGGCAGGAGGATCACTTCAGCCAGAAGGCAGAGGCTGCTGTAAGCTATGATCATGCCACTGCACTCCAGCCTGGGTGACAGAGCCAGATCCTGTCTCAAAAAAAGAAAAAAGAAAAAAACTTCCACGTTTGTGTTTTCACAATGTACTACTTATGGAATGTTTTAAAATTACATATTGTTTGGTAATATTAGAAGTGGCATATTAGTGCTGTGAAACTACAGATGGTCTTTTGTTATTTTTCCAGTTTTATTTAATGTTAGTTAAATTGAATAATAAAATAATTAAAAACAAATAATAAATAATATGCTAGCAATAGGGGAAAGGCACATTTAAAAAGAATTTGCCTTGTTTTGACAATAGCTTTTATCAAGCTACCTCTTCTAATGGTTTGGTAATAACCATACAGCAGAAATCACAGCTTTTTTGCAATTTAATTGACTTCAATCTTTCTCAAATAAATCTTATAATGGGAGTTTACTGAAGAACTGAAATGCACTGTCCAAAAGCAAACTCAGTGGTCCTTCCCAGGTCTCTGGCCACTTCTGGCCCCGGGAACGTAGAGCGGCTTCTGCATCTCCCTGACTCACCTCGGAGTAGGCTCTGTGGGAGACACCGCCCGATGCATTGTCATGGGCCTTGTGAAATATACCAGGTAACCTAAAGGAGGAGACATCACATGAGCCATCAGTGTCAACAAGCTGGCCGTGGGAAATCCTGAGGCAGGACTGGCCAGTCTTTCTTCTATCTCTGTACACCTGAGGGTAAGACACATTTTCATAAGCTGCAAGACTCCTGACTGCAGTCACCCTTACCAGGAACAAAGGTCAGCGCTCCAGGATCCAGGAGAGAGGATGTATGTGGACTGGGCAGAGTCATCAGCAGGACTCTAAGCCTCCCTACCAGGCGAATGCCCCCTGCTAAGAATCAGGGCTCTGAGTAAAGACTCAAATCCAAGCTCATCAGAATGAAGAAAGTTAAGACCCCCATTCTGGTGCACCCTCTTAGGATAAGTCCACAGACACCGACTGGGCCTCAGACCCTACCACGCTACCATGAAAGTCTCGTTTGAGTTCTCGGGAGTAAAAGCAAACATTTTCTGATGAAGATGTTTATACAGAATCTATGACATTCTTAGCTGCTCCCTCTCGAAATCTAGAATCAAAGAACCAAAGAGACCCACCTGCTCCGCAGAACCTGGCCCCAGAAGTCCTAGGAAAGGGAATGTTGGCGTCCTGGTACGACCCGTAAGCCGTGGTCACCCGCGCAAACGTCGGTAAGGGGGGAGTGACAGAGTTGGGGAGTGCAAACGGGTTGCTGGAAGCGCTGTCTTCCTGGTTCTGAAATTTAAAAATCCACAAGCTAAAAACCACAACCTGTCTTAAAGCTGAACTACAAAATAAAGACCCAGTATGACAAAACCAGAAAACCCATGATTTTAGGGAGAAAGAAATGAAACAAAACACCAAAGCCTAAGTTGGTATGACAGTTTCATGCTTCCCACCACAAAGGACTCAAGGCAGGAGACGAGCTGGCGCAGGCAGGGCTCCAGGCAGCTCTGGCCACGCTTCACTTTCTGCAGGGCTGTGTCCTTCAGGATCTAGAAAAGGCCCAAAACACAGTCAAGAAGAGGAACACATTTCTCTGATAGGTTTTTTTTTTTTTTTTGAGACAAAGTCTCTCTTTGTTGCCCAGGCTGGAGTGTAGTGGTACGATCTCGGCTCATTGCAACCTCTGCCTCCCGTCTTCAAGTGATTCTTGTGCCTCAGCCTCCCGAGTAGCTGGGACTACAGGCGCCCACCCCCATGCCTGGCTAATTTTTGTATTTTTAGTAGAGAAGGGGTTTCACCATGTTGGCCAGGCTGGTCTCGAACTCCTGACCTCAAGTGATCTGCCCATCTCGGCCTCCCAAAGTGCTGGGATTACAGACATGAGCCACTGCGCCCGGCCCTGATTGGCTTTTCTTCTGCAAAGTGGTCAGACACAAGGGTGATGCTGGGAGCCAGGTGCATGGTTAAGTCAAGGCTTCCAACACAGTGTAATAATCTAATTTCTACCTCTACCGAGGTTAAAACAGGATTCACTCCTGAGCCCTCCTAGAGAAGCTCTTTCCTTAATCAAGGCAGCACACGTGGATTTTGAGAGGGCAGCTTTCAGTAACAGAAGGACTATTACTTCTTTCTAGTGAACTCTGCCCTTTTCCTCACCCCCAACACCACTTGCTCCATGAGAAACGTCAGTACCTTAGAAGTAATACTCACTGGCCTGGATTGAAATTGCTCTCAGTGACAAGAGGCATGGATTTCACTTCAGTGAAAATTATAATGTATATTTTTTGTCCTTCAAAAGTATAAATCCTAACACTTTAAACCCATTTATGCCTAATGTTCCATTATTGGAACACTAAGCTTGTGGGAGTTATTTATATCCTACTGCTGAGTCATCGCCAAGGTCTGATTTTTCCTTTGTTTTTTTGAGGAGTGTCGCTCTTACTGCCCAGGCTGGAGTGCAATGGCATGATCTCCGCTCACTGCAGCCTCCGCCTCCCAGGTTCAAGCCATTCTCCTGCCTCAGCAGTCTCTGTTGCCCAGACTGGAGTGCAGCCACGTGATCTTGGCTCACTACAACCCCCACCTCCTGGGTTCAAGTGATTCTCCTGCCTCAGCCTACCGAGTCGCTGGGAATACAGGCATGCGCCACCACGCCTGGCTACTTTTTCTATTTTTAGTAGACATGGGGTTTCACCATGTTGCCCAGGCTGGTCTTGAACTCCTGACCTCAGGTGATCCACCCGCCTCAGCCTCTCAAAGTGCTGGGATTACGGGAGTGAGCCACCGCACCCGGAAAAGGTCTGATTTTTCACACACAAAAGAGTTCGCAACCTAATCGTATCATTTTATACTAACAGAAAAATCTATCTTTTTTGTATGTCCAAACTAGGCAACGGCATATTCAGATTCCAAGTTTAACATGTCAAATACCACAAGATCTGAGTTACTGGCATTTCAGAGATCCTTAAGCCACTTGAAAATTTCCTGGTTCCATGTGATACCCCCAACAAGGTGGAACAATCAAGTGTCCACGACCCAAACTGGACAAAAAATGAGCAACATTCAGCTTGGCCTGAGTTTGTCAGAATACTTCAGTCCCTTCACTTGTGACACTGCTCAGACTGAACGGGTATGAAGAGGCTCATGGGGCTTTGTCATGGAGATTCCACCTGATTTGCTCTGGATGAACTGATGCATTAAATCTCTGAATCTGCAGAATTAAACACAGATGCCAGGCTGTGGTGCCTCCACCTGGACACCTACTGTGCAGCTAGCCAGCCTGTCTCTAGGATAACACCAGCTCCTTCTATGGGATAAAATTTTTTTTATGACCTTACATATGTTTTTTTCTAATTATAAAATATCTTTTAGCTTCAGAATACATCTTGCTTGTTGTTTTCAGGTAAATGAAATTGGACTGCAGGGCTCCTAACCTGGGCTGCTAAATGAAATTGGATTGCAAATCTCCTAACCGGAGATGAATGCATAGTATTAATGAGATCTGTGGGCAGATTCTATGCAATTCACATATTTACAGGCAATATTTCTCAAATCATATGCAATCATTGTGCAGATTTTTCTGAGGAAGGGTCCATAATTTTCATTAGAATTCAAAGGAAGTCTATGACCCAAAAAAGGTTAAGAACCACTGCTCTGATGTTTTCTGCACAAAGTAAATGGCAAGTTCAGAGGTTACGTTGCTAATACTAGTGTGTGTACGAAACAGATGACTTCCGAATCTCATCTACTGGAGTTTTCATTCTTCTTTACTAATCCATCTAGACAATGATGCAGAACAGCAAGGAGAATTTGGGAACCCAGACCCCCACCTTCAGCAGCTTAGCTTTCATGGTGGATGTGATGGTTGTGGGGTTAATAAACTGGAAGGAAGGGGCGGCGTTGTTTGGGTACTGTGCAGGGAACTTCACCAGCATCTTGACACGATGGTTGCTGCAGTGCACAGACACTGTGCAGCTCCTGTCTGCCGCATCCATCTGCAAGAGACAAATCCACAATTGCTGTAGAAACAAACCATAAAGCGTCTTTCGATGCAAGCACATTTAACTGAACGCTCCATGTTCCTGGTAATTGAATGAAGGGAAAGAGTCTACAAAGACAAATGTGTGTGGAAGACAATTCATTTTCAAAAAGATTCTTAAATTTTCATACCAGATTCTTAAAATTTTCAAACCAATGGAATAAGCTCAAAGTTGCTGAGACCAGCTCGGTCGGGGTGACCCTAAACCAGCAGTGCCAGAAGAATTAAAGACACACACACAGAAATATAGAGGTGTGGAGTGGGAAATCAGGGGTCTCACAGCCTTCAGAGCTGAGAGCCTTGAACAAAGATTTACCCATGTATTTATCCACAGCAAGCCAGTGATAAGCATTGTTTCTATAGATTATAGATTAACTAAAAGTATTCCTTATGGGAAACAAAGGGATGGGCTGAAATAAAGGGATGGGCTGTGGCTAGCTATCTGCAGCAGGAGTATGTCTTTAAGGCACAGATTGCTTATGCTATTGTTTGTGGTTTAAGAACGTGTTTAAGCGGTTTTCTGCCCTGGGTGGGCCAGGTGTTCCTTGCCCTCATTCCGGTAAACCCACAGCCTTCCAGCGTGGGCATCACCACCATCATGAACATGTCACAGTGCTGCAGAGACTTTATGGCCAGTTTTGGGGCCAGTTTATGGCTAGATTTTGGGGGGGGGGGGGGCCTGTTCCCAACATGTCCCCCTTCTTTGATTTGCAAAGTGATAAAAGCAAAGGCAGCTTTGTCACGGTGAGCTACTTCTTGCAGGAGTCAAGATCCACATCTGCAGACTACACAAAGACAAACAACACAGAGGGTCAGTTTATGGCCAGATTTCAGGGGGCCTGTTCCCAACACAAAGTATTCTTTTTTTTTTTTTTTGAGACAGGGTCTCACTTTGTCACCCAGGCTGGAGTGCAGTGTGGCACAATCTCAGCTCACTGCAACCTCCACCTTCTGGGTTCAAGTGATTCTCCCACCTCAACCTCCCAAATACTGGGACTACAGGCCACCATGCCCAGCAAATCTTTGTTTTGTTGTTGTTGTTGTTGTTTTGCTTTTTGTGTTTTGGTAGAGATGGGGTTTCGCCATGTTGGCCAGGCTGGTCTCAAACTCCTGACCTCCAGTGATCCACCCACCTTGGCCTCCTAAAGTGCTGGGATTACAGGCATGAGCCACCACGAAGTTCAAAGTATTCTGACTTTAACAAAGCTTCCTCCCTCCCAAAGCTGTGGGGTAGACTGAAACTTGTTATATTTACTTTGAGATGGGAAAATAAAGCAGGAAGAAGTTAAATACCAGACTCAACTTAAAAAGTGCTCCTGGGAAAATCCATAGGGGAAGAAAGTAGATTCGGGATTGCCACGGGCTGAGGGAAGGGGAAATAGGGAGTGACTGCTCATGGGTATGGGGTTTCTTCTGGGAATGATGAATATGTTCTGGAATCAGACAATGGTAATGGCTGTACAACTTTGTGAATATACCCACAACAGCCAGATTATATACTTTAAAAAGCGGAATTTTGGCTGGGCACAGTGGCTCACGCCTGTAATCCCAGCACTTTGGGAGGCCAAGGTGGGCAGATCAACTGACATCAGGAGTTCGAGGCCAACCTGGCCAACATGGCAAAAACCCCATCTCTACTAAAAATACGAAAAAAAATTAGCTGAGCGTGGTGGCGTGCGCCCATAATCCCAGCTATCTGGGAAGCTGAGGCAGGAGAATCGCGTGAACCCGAGAGGCAGAGCCTGCAGTGAGTCACGGTAGCACCACTGCACTCCAGTCTGAGCGGACAGAGCAAGGCTCCATCTCAATAAAAAAAAAAAGATGAACTTTATACTGTGTGAATTATATCTCAATAATTTTTTTAAAGTACTCTCGAAGAAAGGAATCAAGATCTTAAACTAGATCACTAGGTATCCACACTGTCCTCAAATGGGACAAAGGGAGTATAAACTGACTTGATATAGATCACTAATTAAGCAAAGAATCCTTTATATCTTTTCATTTCTTGTGTTGCCAACTAGAGACAGCAGCTGGAGTAAAGAGAAAAGAACCACATGTGGCAAATCTGGAGACCTGGATTCACATGTTGTTTCTTCCACCAAATAGCTGCTGACCTTGGACATTTCTTCTCTTGATGTCTCCGTTTCCTCAGCTGTAAAGTGAGGCTAAAACCACTTACAGCAGACTATTTTTTTTTTTTTTTTCGAGACGGAGTCTTGCTCTGTCGCCAGGCTGGAGTGTAGTGGTGTGATCTCGGCCTCACTGCAAGCTCTGCCTCCTGGGTTCAAGCGATTCTCCTGCCTCAGCCTCGTGAATAGCCGGGACTACAGGCGCACGCCACCATGACCAGCTAATTTTTGTATTTTTAGTATAGACGGGGTTTTACCATGTTGGCCAAGAAGGTGTCGATCTCTTCACCTTGTGATCCGTCTACCTTGGCCTCCCAAAGTGCTGGAATTACAGGCGTGAGCTACCGCACCTGGCCAGCAGACTTGTTTTAAAAGCCACATGAGATAGTTATGTAACAGCACATATTTGGGTAAAGGAAAAACTAATCAAGCTTTAAAACTCCTTTCTGGAGAGATACTCAATTTTCTGAAGCAAAGACTTTCAATACTTGCCCCCAAAAAAGTAACTGTTCCACAGGCTAAGCAAACAAAGAAGTTTTGGTTGCCTTCTTACTGTGAATCTAAATTACCAGGAAATGGCCAGCCTGTGAGAGAAGATGGCACAGCCCAGCACAGCACAGCACAGCACAGCACAGAGTGCCCTGGACGGGCTGGAGGTTTGGCTTCCCAAGTCAACTCTGTCCCCAACTTCAGCAGCAACCTCTGCCAAATCACTAAGCCTCCAGGGCCTAAGTATCTTCCTCTACAGTAAAATGAGATGCTGGAGCATCTAAGGAGGAGCTAAGGCACACGAGCATCAGGTTCTCCTTTGGCTCATCTTAGGAGAAAAGAATAGGGGTAGAAAGAAAGTCTGCATCTCTTTATTTACTTATTTATTTATTTATTTATTTAATTATTTTATTTATTTTTTTTGAGACAGAGTCTTGCTCTGTCACCCAGGCTGGAGGACAGTGGTGCGATCTTGGCTCACTGCAACCTCTGCTTCTCAAGTTCAAGTGATTCCTGTGCCTCAGCCTCTCGAGTAGTTGGAATTACAGGCTAATTTTTTTTTTTTTTTTTAAGTGGAGACAGGGTTTCACCATGTTGGCCAGGCTGGTCTCAAACTCCTGGCTTCCTGGTTTCAAGTGATCTGTCCACCTCAGACTCCCAAAGTGCTGGGATTACAGGCGTGAGCCACCGCGCCTGGCCAGAAAACCCAGGAAATAAAAAAGCAAGCAGAGAGAGTTCTGTTAAAGCTGCAAAGCTATTTGCTAACTGAAATCATTGCTGAAATGGTTCCCTCTCCCACAAACTGCCATCAGCAAACATGAGATACAGTTGATTAAACTAAGTACCTCCACATTGACATTCCGGATTTGCACATTGATCAGGGAGAATTCCTGCTGCAAGGTCTGAGGCAGCCCCAGTTGATCTGATTTCCTCTCTTCCAGGAGATTTCTAGGGGGATCTTCTTTTAGGGCTAGCAGGAGAGAGAAGTTCAATGTTGGAAAGCATTTTTGAAAATGAAACAGAGAACAGGTCTGGGGTATCTGCCACAACTCTGCAATGCGTAGAGTGGCACCTTACCTGAGACATCAGTTTGACAAATTACCTTCTTCCTCCCCATGGCTTGCAGTGTGCTGGTGATCTGTATCTTCAGTGTGCAGGGTCTTCTCAGGTTCCGGCAGAAGGGAAATACTCTCAATGAACTCATCAACACCATCTAATATGTCATTTGCACAAAGCTGCAACAAAGGGTAGAAGATGTAGTTCTAGAGAAGTCCGTGGAAATGATTGTCATGTCTGATTAAAGAGTTCTGACTTAAAAATGGGAAGGGCAAAGGATGGGGATGTGTCAGCCAAGAGCTGACATAATCAAAATAGATTTTACCCATTGCCAACTCTCCCTGGTTAAACACCAGGGATAACAGACTCTATTATTCAACACTGGAAATTTTTTCATCATGTTCAGAGTTTATGCAAGCCTCAGAAAAAAAATTAATTTAAACTCCAAGCTTTGATGGAGTTATTCAGCTAATCCAGGAGCAAAAATATCATAACCGGCCAGGCGTAGTGGCTCATGCCTGTAATCCCAGCACTTTGGGAGGCCGAGGCAGGTGGATCACCTGAGGTTAGGAGTTTGAGACCAGCCTGGCCAAGAGGGTGAAATGCCGTCTCTACTAAAAATACAAAAACTAGCCAGGCATGGTGGCGGACGCCTACAGTCCCAGCTACTCGGGAGGCTGAGGCAGGAGAATCACTTGAACCCAGGAGGCAGAGGTTGCAGTGAGCAAAGATCACGTGGCTGCACTCCAGCCTGGGCAACAGAGAGAGACTCCATCTCAAAAAAAAAAAAACGAAAACCATAACCTCAAGGCATTTGGTGCAAATTGTACCTTTTGGAAAAAACAGATTGAAAATGCAATAAGGTAATGAGATTTGATCAAACTGCTCAAGAGTGACTTCATACTAAGCAGTGTTGAAATTTTTATCCAGTATTTTCTATTCATTCTGTGCAAAGCAATGTACCAAGCGCTGTGGGAGATCCAATACAAGTGAGACACCTTCCCACTGTCAAGAAATTTAGCCATCAAATGAGGAGAGGACAGAACCCTGTGATAAGGCAGAGCAGAGCAAGGGCCACCAAAGCAGCTCATGCCAGGTACTACTGTGTGTGGTTCATGTAAGAAACAGATATCATTTATCGGGAAAAAATTACAAACAGCTTCATAAAAGCAGTGTTGCTGATAGATGTAGAAGCCTCCAAGCATTTGCAGCGTACAAGGGTAGGCTTCTTAGCCCATTTAGAAGAGAAAGAAATGAACCCACAGGGCACATACTCAGGGAGCTACCCATACTATCTTATGCTAGAATAAGGAGGGGAAAGACATTTAGAGGCTCTCTGGCCTTAAAGTGCTGAATACTGAAGTTGGTTCTTAAAGACCTCAAAGCCTTGGTGTGGTACACACCAGCTACTCAGCCAACCAGTAAGTATGTATTAAATGTCTATCCTGCCGGGGAAGGTGGCTCACACCAGTGATCCCAGCACTGTGGGAGGCTGAGGCAGGTGGATCACTTGAGGTCAGGAGTTGAAGACTAGCCTGGCCAACTTGGTGAAACCCCGTCTCTACTAAAAATACAAAAATTAGCCGAGTGTGTTGGTGGGCGCCTATAATCCCAGCTACTCAGGAGGCTGACGCAGGAGAATCGCTTGAACCCGGGAGGCAGAGGTTGCAGTGAGCCAAGATCGTGCCACTGCACTCCAGCCTGGGCGATTCAGTGAGACGCACTCTCAAAAAAAAAAAAAAAAAAAAAAAATTGTTTATCCTGTAACCTCTAATTTCCGCAAATCCTGAATCTTACACTTTTTGGTGGATTCAGGTACATTTCTCCACAATAGCACTGCATACATACCCTCTGCATCTGGGAATCCACCCGCCACATTCTCAAGGTCTGATCCCGGGACCACGTCACCAGTTGATAGTCCTTGGACCCTAGAAATCACCAAATAAGAATCCTGGAAATTCTTCTGGATTCAACGTCTATTTGCTAGAGGTTGAAATGGAGTGAGATTCATCCATCCATTCAACAAACATCTACTGAACATTTCTCATATGCCAGGCACTATTCTAGGTACCAGGACTACAGCATGAATAAAATAATTTCTATCTTTATAGATCTCGCATTCCAGTGGTAGAAAGAGACAAATATCTGATAAAACATCTGGTATAAAGAATAACACAGGATAAGAGGACAGAGACTGATGGTGGAACTATTTTTAGATAGAACTCCCCAAGGAAATCACATTTGAGCAGAAACTTAAATGATGTGAAATACTAACTGGCAAATTAGCAGGTAAAGAGCGATGCTGGGATTTAATGTCACACTAAACTTTCACCTCTGCAAATGTTCGTCCTTTTACATGCTCTCGAAGAGCTGGAGATGAACATATTTTTGCAAAACGGGTTATTTCAAATGCATCATGGCATCTTACCATTCAAAAGAATTTTTTGGTAAAGTGATGTATCTCTTTGTAAAATGAATAATCAATCCTTAATGTACTTAATTGACTGAATCATATTTTCATCTTAACTCTGGTCAAAGGGAAATTATCCTGAAAAGGTTCAGGGTGCTTTATGAAATAACTTCATGAAAGATCAGGACATTTGCGGATAATTATGCAGTATCTAGAATCTCCTTCATGGCCACCTTCAGAGAGCAAAGATTTTAGAAATAATTTCATCCAATTTCTTAATTTTATGGATGGGGAAACTGAGGCAAGAGAATATGATCTGTCCAAGGTCACAGGGTGAGTGGGCAGGAAAACAAGGGCCAGTTCTTATTGGTTCCTTCTCTGCATCACCACCTTCAACCAAAAATTCACTCTTCAATATTTCATACATCACTAGGCACAGCCAGCCAGACAGCAACTATTCTGAACCACGGCTTGTTACAAGTGCCACCATCTTGCCTCATGTCCACATCAACAATCTTCTGACCCTACATCTGGCTTCTCTTCCTGCCCCTGACTTTGACGAAAAGGTATGCCTAATTCCTTTCTAAATGTTATAAATTAACTCAACCCCTCGACCTGTGCCTCCCCCGCTGGTCCCAAGGGGCCCTTTGCTTCCCCGACTCCCTTGTATCTTCTCCCTGCCTTCCAACAGAGAGGGCAGCAGCCTCTCCCAACTGGCTGATTCTACGCCTTGCCTTTGAGGGTTACTTCATTCACTAAAACCGGTTCCTGCTGCCCCTGTTCATGCCACCCTATGATCTGGCTTCTCTCCTCAATTTGCTCTTGGAACACCTTTTTTTTTTTAATTTTTTGTATTTTGAGATAGGGTCTCACTTTGTCACTCAAGCTGGAGTGCAGTGATGCAATCTGAGCTCACTGCAACAACCTGCACCTCCTGGTTCAGGAAATTCTCCTGCCTCAGCCTCCAGGGTGGCTGAGATTACAGGCACGTGCCACCACACCTGGCTAATTTTTTTTTTTTTAATATATTTTGGTAGAGATGGGGTTTCATCATGTTGGCCAGGCTGGTCTCAAACTCCTGGCCTCAAGTGATCAACCTGCCTTGGCCTCCCAAAGTGCTGGGATTACAGGCGTGAGCCACCGCACCTGGCCTGGAACTCCTTTCTTAATGATTATATGGCTTCCTATTTGGTCAGTTAAATGCTTTTCTCTTACTCTACATTTTGATCTATCAGCAACACCTGAAACCAAGGACTACTGCTTCCCTCAGGAGGCATCCTTGTCCCCTGGCCACAATATCCTGACTCACTTCCTACCTCTTTGAGAAATCCTTCCCCACAGTGAAAATCAAAGCATGAAGTGGTCCAATAAAAATTGATGACTACCAGCCTGGGCAACATGGTGAAACTCATCTCTACAAAAATACAAAAAATTAGCTGGCATGGTGGCACACTCCTGTAGTGCCAGCTACTCAGGTGGCTGAGGTGGAAGCACTGCTCGAGCCCAGGAGGTCGAGGCTGCAGTGAGCCATGCTCGTGCCTGCACGCTAGCCTGGGTGACAGAGCGAGACCCTATCTCAAAAAAAAAAAAAAAAAAAATTGATGTCGAAGACATGGCAGTAAAAGTAAACTGGAACAACCTTCAGCTGAGAAAGAAGTAAAATACAGATGGTTCCCAATTTACAATGGTTCAACTTACAATTTTTTGACTTTATGATGGCGTGAAACTGTCACAATTTTAACATAATGCACAGTATTCAATAAAGTATATGAGATATTCAACACTTTTTTTTATAAAATAGGCTTTGTATTAGAGGATTTAGCCCAAATGTAGGCCGATGGAAGTGTTCTGAGCATGTTTAAGGTAGGCTACTTAAGCTATGATGTTCAGTGGGTTAGGTGGGTTAAATATATATATATATTTTTTCTTTTGAGACTGTCTCGATCTGTCTCCAGGCTGGAGTGCAGTGGCACAATCTCAGCTCACTGAAACCTCTGCCTCCTGGGTTCAAGAGATTCTCCTGCCTCAGCCTCCGAAGTAGCTGGGACTACAGGCATGCACTGCCACACCTGGCTCATTTTTGTATTTTCAGCAGAGATGGGGTTTTGCCATGTTGGCCAGAACTCCTGGCCTCAAGTGATCCGCCCACCTCAGCCTCCCAAAGTACTGAGATTACAGGTGTAAGCCACTGTGCCTGGCCTAAAATACATTTTCTACTTATGATATTTTCAACTTACAATGGGTTTATCGGGACATAACCCCATCATAAGGAACACCTGCATAAAAACACATGCATAATAATTAAATTTGCAAAAGGTTCAGAAACAGGCAAACCTAAACTACTTTTAGGGATTCAAAAATAGGCAGTGAAACCACAAAGGAAAAATCCAGCAATGGCTATCGTAAGCATTAGAGGAGTCACTACTCTCAGGGAAGGGAGGGGATGGTGACCAGGTAGCTTCGGGGCTCTTGGCATCGTTTTCTTTCTTGACCTGCATGGCAATTACATAGATTTTCACTTTATAATTATTTGTTACACTATACATGTTCCATATAATTTTCAAATACATGATATATTTCACAGTAAAAAAAAATTTTTTTTTATTTAAACTTTCATTTTAGCTTCAGGGGTTCATGTGCAGGTTTGTTACAAAGGCAAACTCCTGTCATGGGGGTTTGTTGTACAGATTATTTCATCACCCAGGTACTAAGCCTAGTACCCAATGGTTATTTTTTTCTGATCCTCTCCCCCTCCCACCCTCCGTCCTCAAGTAGGCCCCAGTCTTTATTATTCCCCTCTTCCACAGTTAAAACAAAAAAAAAGTTAAATAGTAACTCGTACTCAAAATTTTGCTACTGGCCAGGCAGTTCCAATTTACACAACTCACCCACCAGCTTAAAGACAACATGGGTAACTAACAATGGGTTCCTAAAAACTTTATTTCCATCCAAAACTACCGGTCAACCCCTCCCCACTGGACTGAGGAAATCACATCATCTGTTTTCTTTTTTTTTTTCTTTTTTGAGACAGAGCACTACATGCTTGTGAAGACAACTGAGGGTATGTAGTAGGCAGTACTAAAGACCACCTTGGGTCTCCCTCATCAACAGAGTGGCAAGGGGCAAATGCCCTGGACTTCTGAGCCCAGAGTCTTTCAGTCCCAGAAACAATCCAACAGCAAATCTCTATCTTCCGTCTCTTACTGGAGCATATCTCTTCCAAGCAAGAGAGACTACGCTGACAATTGTGGAAGAGGACAGAATTTGGAAGAGTAACAGCAGCCTTATATAGTCCCTTTACTCACCTATGACGAAAGGTGGCAACAGCCCTGGCTCTCTGGTTCCTAAAGCCCAGCTCTCTCTATGTCTTCTTTACTGGACTCCATGGCAACACTGACTGGCACCGCTGTCACCAGAGCTCAGAAGGAAAGTGGGCAGCAGGCCTCTCCCACTCACCTTCCTTCTGCTTCCTCCACTGGAACTCCAGGACCACATCATCATGCCCCACGAAGGTGTGGACTGGGGTGTTCAAGTCAAAGACATTCCACAGGAGAAGGCTGTTTTCCCTCCGCAGCTGGGGAACCATCACAGTCACCAATCCATTGCTGAAAGGCTAAGGCAGGGAAGGGAAAAGCAGGTGATTAGATTATTTCAGGGAGAATCAGCTGAGTCTTGAGTTTCCAAACCTGGAATTCTTCCTAAGTAAAATAAATTAGATAATGGAAGGCCCCAACTCATCTGGAGAAATTTTTCCCAAACACCATAGGCTGCACATCGCGTCTACTTTTCTCTTTGCTTATGGAAGGGACCAAAGCAAGTGAAAACTCAGGCTGAGGCAAGCGCTTGAAGAACTTTGAAAATTCTAAAATAAGCAAATGGTACTGATTGCTATGCAATGAAACACACTGTTTCACATCCTAGCTACTCTCCATGAGTTACCACTCAAGAGATACTGAGTGCTTTCCCAGAATGAGCATGCAGGGCTGACAGGGAAAATCCCTGGAGCAGCAGACCTAATTCTTGCCACGTGGAAATGCACCAGAAAAACGCCATCCACATGAAGCATCACCTTCCCGCCCCCCCGGCACTGCAACTGCTCAAAGGAAAACTTGCTCGCTTCAGGACTGACATGTTTTACTTGGCAAAACCCAAACTACTGGGTAGCTAAGGGTTCCATTCAGTTGATAATTAGACTCTGTTATTTAAGGAATAAACCACAGTCACCAAAGAGCACATTTATCTTCACCGCCCCTCCTGGTAGCACTCTTGGACTTTTCTGTTTATTTTTTAAAGCAAACATATTAATCCAGAAAAGTATTTCAGTTCCTAAGAAGAGTGTCTGATTTCTTGGCAAGCGATCCCAGGTACAAAACCAACTTAATACCCAAATTACCTTTTTTGCTCCACAATGCTCCATGGTGACAGCCCAATGTATAAAGGTAGCTTTATCCATCCCTGTGCTAGCTTTCAGATTGACATTAAAGGAAATACATTATCTCTCACCCGTGTGGCAATGGAAAATTACTAGAAGGTTGATAACAGCCTACCCACTCTATTTGTAGCATTTAATGGTTTAGAAAGCACATTCATATAAGTTATTTCAAAAGAAAGTCAGCTTGTGAACTACAGAATTGTATACTTTGGTGGATTTTATCACAATTTTAAAAAAAGGAGGGCATAGTAAAAATTACTATTCATATTCTACAGTAAAGGAAATTTCTGCTCAAAAACATCAAATGGCTTGCCCAAGGCCATACCAGTATTAAATGATAGAGCATGGCCCCCAGCCCAGGTCTTCTGAATTTAAAGCCAGAGTTCCTTCCACCACAATTCACAGACCTCAAGCCTCCTGACCCTCTCCTCCATCTACCCTGCTGCCGGCCCTACCATTAGTGAGTATCTTTACATGGCCTAGCTTCTCTGTGGAGCTTTGATCAGCAATTCTGATGTAGATACTTACCCAACACTCCAGGAATAAATTTATTTTATTTTTTTATTTTTTTTGGAGATGGAGTCTCGCTCTGTCACCCAGGCTGGAGTGCAGTGGGGCGATCTCAGCTTACTGCAAGCTCTGCCTCCCGGGTTCAAGCGATTCTCCTGCCTCAGCCTCCCAAGTAGCTGGGACTACAGGCATATGCCACCACACCTGGCTAATTTTTGTATTTTTAGTAGAGACGGGGTTTCACCATGGCCAGGATGGTCTCGAACTCCTGACCTCAGGGGATCCAGGTGTGAGCCACTGCGCCCGGCCAAGAATAAAATTTTAAGTAGTTAACAGCATTTAAGCTATCATTATCACGTTTGTCCCACCACTAAACCAACAGAGAAAGAGAAAATCACCTCACAAAGAAAATAAGAGAAAATGTCCCCGGGCTCCTTCTTTTTGGAACACCCAAAAAGAAGTTTCTTATCAAGAGGCAGGGTGGCTCACTCACTGTGTATCTGGCCTTCCAGACAGGCACCTGGCAAGGAAGAATATTGAGGTATTTCCGAGGCTGGCGGTAATCCCAGAACTAGAAGAGAGCAAGCAAGATCATTTGTGAAATAAATGCCATTAAAAAATTCTACTGAAATAAGCACAGCCTTTGAACTCATTGCTTCTGGTCCTCTAAAGATACACTTCAACAACATATTTTTAGTTCAGCTCCTATAACCACGCACTGTGACAGAGACACAAAGAAACCTCCCTTTCTATTTCTAAAACATTACAGGAGAATTTCTGGACTTTATGAGGACCACTAAACGCGGCAGGTCACTGTCAACAGGTTTGATTACGAAATGACCTTTAGAGCTGAAAATTCAGAGTGACGTGTTTGATTTTGTATCACGTTTACATCTTGCAGGTAATTTAAGAACAAGAGCTGAAGTGTCCTGACTACTCATTACATTTCAGACATATATTTAGAACTTTTTTTTCCCATTTAATCTTTGTAACAACCATATATGTTATTAATCTCTTTTTCAAATGTAGAGGCTATATAAAGAAACGACATAATGTGCAAGGTCACAAAGAAAAAAGGCAGCTGTGTGAAAACCTAGGAGCCAATCCATTCAAGTCCACACCTGCTGTCATCCTCCAACATCTGAGGTGCAGTTCTTGAAATTGTAGAGCACACAAAGTGAGCCACACAAACTACCTTAGAGACACCTATGCTTCTAACGTGAGAGACACATACGCTTAGAACTCCAGCATTTGTCACAAAGGCAGGAAAGCCAAGAGTGAAACTCGGAACTGCTTAAGTTTAGGAAATTTTTTCAAAAATAGATGACAGCAATCACTCTGGAAATCGCTATGGCAATTTCTTTTTTTAATAGAGATGGGATCTTGCCATGTTGCCCGGGCTGGTCTCGAACTCCTGAGCTCAGGCAATCCTCCCACCTCGGCCTCCCAAAGTGCTGGGATTACAGGTATGAACTACCACTCCCGGCCACTTTGGCAATTTCCTATAAAGTTAAAAGTACACATACCATATGACCCAGCAATACCACTCCTACATAACTGCCCTAGGAAATTGAAAGTATCTGTTCACACAAAAACCCATATATGAATGTTTATAGTGGCTCTATTCACAATCACCAAAAACCAAAAATGGTCCAAATGTCCTTAAATGAGTCAACAGAAAATTAATGGTGGCATATACATAAGTGGAATACTACTCAGTACTAAAAAGTCTATGCATTATTAATTTTTAAAACAACTTAGATGACTCTTAAAGGCATTACGTTGAATGAAAAAAAGACAACCTTAAAAGGTTATATACTAGTCCGGGTGTGGTAGCTCATGCCTGTAATCCCAGCACTTTGGGAGGCCAAGGCAGGCAGGCAGGCAGATCACTTGAGGTCAGGAGTTCAAGACCAGCCTGGCCAACATGGCGAAACCCCATCTCTACCAAAAATACAAAAATTAGCTGGGCATGGTGGCACACACTTGTAGTCCCAGCTACTCAGGAGGCTGAGGCACAAGAATTGCTTGAACCCGGGAGGCAGAGGTTGTAGTGAGCCAAGATGGCAACACTGCACTCCAGCCTGGGCAACAGAACAAGACTCCATCTCAAAAAAAAAAAAAAAAAGCATTCTCAGAAAGACCAAATTATAGTGATGGGGAACAGACAAGTGGTTGCCAGAGGTTAGGGGTAGGAAAGGGTATGAGTGCAAAGGAATAACACGAGGTAGCTCTTCAGTGTCATGGAACTGTTTGATACCCTGTGTGGGCAGTTATATGCAACTCTGCATATGTTATATTTCACAGGTTTTCAATGCTCGTACAGTGGCTCATGCCTATAATCTCAGTGCTTTGGGAGGCTAAGGTAGGTGGATCACTTGAGGCCAGGAGTTCCAGATCAGCCTGGGCAACAAAGCAAGACCCTGTCTCCTCACCTAGCTGATTGGGAGGCTGAAGTGGGAGGAATGATTGAGTCAAGGGGTTCAAGGTTACAGTGAGCTATGATCATACCACTGCACTCCAGTGTGGGCAACAGAGCACGATCCTGTCTCAAAAAAAAATGTTTTTAATAAAAAAAAAAAAAAGTATATCAGACTATATGGAAAACAGTGAAAAAGTCTAATAAATTTTTTTTTTTTTTTTTGAGAGGGAATTTTGCTCTTGTTGCCCAGGCTGGAGAACAATGGTGTGATCTCGGCTCACTGCAACCTCCGCCTCCCAGGTTCAAGCGATTCTCCTGCCTCAGCCTCCCACGTAGCTGGGATTACAGGCACGCACCACCACGCCTGGCTAATTTTTTGTATTTTTAGTAGAGACGGGGTTTCACCATGGCCAGGCTGGTCTCGAACTCCTGACCTCAGGTGATCTGCCCACCTCGGCCTCCCAGAGTGCTGGGATTATAGGCATGAGCCACCGCGCCCAGCTGATGTATAATCATTGTTCCAGAGGAAAGGAAAGAGAAGGGATGAAACAGAAGTAATATTTGAAGACAGAATAAAGGTTGAAAATTTCCCCAAAGTGAGGATGGCCAACAAGCCACAGATGTAAGAAGTACTTTCCTCCTTCTTACAAAAGAAACCAGTTTTGATAATGGCCTTTAATAATCATAACCTTTTCTGTAGAAGGGGATGATCCACACGTGTACTCTCACACTGGCCTTCTCTGTTTCAAAACTTTTAGAGACTTAATAAAGTATAGGGATATATATTCAGGCCCAAAAATCTCTTACTAAACTTTAAAATATCAAAATGTTTTAAAACTGGTTTTACATTGTTTTAGAGCAAAAGAAGAGACTTTCCAAAGGTTTTGCTTGGTTTGGTTAATAACTTTGGGAATAAGCCTGAATGGAAATGGAAATGACTTGTCTGGAGTTTCATAACCTTCTGAAAAATTTAGAGTTCGAAGTGGGTGACTTTTTCTCCTCTCAAAAGAAAATGAGGATATCCCAAGGAAATATATAAATGAGCCAAGCTGGAATGCAAGGGAGAGTTCTATGTGCCAACAATGAGGTGTTAATAAATCTTAGAAGCTGTTCCTCTACTTAATGCACAATATGAATGAACAAGCATTACAGAGCACAGCACATATGAACGGGCAAACACCCAGCTGTAAAATCCTGCTTAGTTCCCCAGCCTGCCTGAGGGCTGGATGAGGTTCTTCCATTGAGTACGTGGGAAGAGATGAATGCAATCATTTCTGAGCAGAAGTGTTAGCATAATTTTGCCTATTTCCAAAAAAAAATTAATGATTTAGATTGAAAAGTTTAGATGGCATAACTGTTAAATTTAATGGCATCTCTGTTTTGATTCACTATGAAGACTAATAATCAAGTAGCTAAACATAAAATGAGAAAACTCAAGAATTTCTAGGAAGAAGCCAGGCACGGTGGCTCACACCTATAATCCCAGCACTTGGGAAGCTGAGGTAGGCAGATCACCTAAGGTCAGGAGTTAAAGACCACCCTGGCCAACATGGCAAAACCCCAACTCTACTAAAAATACACAAATTAGCCAGGCATGGTGGCACACGCCTGGAGTCCCAGCTACTTGCGAGGCTGAGGCAGGAGAATTGCTTGAACCCCGGAGGTGGAGGTTGCAGTGAGCTGAGACCGCGCCACTGCACTCCAGCCTGGGCAATAGAGCGAGACTCCATCTCAAAAAAAAAAAAAAAAAAAAGAATTTCCAGGAAGAAAATAAAAAAATAAAACTTCTAAAAAACTTCTGATGTTTTAGATTTGCTGCTCTTTAAAAAACACACACACACACACACACACACACACACACACAAAACTCAGCTTTCTCATTTTCAGTCCAAGGGACACACTTGGTGGCAGCAAGAGAAACTACTCCATGGCTGTTTTTTTCAAAAGATCGTTTCCATGTCACATGAGATGTGTATTTAAAGAACCAGATGCTGGACTTGAAGAGGAAGGTATCAAGGATTCCTTTTTTTCCCCTTTTCTTTATTCTTTCTTTCTTTTTTTTTTTTTTTTTTGAGACGGAGTCTTGCTCTGTTGCCAGGCTGGAGTGCAGTAGCGCGATCTCGGCTCACTGCAACCTCCGCCTCCCAAGTTCAAGCGAATCTCCTGCCTCAGCCTCCCGAGTAGCTGGAACTACAGGCATGCACCACCACGCCCAGCTAATTTTTGTATTTTTAGTAGAGACAGGGTTTCACCATGTTGGCCAGGATTAGCTCAATCTCTTGACATCGTGATCCACTCACCCCAGCCTCCCAAAGTGCTGGGATTACAGGTGTGAGCCACTGCATCCAGGTTTTTTTTTTTTTTTTTTTTGAGACAGAAGACAGAATCTCACTTTGCAGCCCAGGCTGAAGTATAGTGACAGGATTATGGCTCACTGTAGCCTTGACCTCCCCAGTTCAAGTGATCTTCCTGCCTCAGCAGCCTTGTGAGTAGATGGGACTACAAGGGCACACCACCACATCCGGCTAATTTTTTTTATTTTTCTATAGAGACGAGGTCTCCCTATGTTGCGCAGGCTGGTCTTGAACTCCTGGGCTCAAGTGATCTGCTTGCCTAAACCTCCCAAAGTGCTGAGATTACAGGTATGAGCCACTGCGCCCAGCTTTTTTCCCTGTTCTTGTAAGGCCAGATTTACCTTACGTGGGATAGCTACATTGAAAGAAGTTATGCAATTATCCTTAGTTTTATGTTAAAATACTCCAATGAAATGGGTGCACTGGCTCATGCCTGTAATCCCAGCACTTTGGGAGGCCAAGGCGGGCAGATCACTTGAGGTCAGGAGTTCGAGACCAGCCTGGTCACCATGGCGAAACCCTGTCTCAATTGAAAAAAGAAAATACAAAAATAATCCGGGTGTGGTGGTGTGCATCTGTAATCCCAGCTACTCAGGAAGCTGAGGCACAAGAATCGCTTGAACCCAGGAGGTGGAGGCTGCAGTGAGCTGAGATCACACCACTGCACTCCAGCCTGGATGATAGGGCGAGACTCTGTCTCAAAAAAAATAAAAGAGACAATACACAGAATGGGAGAAATGATCTGCAAACCATCTATGTGACAAGGGATTAATAACCAGAATATATAAGAATCTCAAACAACTCAATAGGAAAAAAATCTAATAATCCAATTAAAACATGGGCAAAAGATCTGAACAGACATCTCTCTTTTCTTTTCTTTTCTTGAGACGGAGTCTCACTCTGTCGCCCGGGCTGGAGTGCAGTGGTACAATCTCCGCTCACGGCAAGCTCGTCCTCCCGGGTTCATGCCATTCTCCTGCCTCAGCCTTCCGAATAGCTGGGACTACAGGCGCCCGCCACCATGCCCAGCTAATTTTTTTGTATTTTTAGTAGAGACGGGGTTTCACTGTGTTAGCCAGGATGGTCTCGATCTCCTGACCTCGTGATCCACCTGCCTCGGCCTCCCAAAGTGCTGGGATTATAGGCGTGAGCCACTGCGCCCGGCTGAACAGACATCTCTCAAAGGAAGACATACAAATGGCAAACAGTATATGAAAAGATGCTCAACATCACTGATCATCAGAGAAATGCAAATCAAAACTACAATGAGATATCATCTCACACCGATTAAAATGGCTGTTATCCAAAAGACAGGCAATAATGAACGCTGGCAAGGATGTGGAGAAAAGGGAATTCTCATACACTGTTGGTAGGAATGTAAATTAGTACGGCCACTATGGAGAACAGTATGGTGATTCCTCAAAAAACAAAGAATAGAACTATCATATGATCCAGCAACCCCACTGCTAGGTATACACCCCAAAGAAAAAAAACCAGTATAGCGAAGAGACATCTGCATGCCCATATTTATTGCAGTATTACTCACAATAGCCAAGGTCTAGAAGCAACCTAAATGTTCATCAACAGACAAACGGAAAAGAAAATGTAGTGCATATACACAATGGAGTACTATTCATCCATGAAAAAGAATGCAATCCTATCATTTACAACAACATGGAAGGAACTAGAGGACATTATGTTCAGTGAAACAAGCCAGGCACAGAAAAATAAACTTTGCATGTTCTCACTCATTTGTGGGAGCTAAAAATTAAAACAATTGAACTCATGAAGATAGAGAGCAGAATGATGGTTACCAGAGGCTGGGAAGCGTAGTGGGGTAGAGCGGGGGGAGCCAGAAGTGGGGATGGTTAATGGGTAGAAAAATATAGTTAGGCAGAATGAAAAAGAGCCAGTATTTGACAACACAACAGGGTGATTATAGTCAGTAATAATTTATTGTACATTTAAGAACAACTGAAAGGGTATGATTAGAATGTTTATAACAGAAAAAAATGATAAATGCTTGAGGTGATGGACACCCAATTTGCCCTAATGTGATTATTACTCATTATATGCCTGTATCAAAATATCTCATGTACCCCATACATATATACACCTACTAGCTACCCATAAATTTCTCTTTAAAAAATGGAAACAGTAAAACGAAAAACAGAACAAAACAAAAAACTCTCAAATCCTTGCTGAAGGTGTACCTCAGGGAAAAATCAGCAGTGAGTTAAATTAATGGCTGTGAATGGTAGAATATAAAATAAGAAGCTTGAAAACATGGTAAAAACAAAACACAAAAATCAAATAAAGAAAAATGGAAAAAAATTCCAGTACCTTGAAACAAACTTTATGAAAGTTTTTTTTAATTAATATATAAACACAGAAAAAAGTTCTGCCAGGAACGCTGGCTCACTCCTGTAACCCCACTACTTTGGGAGGTCAAGGTGGGTAGATCACCTGAGGTCAGGAGTTCGAGACCAGCCTGGCCAACATGGTGAAACTCTGTCTCTACCAAAAATACAAAAGCTAGCCAAGTGTGGTGGCACATACCTGTTATCCCAGCTACTAGGGCGGCTGAGGCAGGAGAATCATTTGAATCCAGGAGGAGGAGGTTGCAGTGAGCTGAGATTGTGCCACAACACTCTAGCCTGGATGACAGAGAGAGACTCCATCTCAAAAAAAAAAAAAAAAAAAAAACAGAAAAGAAAAGAAAAGAAAAAAGTTCAGGTAATGTCTCGGAGCAAGACTCCATCTCCAAAAAAAAAGGAAAAAGGGAAGAAAAAAGTTCAGGTAATGTTCTAATGAAGATGAATCCCTGGAGAAATCAGACTATGTAGTTTGATAATTTGGATTTATAAATATCTATGTGTGTTTTCCTGACTTTATCACAGTATAAACATTGATTTTTAACATACTATTCTAACTTAAATAAGCCTTGGGTTTATTTTCTCATGGAAAGCTTAATTAATTTAAACTTCCTAAATTATGTAACTATTTATATGAATTACAGGAGTTATCATTTCCACAAAATATTTAAAATTATTAAAATATAAAAATTACATTAAATCGAATGAATGAAAACAACTGATGCTTTTAAAAAAATGTTTGCTCTTATGAACTTTCTTTTTTCTTTTTTGAGAGATGGTATCCCTTTTTCAGGCAGGTTGGAGTGCAGCGGCACAATCTTGGCTCAATACAACCTCGACCTCTTGGGCTTGAGCTATTCTCCCACCTCTGCCTCCCAAGTAGCTGGGACTACAGGTGGTTGCTACCATGCCTGGCTAATTTTTTGCATTTGTTGCAGAGATGGGGTTTTGCCATGTTGCCCAGGCTGGTCTCAAACTCCTAAGTTCAAGCAATCTGCCCGCTTCAGCCTCCCAAAGTGCTGGGACTACAGGTATGAGTCACTGCACCCGGCTGAACTTTCTATAATAATAAGGATCACAAGAGCTGAGTCTACAGCCTGGTGAACATGGGGAGACCCATCTCTTAAAAAAACCTCAAAAATTAGCCAGGCATTGTGGCTTGCACCTGTAGTCCCAGCTACTCTGGAGGCTGACATGGGAAGATCGTTTGAGCCCAGGAGGCCAAGCCTGAAGTGAGCTGTGATTGTGCCATTGTATTCCAGCCTGGGTAACAGAGCAAGATCTTGTCTCAAAAAAAAAAGAACAACTTAGCTATTCCATTACAGTATCAAGGTAAATATGTTTAATATTTCTTTAACAAACTCTTAATATAAACTTTTGCTCCTGTGTTATAATATCAACTTAAATTATAATTTCAAAATCTTTAAGACCTTGAACTAATATTAATGAATAACCTTTGAATATATAATGTTTAAGCATAATTTTATATATACACATATATATATTTATTTTATTTATTTATTTTTTTAAGAGATAGGGTCTCACTCTTACCTAAACTGGAGTGCAGTGGTCTGATCACAGCTCATTGCAGCCTCAAACTCCTGGGCTCAAGCAATCCTCCTGCCTTAGCTTCCTGAGTAGCTGGGATGACAGGTGCATGCTACCAGCCCAGCTATTTTTTTATTTTTTAGAAACAGGGTCTCACTATGTTGTCCAGGCTCATTTCAAACTCCAGTCCTCAAGGGATCCTCCCACCTCGGCCTCTCAAAGTGCCAGGATTACAGGCATGAGCCACCATACCCAGCCAAGAGTATCTTTTGAAAATTGAGTCATGAAACATAATTTTTACACACACACACACACACACACACACACACACACACAACTATCCTGGCTCCTTATTTTGATACTATTTATTTATCTGAGACAGGGTCTCACTCTGTCACCCAGGTTGGAGTGCAGTGGTGTGATCACAGCTCACTGCAGCCTCAACCTCCTCGGCTCCAACAATCCTCCTACCTCAGCCTTATGGGTGGCTGAGACTACTGGTATGCACCATCACACCAAGGTAATTTGTTTATTTTTTGTAGAGATGGGGTTTCACTATGTTGGCCAGGCTGGTCTCCACCTCCTGGGCTCAAGTGATCCTCCCTCCTCAGACTCCCAAAGTGCTGGGATTACAGGGGTGAGCCACCATGCCCAGTCTTGATTGTTTATTGATTGTCCAGTTAATAGGGTGAAAGGATTTACAAATACCTTTCGATCACATTAGTATACATGCTTACTTCTGCTGCCTTAAAAATGTCAAATGTTATCTATGATTGTAAGAGGATGTGTTTGCAAGATAATACATGTGTTTCTTGATTTATCAAGGAGAAAAATGGAATAATTTCGCCTTATATATTACATGTTGACAAAGCTGGCCAAATGTTATGGATTTTCTTGTAAAAAATGCCTTGTGGAAAAGATTTTTGTGCAAAACATTATATGGATAGTACACAAAAGGAATAAAATTAAAATGCCAGCCTGGGCAACATAGCAAGACCCTACCTCTACAAAAAAAACAAAATAATTTGACATGGTGGCATACACCTGTAGTCCTAGCAACTTCAGAGGCTGAGGTGGGAGGATCACTTGAGCCCAGGAGTTCAAGGCTGCAGTGAGCTGTGATCATGCCACTTGGAGTGCAGCCTGGGTGACACAGTGAGATCCTGTCTCTAAAAAAGAAAAATCACACCTAAAATGTAGGTTTTATTTCCATTTAAACAGCAACTGATCTCTGAGCACATCATTTGTTTAAAACAGTAAAAACTCAGTCTACACCTAGAGAGCAGAGATTCACCAAAATACTGTTACTTTTTGTGTTTTTCATAAAGCTCATGAATCATATGCCTAAATCCCTTGTTTTTTAAAAATGCTACCATTCTTAATAATTTTTATCACTTACTGCTGTATTTAACTTTAGTTTCACTATATATCAAGACTGCAATCATTTCTTATCTTTATTTATTTATTTATTGAGATGGAGTTTAGCTCTTGTCGCCCAGGCTGGAGTGCATGTGGCATGATCTCAGCTCACTGCAACCTCCACCTCCCAGGTTCAAGCGATTCTCCTGCCTCAGCCACCCAACTAGCTGGGATTACAGGCTGCACCACCACACCAAGCTAATTTTGTAATTTTAGTAGAGATGGAGTTACACCATGTTAGTGGGGCTAGTCACGAACTTCTGACCTCAGGCGATCCACCCGCCTCGGCCTCCCAAAGTGTTGGGATTACAGGCGTGAGCCACCGCACCAGCCATTTCTTATCTTTAGACCCTTATATAACAACTCTTTTTTGCCAAATTCAGGTCCTATGTTCAAAATAATAAAATGGTCAAGATGTCTTTTCAGCTTAAACTACTTTTGGGTTTCCCACATGGCCACAGGGTAAACTATAATTCGCCCCTCAACTTATAAAAGGAATGATACTCAAAATAATTAGATATGCTTGTCATTCTGCAGATTTTTAATGAGCTCTACACTGTGCATGCCTCCCTATTATCAAATCCACAGTATGTGGAAAGCTAGCAAAGAAAAGTTCAGCCTCCCCAGATTAATTATATACAAGTAAAATGTTGTTAATATGAATACATTTCAGCAACTGTTTACTTTTCAATTTGGATAGAAACATATTCACGTTCATGCATAAAGACTGGCATATAACTGTTAGCAAGATTAATCCTTTTTTTTTAAGAAAAAAAGAAAGATTTTGTTTCTAGATTTAAATATGTTCACCAACTGGTGACAATTATACAATTTATGGGATTAATTAGAGGACCCTGGAGATTTGATAATATCCTCACTGTTCATAACATGCTCTTGCTCTCAAGGCAATCACTGATGCAGTCTTATAAAACGATTATATGTCATTTGCAAACAGAAGACTTCATTCTATTTCAATCTGATACAGGTAGTTATTATAAATTAACCGGAGCCATTCCATCCCCCCATTCACAGATAATTTCTCCTTTTCATTTACCCTTTTCTAAGGGTCCCTGCTACAAGCTACAGATCAGAAAAAAGTCCTCTGAAGAAATATCAGGGGCCAGGTGTGGCTCACGCCTGTAATCCCAACACTTTGGGAGGCTGAAGCAGGAAGACTGCTTGAGCCCAGGAGTTCAAAACCAGCCTGGGCAAGACAGTGAAACAAAATATATATTTGTTCTTTATATATAGATATATACATATCTATATAGACAAAGAGAAATATAAAGAAATATCAGAAGAGCCTTGGTCAAAAAAGAACCAGGTTTCCTTGAGGGTTGATGTCCTAGGAAACAGACTCAAAGCTACATGTTTCTCACCAGAATGTAGCAAGGGTGGTCGGGCATGGTGGCTCATGCCTATAATCCCAGCACTTTGGGAGGCCGAGACAGGGAGAATGCTTGAGGTCAGGAGTTTGAAACCAGCCTGGCAAACATGGTGAAATTCCATCTCTACTAAAAATACAAAAATTAGCCTGGCATGTTGGTGCACCCTTGTAATCCCAGCTACTGAGGGAGGCTGAGACATGAGAATTGCTTGAACCTGGGAGGCAGAGGCTGCAGCGAGCCAAGATCACACCACTGCAATCGAGCCTGGGCAACAGAGCAAGACTCTGTCTCAAAAAAAAAAGAATGTACCAAGTGACTATGTCTGGATTTCCAGGACTCTCTTTGTCTAGAAGGCAGCAATTTTGTGAAATAGGCTGCTGTTAACCCAAGATCAGGGAAAAAAAAAGATTATGTAAAATGATATAAACTCATTTAATTGTAGTTAATGTTCTATTTCTAAGGGCCACATAAGAAAAATTCTTTTCTTTCTTCTTGATCTATCCCTAACCTTCAACTCAATTGTTTTGTAGTTAAATAATTTATAAACTGAAGTGAAATACACATTTAGTGATACCTTGCTCCAGCTGACCCCTTAGAATTTAGAAAATAAAAATATAATAAAAATAATTAATATAAATTATGAGCTAATAAATTGTCATATAAACTTAAAAATGATTATGTAGAAAAATTACACATATTGGTCCTTATCTACTAAAAAAATGGTTGAATGTTATGCAAAGTCCCTTTTCTAAGTTTCTTCACTTTTTATGATCATGCTATTTACATACATTCAATAAAAATTGTCTTGCTAGCACTGTGGGAGGCCAAGGCAGGTAGAGCACAAGGTCAAGAGATTGAGACCATCCTGGCCAACATGGTGAAACCCCATCTCTACTAAAAACACAAAAGTTAGCTGGACATGGTGGCATGCACCTATAATCCCAGCTGCTCAGGAGGCTGAGGCAGGAGAATCGCTTGAACCTGGGAGACGGAGGTTGCAGTGAGCCGAGATCGCGCCACTGCACTCCAACCCGGGTGACAGAGCAAGACTCCACCTCAAAAAAAAAAAAAAAATTGTCTTCCTTCTAGGATATAGTGGAATAAATCAAATACCATGCCAAAAATCTCATTTCATTAATAAGCTAAGCCTGCTGGTAAAGAACAGAGAAGACTTTGTATGGGGAAATAATGCCCCAGCCTCCCAAAGTGCTGGGATTATAGGCATGAGCCACCATGCCCGACCACCCTTGGTACATTCTGGTGAGAAACACGTAGCTTTGAGTCTGTTTCCTAGGACATCAACCCTCAAGGAAACCTGGTTCTTTTTTGACCAAGGCTCTTCTGATATTTCTTTATATTTCTCTTTGTCTATATAGATATGTATATATCTATATATAAAGAAAAAATATATAAAGTCCTCCCAGGAAACTGGCTGTTACCTGCTTTATTACCTAGGAAACCCCAGACTCACAGGTAGGAAAGATGACACTGAGTATCAACAAACTTGGGCATCTCATAGAAAGAGGTAGAGTTGAACTGGATGGCTTCTGGTTCCTGAACTTGGGAGACAAGCTGATTGGGGTACAGGGACAGAAACCCAAATGCAGCCGGGCATGGTAGCTCATGCCTGTAATCCCAGCACTTTGGGAGGCCGAGATGGGCGGATCACTTGAGGTTAGGAGTTCGAGACCATCCTGGCCAACATGGTTAAACCCTGTCTGTACTAAAAATACAAAAATTAGCCAGGCATGATGGCGTGCATCTGTAATCCCAGCTACTCAGGAGGCTGAGGCAGGAGAATCGCTTGAACCCAGGAGCGGAGGTTGCAGTGAGCCGAGATCACACCACTGCACTCCAGCCTGGGTGACAAAGTGAGACCCAGTCTCAAAAAATAAATAAATAAATAAAAACAAAAAATCAAACGTAATACGAACGAACAAACAAAAAAGTCACATCTGACACATTAAAAATAACTTACAACCCTAAGAGATTTACAAACTTCAAGACAGGAGTTAACTTTTAACTTAGTATATGACTGTAGTTTTGCTAATCATACCACAAAGATGTCATATATGACTATATAAATACAACAAAGCATTAAATAAATGACACTGAATCATAAAATTGCTAAACCAATTTCTGTGGTCAAACCCCTGTCCTCAGAGACCTGACCACAAGGAGGAACTACTGGAACAAAGATGACTCTGCCCTGCCATCATTCTGACCAAGGGTGAACATCCCATGTCACAGAGAGGAAAGACAAACAAACAACACTGTACCTTGTGATAAACCAGAAATAATCGGGTTACTGAAACACATAAAATCTTGAGCATTTCCTGTAAGTTAGAGAATCACTAATAAAATGACTCTATCCCTGAACTGTGAAATGCTGATGCCTGAAAACGTCAGAACTTTCTACATACGATAAGCATGTGAGGGAGCAGCTGTTTTTCCACCAGGAATAGACTAATTGTAAACTTTGAAACCTTAACAACTGTAGACTTTTCTCCTTTACTTATATCTGTCATACATATCTGACTTCCTTGCAGCTTCTTCGCAAGGGAACCTCTTTCCCTTTCTTGAGGCAGAGGCTCGCTCGGTCGCCCAGGTTGGAGTGCAGTGGATCAATCTCAGCTCAATGCAACCTTTGCCTCCCAGGTTCAAGCGATTCTTGTGTCTCAGCCTCCCAAGTAGATGGAATTACAGGTGTGCGCCACCACACCCAGCTAATTTTTGTATTTTTAGTAGAGACTAGGTTTCACCATATTGGCCAGGCTGGTCTTGAACTCCTGACCTTAAGTGATCTGCCTGCCTCAGCCTCCCAAAGTGCTGGGATTACAGGTGTGAGCCACCATGCCCGGCCAACTTCTTTCCCTTTCTAAGTACTTTTGTCTCTGACTTCCTTTCACAAAGGGAAAGACGAAAACCTTCTGAACAAATTCTAAGAGACGTATCAGAGGAGATGCTATGGCATGTCACTCTGCCATCATAACACAATGTGGTTATGCTGAACAGCACCATGCTGGGTCTCGCTCTGTCGCATTTTGCTGGTCAGCATAACCAAATTTATGTGTTCAGTTGCCCAAGAAGCACATGCACCGTGAAATACATACTGTGCTAACACACTGCAGCTTTCCAACCAAGGTGGAATCATACATCCCTGATGCCACCCAAACACTGCTCCTCCAACTTCCCCATGGGTGCCACTGACCTTCACAGAATTGTCTTGACTGGAGGTAGCAAGAATGTGCTCGCTGTCTGGGTGCCAGTCCAGGCCATGGATTTTGGAGAGGTGGGCGGCTAGATATTCCACTGCTGTACTGGGTTTCTGCAACAGATCAGCACCTAATATTATCGATTTAGAAAGAACTCTTTGAGTGTCTATCACGTAAAAGTCTGCTAGGTAGTGAGTGAGGATGCAAAAATACTACCAGATACTGTCTCTACCCTACACAGACTTTGTTTGTTTTGGTTAAGCCAAACAAAACACCATCACCAAAAGACTTATCCAACGCTCCTTCACATGCTCTGAAAATGCGCCTGTGAGCCTCGTTTCTTCCCACTTCAATGAAGGATACAAGGTAGTAGGTGCTTTTCACCCCCTTTTTTGTTTTTTGAGACGAAGTCTTGCTCTGTCACCCAGGTTGGAGTGCAGTGGCACGATCACAGCTCACTGCAGCCTCAACTTCCTGGGCTCAAGCAGTCCTCCCACCTCAGCCCTCCAAGTAGCTGGGACTACAGGTGCACACCACTAAGCCTGGCTAATTTTTTTGTATTTTTTCTAGAGATGGGGTTTTGCATGTTGTCCAGGCTGGTCTTGAACTCCTGGGCTCAAGCGAACCCCCTGCTTTGGCCTCCCAAAGTGTCTGGATTACAGGCACGATCCACTGTGCCCGGCCTCACACTTTAACAGTGCAGTCTGACAATTCCCACTCGTCTCCCCCATGATCACCCAAGAAGAGAGACTGAGACATCCAAATGGACTCAGCTTCAACAAGAGGGTAAAACCATGCATCTTAAAGTGATGGAGCACTAAGATTCCAAAGGAGAATGAATGTACATCACAAAAAAAAACAATACATGATTAATAAGCATAGAAAATAAACAGGCCGGGCACGGTGGCTCATGCCTGTAATTCCAGCACTTTGGGAGGCCAAGGTGGGTGGATCACCTGAGGTCAGGAGTTTGTGACCAGTCTGGCCAACATGGTGAAGCTGGTCTCGAACTCCTGGCCTCAAGCAATCCTCTTGCCATGGCCTCCCAAAGTGCTGGGATTACAGGTTTGAGCCACTTTTCCCAGCCCAAAATTTTTCCTGTCTTAAGGGAATAATCCAAACTCACAAAAAGCTTTAGATATAAAAGAAGTTCATCTTGGTGTTATCTGAAACACTAGAAAACCAGAAAAAAAACCTAAATGATCAACAAATGGGAAATAATGAAGCTGAATCAATATACTACAGCTATGCGACACCAAATGATGATACAATATGATGTAGCCACTGAAAATTATACTTAGAGCTTATAGTACGAGGATAATGCATCTGTTCTAATGTTAAATGAAAAAAAAGTGTACACAACTACGTACACAGTACGACAAACTAAGTTTAAAAAAAAAAAGCATAAGAACAGAAAACACCAAAATGTTAGCATTTGTCTCTGGGTAGTAGGATTATGAATGATTTTTATTTTTTCATTTATATTTTCTACAGAGAGCATGTATTACTTCCATAATTAGCATTAGTCTATGAGGATAAGAGTGCAGTCTCCAGGCTGGGTGGAGTGGCTCACACCTATAATCCCAGTGTTCTGGGAGGCCAAGGCAGGAGGATGACTTGAGACCAAAAGTCAAGACCAGCCTGGGCAACACAGTAAGATTCCCATCTCTACAAGAAAAAAATTTTTTTAATTACCTCATCATAGTGGTGCATACCTGCAGTCCCAGCTACTCAGCTGGGAGGATCACTTGAGTCCAGGAGTTTGAGGCTGCAGTGAGCTATGATTGTGCAACTGCACTCCAACCTGGGAGACAGAGGGAGACTGTCTCAAAAACAAAAAACAGAGAGCAGTCTCTAGAACCAGCCTGCCTGGGTTCAAATTTTGGCAGCAAATTTGCTTCAGTTTACTCATCTGTAAAAAAGGGATAATAATAGCACACACTGGCCAGGCGCAGTGGCTCACGCCTGTAATCCCAGCACCTTGGGAGGCAAAGGCGGATGGATCACCTGAGGTCAGGAGTTCAAGACCAGCCTGACCAACACGGTGAAACCCTGTCTCTACTAAAAATAAAAAAATTAGCCAGGCGTGGTGGTGGGCACCTGTAATCCCAGCTACTCGGGAGGCTGAGGCAGGAGAATCGCTTGAACCTGGGAGGTGGAGGTTGCAGTGAGCCAAGAATGCGCCATTGCACTCCAGCCTGGGCAACAGAGTGAGACTCTGTCTCCCAAAAAAAAAAAAACAACAACAAAAACAAACAAACAAAAACATGTACTTTAAAGGCTAATTATAAAGAGATATTAATCAATAAATGTAAAACTCTTAAAAGAAGGCCTATGTACAATAAATGCTCAGTAAATGTTAATATGATAGTCATACATGAGTCTGGATTAAAATCCACTGTTAGCACTGACACTGAACTTTGTGAAGTCTGTAATGCTTGCTGCCATCAGTGCTGCTTTGACACTACAAAGTGCCAGAGAAGTGAAAATATAATCAACAAGTTCTACAACTCACCTGAGCAGAAGTCCTAAGTATCATTATTTTAATTTTATTTATTTATTTAATTTTTGAGACGGAGTCTTGCTCTGTCATCCAGGCTGGAGTGCAGTGGCGCGATCTCGGCTCACTGCAAGCTCCGCCTCCCGGGTTCAAGCGATTCTCCTGCCTCAGCCTCCCGAGTAGCTGGGACTACAGGCGCCCGCCATCACGCCCAGCTAAATTTTGTATTTTTAGTACAGACGGGGTTTCACCATGTTAGCCAGGATGGTCTCGATCTCCTGACCTCGTGATCCACCCGCCTCAGCCTCCCAAAGTGCTGGGATTACAGGTGTGAGCCACCGCGCCCAGCCGAAAATGCTGTTATAGTGACAAACTGAATAAAACCAATCACTAGTTAGGAAATAAAGAAGGCCAGGAGCAGTGGCTCATGTCTGTAATCCCAGCACTTTGGGAGGCTGAGGTGGGAGGATCGCTTGACCCCAGGAGTTCGAGGTCAGCTTCAGCAACCTTGTCTCTACAAAAAAAAAATTTTTTTTAATTGGCTGGGTGTGGTGGCATGTACCTGTAGTCCCAGTTACTCAGGAGGCTGAAGCAGGAGAATAGCTTGAGCCCAAGAGGTCGAGGCTGCAGTGAGCCATAGTTACACTACTACACTCCAGTCTGGGTGACAGAATGAGGCTCCATCTCAAAAAAAAAAAAAAAGAAGGGGAAAATGGCCATAAAGGAACAGAAGACAAAAACTAACATATAGAAGATGTGGCCAGGCGTGGTGGCTCACGCCTATAATCCCAGCACTTTGGGAGGCCGAGGTGGGCAGATCACTTGAGGTCGGGAGTTCAAGACCATCCTGGCCAACATGTGAAACCCCATCTCTACTAAAAAATACAAAAATTAGCTGGGCGTGGTGGTGTGCACCTATAGTCCCAGCTACTGGGGAGGCTGAGGCAGGAGAATTGCTTGAACCTGGGAGGCGTAGGTTGCAGTGAGCCAAGGTCCCCACTGTACTCCAGCCTGGACGACAGAATGAGACTCTGTCTCAAGAAAAAAAAAAAAAAGAAGATGCACCTGCCCAACCTCTATGAAATCACCTTCTCACCTAAGAGCTATCTAAGGCAGAGGGCTTCTGCCACATAAGGCTTCCCCAGCATGTCCTGGAGCCTAATGCAGCAGACAGGATCTGCCACGCCTGATCTCTGCTCCACTTCTCGCTTCTCTTCCAAACGTATGGAGGGAAGGGAGCAGCCGGAAGATAAGACAGTGGGGACATCCCTGAACAAGCCATCCCCACAATGCCTGAGCATCTGTAGCCCCAGGTCTCACAGGCAGGAAGCAGGATTTACACCCAGGTCTCATGGCAGTGATGGCTCTGTTCATTATTACCTAACAGTCTGGCAGTCAATGCAGGGGAGGCCTTTTCCCTGTGCCACGACCCTCACTGAGGCCAACACAATCAACTTCAGTAGACTTTCCATTACAGCCACAGCCAAGGACCCAGCACTGTTTCCATCTCTAGGTGTCCATGGGCTGCTGCAGTAAGAACGTATGAGTGATATGCACAATACTTTGAGGCTGATGGGATGTCTAGGCTTGTAAGAGTAAATGTAAGCATCATGAGCACCCTACCTTGCTCATCGTTATTGGAAGTATTCAGGATGGCAGGCATCCGAGAACAAATACATTTCACTTTGCAAGCAGGGGCAGGGATAAGAAGCCTGCTGACAATTCTAGAATAGCGCCTGGGCTCCACGGCTTAACCCCACTGACACACACACTGTTAGTGTCTTTATTTTGAAGGAAACTGAGGTTAAGAGAAGTGACGGTGGCTTACCTGGTGTCATAATTAGGAGGTGGCAAAATGGAGCTGATTTTTTCAACCACTGTTCCTAATGTCTCACTTCCCTAGTTTCCTTCAACACTGGATTGAGACGCAAATATCGTCTGGTACTATGAGCTTAAAATGGTCATTTACCATGCTGCACAGGGTTCCCCAGACTCTCAAGCCAAGTCCTGGCACTCATAAAATCATCTTCACACCCTCTGGGAGGGATCAAAGACCAATAAGGGCGAAAAAAGAGATTACTCACCCTCTTATCCCATATCCGCACATCGCCGTCATGGCTGGTGGCAAGGCAGTTAGCATTTTTTTTATTCCATTTGACCTGGGAGGCACCCGCTGCAAAGAAAAATCAGGGAAGAAAGCTGCTGCCCTTGGTGCTTTCGGAAGCAGAGCAGAGCACAGCCAGGGGAGCTGGATAATGAGTTCTGGCTGAATAAGCCCAGAACCCTTCAAGTTTCTGTGACTGCACCAACTCCACTATTCCAGATAAAATGAAGCCAAAAAATAAATGAATTAACACATGGGAACAGGATCATAGTCACCTAATTGAGGAAATAATCTCAGGGGAAAAAATCTACAGGTCACTCTGAGCAGAATCAGCAGGAAAACATAGTTTCTTACAGAGCAGTAGTTGAGCATGGCACTGCTGGCTAGTAATTGACTTGTCACACAACCTGACCCTTTCTCATCCCCAAATGACACCTGCTCGCACTCCTAATTAGAACAGCCTCAGCTGTTATGCCTGCCCCCTTTTTTTTTTTTTTAATTGTTGAGCAATAGTCTTAGAAAAACACAGCCTTAGCTGAAGACCAGCTACAGAATAAGCCCCGATGTTGACCAATTCTGTCCTAAGGGTTACATGCTCCCCGCACCCCACTCCCCATCAGCTATGTCAGCCGTGGCCACTGGCACCACACTGATAAGGGAAAGGGAACACCCTTGGCAGTATGTGACCTCAGTCCTTTTCCCTCTCTGCCAATACAGAGTGTCATTGATACATTAGTGACAAAAGGGCTACTTAAGACAGGAGGCATAATGTGAGATGCCAGAAAGAGCTGAGACATGGAAAACTGGGACACAGTGGCACCTCTAGCTGACTTTTAAAAAATAAATCATTAATCAAGAACCAAACCAGAACTGAAGTGACAGCACTCCTTCCTGTCTCCTCCTGCCCTTGCTCACAGCACACATGACATTACTGCTGTGACACCTGTCCCTCTGCCTGGTGTTTATTACTGAGGAAGCCCATAGTAGATCCACAGCTTTGGGGAGCTACTTGATCCAAGAAGTCCAGAGTAGGACAGAGCAATGACTCAGAATCTAACAGGACATACAGCATTAAGCCCAGAACTTGGTCCTGTCCAAGGATATGCTGTGTTGGTTTTGATGACACTATTTGTCTGTCTTGTTCTTTCTTGAGACATAAGGTATCTTATGTCATCTAGAACAAATGGTGGAGACCAGTGAAGATGAAGCAAGGAAGAGTATTAGGAGGTGGCTTCTTCGCACGGAAGGATATCAGCTGGAGGAGAAAGTGAGTGAGAAGAGCTTGCTCTACCTCCTTGACAGAGTTACTTAAGAGTCCAAGAGAACACACCTTTCCCAGTGGGGAGGCATCAGAACTCGAGGGCTCCCAAGGGACTCTGGGAAGCCCCCTCAATGCAACCTGCTTTATCAAGATCATTATACCAGAGGCCAGGCGCAGTGGCTTGCACCTATAATCCCAGCACTTTGGAAGGCTGAGACAGGCGGATTACCTGAGGTCAGCAGTTCAAGACCAGCCTGGCAAACATGGCAAAACGCTGTTTCTACTAAAAATACAAAAATTAGCCAGGTGTGGTGGCGTGCACCTGTAATCCCAGCTACTTGGGAGACTGAGGCAGGAGAATTGCTTGAACCTAGTAGGGGGAGGTTGCAGTGAGCTAAGACTGCACCACTGCACTCAGGCCTGGGCAACAGAGCAAGACTGTCTCAAAAAAAAAAAAAAAAAATCATTACACCAGGGTCGAATGGAGGTCCCGGGCTATGAGAACTCTCAGACACAGAGAACACTCTGGAATACTCACAACGTGACTCCCTATCCCAAAGGGCATGAATAATGTGCCCCCTGAGAGATGGGGACCACAGGCTCTGGGAAGCAGGCAGTACCCGAGGCTGTACCACTCGGGGTATGCTAGATCCAGCAGCTTATCAAGGTCCACAAGCCTCTCACTTGCCTCTTTTCCCCCAGGGTAGATCTGCACCACTGAGAAACCTCACTGAGTACAAAGGAAAGAAGTCTTCTACTTCCATTTTTTAAGAAAGATCTATAACAGAAAAAAAAGCAATGAGAACAGGCAGGCTAAAAAAAGAACCACTTTCAGCTGGGCGCAGAGGCTCACTCCCAGCACTTTGGGAGGCCGAGGCAGGTAGGCCACAAAGTCAGGAGTTAGAGACCAGCCTGGCCAATATGGTGAAACCCCATCTCTACTAAAATTACAAAAATTAGCTGGGTGTGGTGGCCCATGCCTGCAGTCCCAGCTGCTCGGGAGGCTGAGGCAGGAGAATCGCTTGAACCCAGGAGGCGGAGGTTGCGGTGAGCCAAGATCGTGTCACCGCACTATAGCCTGGCCGACAGAGCAAGACTCCATCTCAAATAAAAAAAGAACCACCGTCCTTTTTAGGGTTTCCCTAAAACTAATCTAACTTAGAAACCTATAAATGTGGCCGGGCGAAGAGGCTCACGCCTGTAATGCCAGCACTTTGGGAGGCCGAGGCGGGTGGATCATGAGGTCAGGAGATCGAGACCATCCTGGCTAACACAGTGAAACCCTGTCTCTACTAAAAATACAAAAAAATTAGCCGGGCATGGTGGCGGGCGCCTGCAGTCCCAGCTACTCGGGAGGCTGAGGCAGGAGAATGGCGAGAACCTGGGAGGCAGAGCTTGCGGTGAGCTGAGATCATGCCACTGCACTCCAGCCTGGGCAACAGAGCGAGACTCTGTCTCAAAAATAAAAAAAAAAAAGAAACCTATAAATGTAAGTAACAAAGTCAGGAGAATGTGATTGAGGCATCTGTAGACCACCTGTATTTCTATTCAGTTATACGCCCTCTGCAGCCAGTCTATGTCTCAGATCATAAGTACCTAAAGCAGGTGGTGGCGGGGGGCAGAGCAGTGGAACTGTTAAGCACTTAGCGCAGAAGCACAGGGGTTTGATTCATCTATCCATGCAACAAATGCTCAGTCCCCCTTATCCGCGGGTCCACCTTCTACAGTGTGAGTCACTCCCGGTACAGTACAAGGAGACGTTCTGAGAGAGAGAGAGACAGGCCACATTCACATAACTTTTTTTTTTTTTTTTTTTTGAGACAGAGTTTTGCTCTTGTTGCCCAGGCTAGAGTGCAATGGCGTGATCTCGCTCACCGCAACCTCCACCTCCCAGGTTCAAGCAATTCTCCTGCCTCAGCCTCCCAAGAAGCTGAGATTACAGGCATGCACCACCACGCCCGGCTAATTTTGTATTTTTAGTAGAGACGGGGTTTCTCCATGTTGAGGCTGGTCTCGAACTCCTGACCTCAGGTGATCCGCCCGCCTCAGCCTCCCAAAGTGCTGGGATTACAGGCGTGAGCCACCACACC
Organism: Homo sapiens; assembly: GCF_000001405.40. Classification (NCBI taxonomy): domain Eukaryota; kingdom Metazoa; phylum Chordata; class Mammalia; order Primates; family Hominidae; genus Homo; species Homo sapiens. Next base: position 74,946,109 of record NC_000016.10, read on the forward strand.
CGGCCACATTCACATAACCTTTATTGCGGTACAGTGTTACAACTGTTCTATTTTATTATTATTAGTTGTTGCTGTTAATCACTTACTGTGCCTAATTTATAAATTAAACCTTATCCTAGTTATGTATGTACAGAAAAGAAACATAGTATATTTGGTTCAGTATTATCTGTGGTTTCAGGCATCCAATGGGGGTCTTGGACTGTGTCCCCTGAGAATGAGGGGGGATTACTGTATTACTATATTAAGTATCTCCTTGGATCAGGCACAAATGCCTGTAGCGCACAAATACATACACTCGTCTACAGAACTGAATAAGAAAGAAATGGTTTCTGCCCGGGTGTGGTGGCTCCCGCCTATAATCCCAACACTTTAGGAGGCCGAGGCAGGCAGATCACTTGAGGTCAGGAGCTCGAGACCAGCCTGGCCAACAAGGTAAAACCCTGTCTCTACTAAAAATACAAAAATTAGCTGGGTGTGGTGGTGCGCACCTGTAATCCCAGCTACTCGGGAGGCGGAGGTGGGAGAAACGCTTGAACAACAGGAGGTGGAGGTTGCAGTGAGCTGAGATTCCACCACTGCACTCCAGCCTGGGTGACAGAGTGAGGATCTGTCTCAAAAAAAAAGAAAAAAGAAAGAAAGAAGTGGTTTCTAACTTCACAAATCATATCATCCAGCTGCTAATACAGTCATGATGCTAAAGGCCTTTACATAAAAAGGCGTGGGGTACAGAGGGAAAAAGTACCATGTACAGTAACCATTTCAGAGCAAACACCAAATGTGTGTTCCAATGCACCAAGGAGATACAAACGGACAGAATTTAAGAGACAGATAACACATGCTTTTATAAAGGATGTCAAAATATTGACAATTTAGCTTTATCTCTGTAAATAAGTTATACCAGTTCTATTCCACATTCTACTCTCAGGAAGTGCTGGGAATATTCCCTAGTAGCCCCAGTTGAGAATTCCAGAAAAGGTCAGTTCCAACTAAGCAATGAAAACAGGTAGATCAGAATGTAACTACAAAGACTTGGTTCATCCATGTTAAACAACACCATGGGCCAGTCGCGATGGCTCAAGCCTATAATCCCAGCACTTTGGGAGGCCAAGTCGGGTGGATCACCTGAGGTCGGGAGTTCAAGACCAGCTTGACCAACGTGGAGAAACCCCATCTTTACTAAAAATACAAAATTAGCCGGGCATGGTGGCACATGCCTGTAGTCCCGCCATTGCACTCCAGCCTGGGCAACAAGAGCAAAACTCTGTCTCAAAAACAAAACAAAACAAAAAAAATATGCAGATACAATCAGTGTAATCTAATTGTGGAGAAACCACAGGATGAACTATTGCTTTAATAAACTACAGGAAAAGAAAAACACAAACCCAAAAAGGAGAAGGAGACAGACTTAAAAAGATGAGAAATATATCAACCACTTACAGGTATGGACTTTATTTAGATTCTCACTGAAACCATTTTTCAAACAATTTGTAACTAAAAAAAGAGAGAGAGACTATTGGGGAAATCTGAATGCTGCTTAGATACTTGATGATATTAAAGAGTTACTGTTAATATTTTTAGGTATTTTTAAGTATGATATTGGGATTCTTCTTTTGCAAAACATACACTGAAATACTTGTTGAAGAAATGATAAGATATGTAGCTTCAAAATAATCACAAGAGGGCCGGGCATGGTGGCTCACACCTGTAATCCCAGCACTTCGGGAGGCCAAGGCAGGAAGATCACTTGAGGTTAGGAGTTCAAGACCAGCCTGGCCAATACAGTGAAACCTGTGTCTACTAAAAATACAAAAATCACCCAGGTGTGGTGGCAGGCGCCTGTAATCCCAGCTACTTGGGAGACTGAGGGAGGAGAATTGCTTGAACCTGGGAAGCAGAGGCTGCAGTGAGCCAAGGCTGCACTACTGCACTTCAGCCTGGGCAACAAGAGCAAGACTCTGTCTCAGAAAAGAAAAAAATCACAAGGGGGATGAAGGTGGAGGTGAAATGGTGGGTGGAGGAAAAGATGAAATAAAATTGGATGTATGATGACAAGTGTTGAAGGTGACGATGAACACAGGCAGTTCATTTTCTTCTCCCTATTTTTACAGAATGTTTGAAATTTTCCACTATAAAAAGGTTACAAACAAATCATCTTGGCTCTTGTCCTTGGACTCTGATATGAGGTCCTGCTCCACACCCAACAGTCCTAACTGTGGCTTCTGGGAGCAGCCTAAAGTGAGCCCCTTGCAACAACATGAGACTTACAATTCCACTCAGCCACGGCGCAGCCCAGACAGAGGCAGTTAGAGAGGGAGATGGAAAGGAATAGGAAGGAACGGGAAAGAACTGGAAGGAAGAAAATGAAGACAAACCAAGGCGCCAGGGTGAGGTGGGAGAAGCATACACTCACCAACAGCAGACAGTGCAACAGTAGGTTTCCTTGTGTCTCTGAAATATAAAAATAAAAAATCAAATCCCCAATTTATATGCCACCACCCACCTGGTATTTTTCACCCTTTGCACACAATTCTTCGCTTTCCTTTCAGTGGGAACTTGGAGTAGGTAGATCCGCTGTGAGGGCCTTAAAAAGAAGTCTAAAGAGAGACCTGCTGGCCAGGTACGGTGACTCATGCCTGTAATTCCAGCACTTCAGGAGGCTAAGGTGGGCGGATCACCCGAGGTCAGAGTTCGAGACCAGCCTGACCAACATGATGAAACCCCATCTCTACTAAAAATACAAAAATTAGCCACGTGTGGCAGGCACCTAAAATCCCAGCTACTCGGGAGACTGAGGCAGGAGAATTGTTTGAACCCAGGAGGCAGAGGTTGCAGTGAGCCAAGATCGTGCCATTGCACTCCAGCCAGGACGACAAGAGCAAAACTCTGTCTCAGAAAAAAAGAAAGAAAGAAAGAAAGAAAACAAATTACAGGCCATGTACAATGGCTCACACCTATAATCCCAACACTTTGGGACACCAAGGTGGAAGGACTGCTTGAGGCCAGGAGTTTGAGATCAGCCTGACAACACAGCAAGACTCTGTCCCCACAAAAATAAAAAATAAAAAAATAAAAATTAGCTGGGCATGGTGGCAAGTGCCTGTGGTCCCAGCTACTCAAGAGGCTGAAGTGAGAGGATCACCTGAGCCCAGGGGTTCAAGGCTGTACTGAGCTGAGATGACATCACTTCACTGCAGACTGGGTGACAGAGTAATACCTTGTCTCAAAAAAAAAAAAAAAAAAAAAAAAGAAAGGAAAGAAAGAGAGGAAGGAAGGAAAGACAGGAAGGAAGGGGGAAGGGTGAAAATGAGGGAGGAAAGGAGGGAGGGAGGGAAAGAAGGAGGGAGGGAAGGAGAGAGGGAGGGAGGGAGGACAGACTCTAACTAGGGAAGAGTTCTCCTTAAGGTCTTGCCTGGAGAGGTCCTGGCTCTCTTCTCTATCCCCCTACAACTGTGTCTTTCACTCTCAAATAATATATTTGCGCTCAAATCTCTCACTCAAACTTGTCTCGAGGTCTGTATCGAGGGGAAACCAAACTAAGACACTTGATCTCTAAAACAAAGGTCCCAAATCACCCCCAACCAAGTGGTTATGCCTCCTAATTGTTCTTACTTGATATCCCAAATGTAGATGTAGGTGTCCACAGAGCTGGTAACCAGGAGGTCAGGCTCAAACACCGCCCAGTCCAAGTCGCTGGGACACAAAGAATAAACAGAACAAAGAAAAGGAAAAAAATTCAGAGTCCAGGTCCAAAGCACTAGCACATCGAGTCTCCAGTGGCTTCAGAATGTCATCATTAACGGGCTTCTTAATGTGGTTTAGGCTGAGAATCTCCAAAGTTCCTTGGGAACGAACATGAGTTTGGAAGGAAACTGTCAGGTCCTTCGCCAGCTATACCATCATCTGCTCCCAGAAAAGAAATGGAGTGCTTCAACTTAAAACATTCTCTCTCTGGGCTGAGCGCAGCGGCTCACGACTGTAATCCCAGCACTTTGGGAGGCTGAGGCGGGCAGATCACTTGAGGTCACAAGTTCGAGACCAGCCTGGCCAGTATGGTGAAACCCCGTCTCTACTAATAACACAAAAATTAGCCAGGCGTGGTGGCACACACCTGTAATCCCAGCTACTTGAGAATCATTTGAACCTGGGAGGCAGATGTTGCAGTGAGCTGAGATCGTGCCACTGCACTCCAGCCTGGGCAACAAGAGTGAAACTCCATCTCAAAACAAACAAACAAACAAACAAACAAACAAAATTTCTCTCTCTAAATAAACAAACAAAGGAAAAACACATAAAGTAATCTTTATCATTTTCTAAATCAAATTCCACCAGAGGCACCTTGGGTAAACCCAACATCCTTAAGCAGCGGCAAACTGCCACACTGCCATGCAGCACCCAGAGAGGGCCAGAGGCCTGTGGTGTCCCCTACCCATGTTCTCCTTCCTAGACAGGCAGCAACTGCACAGAACATTCCACCCAACCCAGGTGTCTCACCTTTCCCAGCACTTCCAGGTCAGCTTAGCCCAGAAACAGTGACCCAGGGAAAGAGTGGATCAAGGAAAACTCGAAACCAACTGGAAGCCTCGACTGGGAGGCGGCTGTGCCCTTGGGTAATGAACTGTGACGCAGGAGCTCTGTAACCGCTGCTGCCGGAGAGAAAGCCAAGGGCCACTCCCTGACATCCACATGTCCTCCCAGGCACCACTGATCATGAACTGGGGGATTCTGCTGCATAACCACTCCTCTCCTATGTTGAAAATCAGCTCTAGGCCAGGCACAGTGGTTCACGCCTGTAATCCCAACACTTTGGGAGGCCAAGGCAGGTGGGTCACTTCAAGTTAGGAGTTCAAGACCAGCCTGGCCAACGTGGTAAAACCCTGTCTCCACAAAAAAAAAAAAAAAAAATTAGCCGGGCGTGGTGGTGCACACCTATAATCCCAGCTATTCTGGAGGCTGAGGCAGGACAATCACTTGAACCCAGGAAGCGGTGGTTGCAGTGAGCCAAGATCGCACCATTGCACTCCAGCCTGGGCGACAGAGTGAGACTTCGTCTCAAAAAAAAAAAAAAAAAAAAAAGTCAGCTCTAATCCTTTACCCTGGACTGGACTATATCCATCCGGGATATGGTCTGGGATGGGGGTCAACAGCTACGCGATGGTACTTCCTAAATGCCGGCTGTTCCTCACTGTGCTCTTCACCACCATCTCAGTGAATGCTAATAACCCGCTGACCACCCGGGACCTGTGCAACACAGACAGTCAAGCCATGCAAGGAGGACGGCATCATCATTTCGTTCCCAGGGGACTGTGACAAAGCAAGACAGCCAAAGAGCTGTGGAGGGCTGGTGCCTACCTGATGACACGAGTGTGGCCTTGTAAGGTTGTGCCAACTTCCCCACTGCCGTCTTTCCACTTGTAAAGGTCTACTCGTTGGTTACTCTGAAAAGAAAGGAAAGAAGGCCACAGGCAAGTATGTTGGGATATATGGTCTTGCCCCAATCAGCTTAAGGCAGTGAAGAGGAAGCCAGGGATCTCATGCATGGCAAAGATCCTTCAGGCTGAACTTTTCTTTAAAAAGCCATCAGGAATAAGTACAATTAACATTAGCTTGAGCTAACTTCAGCTCAGTATGTAGGTCTGTGAATCTCAAAATGGAAAGGCAGGACTATCTTAAGAGATGCATCTTGAACAGTCACAGCTGAACTGAAGGTGCAGAAGCACTTCTGCAGACGAGCTTCATGGGCCAGGAAAATGTCCCGGCCACTAGAGGAACCTCCTCCCTCTGAAGGTCACACACTCGTCTCCCCAGCTGCTGGTACACTGGATGTCTCCAGCTCACCCTTCCATGACCAAATGCCCAGAGTCCACCTACCACAGGTTTTTGTTTTTTTTTTTTTCTTGAGATGGGATCTACATTGCCCACGCTTTTCTAGAACTCCTAGGCTCAAACAATCCCCTTGCCTCAGAGTCTAGGATAGCTGGGATAAGGTGTGAGGTGTGAGGACTGCGCCATCACAACTGGGTCCCGTGTCACTTTAAAAACATAGGTGCATAAGAGAGAAAAAAGAGGCTGGGCTTGGTGGCTCATGCCTGTAATCCCAGCACTTTAAGAGGCTGCTTGAGCCCAGGAGTTCAAGACCAGTCTGGGCAACATAGCCAGATCGCATCTCTACAAAAAAAATTAAATATTAGCCAGTCATGGTGGTGCATGCCTGTGGTCTCAGCTACTTGACAGGCTGAGGTGGGAGGATCGCTTGAGCCTGGGAGGTCGAGGCAATAGTAAGCTGTGATTGTGCCACTGTACTCCAGCCTGGGTGACACAGCAAGACCCCATCTCAAACAAAAAAAAAAAAAAAAAAAAAGAAAAGAAAAGAAGAAAGATCCTCAAAAGGGTGTCCTAGAAGGCAAAATTATTTAACACTCCTTGAAATAATGCCTGTATTTAATTTCTTAAAGGGTTAAGCAGAAAGTGACAAGGAAAATGGACCAGAAGAAACCACAGCTACAATAGAAAAATAACTTCCATCAAAGTACATTTCACTTAAATACACAACAAAACAGCAAAGGCTCCCGACATATCATGACTTTATGAAACACACTGAAAGTGATAAAGATTACTAGTAGGCTGAAAACAACGGCAGGCTACTTAATAATTTTTTAAATTATATATATATATATATACACATTAGACTGATTGTCATTTTAGCTCAGAGACAGACAGACGTATAAAATTCTGAGATTTTTGTCCTGAAATACCAGTTTCCAAATTGAAAAAGGTAAGATTCTTGTGAAAAGGTTAGGATTCAAAATAGCTTCCAAAGAGAATAGGAATGAAAAGAAAAGTTCCCTCTTCTAATAATATTCCCTGCCATTTCTGGAGGGTCTGCTAGTGCCAGTCCACCTTAACGAATCTGGCCTCTGACCTCTCCCAGCACACGACACAGCGGGTATCATCACCCACATTATAGATGAGGCAAGCAAGGCTCAGAAAATTGTGGGGCCTCTCAAGATAAAAGACAGAATGTTAAAACTAGGACTTGACCTCAGATTTCCCTAACTAAAGCTTTCTCAAAAGGTTGCCTTCCAGCCAGGGGCAGTGGCTCATGCCTGTAATCCCAGCACTTTGGGAAGCTGAGGCAGGGGGATCGCTTGAGGTGAGGAGTTAGAGACCAGCCTGGCCAACATGGTGAAAGCCCATCTCTACTTAAAAATACAAAAATTAGCTGGGCATGGTGGCACGTGCCTGTAGTCCCAGCTACTTGAGAGGCTGAGGCACGAGAATTCCTTGAACCTGGGAAGCAGAGGCTGCAATGAACTGAGATGGCGCCACTGCACTCCAGCCTGGGCAACAGAACGAGACTCCGTCTCAAAAAAAAAAAAAAAAAGTTGCCTTCCAACCAAGAACAAAAGAAAAAAACAGATAAACTTCATTAAAATTAAAGCTTTTGTGCATCAAAGAACACTGTCAAGAATGCAGAAAGACAATCAACAAAAGGGAAGAAAACATTTGCAAATCATACATCTGATAAAGGTCTAATATCCAGAATATATAAAGAACTCCTACAACTCAACAGTAAAAATGCAAACAACCCAATTCGAAAAAGGGCAGAGGCAAGGCCGGGCGTGGTGTCTCATGCCTGTAATCCCAGCACTTTGGGAGGCCGAGGCAGGCGGATCATGAGGTGAGGAGATCGAGACCATCCTGGCTAACAGGGCGAAACCCTGTCTCTACTAAAAATACAAAAAAATTAGCCGGGCATGGTGGTGGACGCCTGTAGTCCCAGCTACTTGGGAGGCTGAGGCAGGAGAATGGCGTGAACCCGGGAGGTGGAGCTTGCAGAGAGCTGAGATAGCACTACTGCACTCCAGCCTGGGTGACAGAGCGAGACTCCGTCTCAAAAAAAAAAAGAAAAAGGGCAGAGGCCTTGAATAGACATTTCTCCAAAAAAATGACATATACGTGGCCAATAAGATACTCAACATCCTTAGTCACTGGGGGAATATAAACTAAAACCACAATAAGGCTGGGTGCGGTGGCTCATGCCTGTAATCCAAGCACTTTGGGAGGCTGAGGTGGGTGGATCACCTGAGGTCGAGAGTTTGAGACCAGCTGGACCAACACGGAGAAACCCTGTCTCTACTAAAAATACAAAATTAGCCAGGCGTGATCATGTGTGCTTGTAATCCCAGCTACTTGGGAGGCTGAGGCAGGAGAATCGCTTGAACCCAGGAGGTGGAGGTTGTGGTGAGCCGAGATCATGCCACTGCACTCCAGCCTGGGCAACAAGAGTGAAACTCTGTCTCAAAACAAACAAACAAAAAGACATAACAAAGTACCACCTCACACCTTCACACCCACTAGGATGGCTATAATTTTTTTAAAAATACAAAAAATAAATTTTGGAGAGGATGTGGAAAAACTGGAACTCTGTGCATTGCTGATGGGAGTATAAAAGGTTTAGCCACTGTGGAAATAGTTTGGTGGTTCCCTCCAAAAGTTAAACACAGAATTACCATATGACCCTGCAATTCCACTCTTAGATGTTTACCCAAAAGAAGCAAAAACAAGTACCTCCACACATATGTTCATACCAGCTCTATTCAATAGCCAGTCAAATGTCCTCTGATGGATGGACGGATAGATAAACAATTACACAATGGAATATTATCCACTGATAAAAAGGAATGAAGTTCTGATACCTGCTATAACATGGATGAACTTCAAAACATTATGCTAAGTAAAAGAAGTCAGACACAAAAGGCCACTTGTTTTATGATTTCATGTCTATGGAAGATCCAGAATAGATCAATCCATTGAGACAGAGCGCAGACTGGTGGTTGCCAGGGGTTGCAACGGAGGGAGGAATGGGGAGAAACTGCTTAATGAATAAAGGGTTTTACCCGGGAGGGATAGAAATGTTTGGGAATTGGATAGAGGTGGTGGTTATACAACATGTGAATGCAGTGAAGGATACTGAATTGTTCACTTTAAAATGATTAATTGTGAAGGAACAAATTTTAAAAAGGCTGTCTTTGTTAGCACTCCCGAACAAATGCAGTGTTAATCCACTGAGTACAACAACTGAGGCGTCAGCCTAAACCCAATCAGAGGTGATTTTGCTTCCCAGAGGACATCTGACAGTGGCTGGAGACATTTTTGATTGTCATAACAACAGGTGGGGAGCATACTACTGAGATCTAGCAGGTAGGGCCAGGGATGCTGCTGAACTTCCTGCAACGCACAGGACAGCCCCACCACAAAGAATGACCTAACAAGCCAGTAGTGCCAAGGTTAAAAAACCCTGGACTAGACGATCAGGGGCCGAGGGTGAGAGGGAAATAAGGGTCCCGAGGTATAAACCAACTAAAAGAGCTCCTTCTAGCACTCAGGAAAGAGGCCTGAGAGTAGAAAGGCAGGAAGACTGACTCTGCCTTTCTCTTTGAGAATAGCCCTGAAAATCAGCGCAACCTCGGACATCCACAGTTAAAGGCAGACTCTATTTTGGAAATAGCTGGGAAGGGCGGCTTTCTGTTCCTTCTCAAGCTGACAAAGTTGCTCTTCTTTCCTTGCTCAGTTGCTTTCCTTCTGCAGACTGCCTTTCCTGACAAGAACAGACTGAGACAGACTGCACAGTGGTCCTGCCCCTGGTGAATCAGAAGAATTCCTTTAAATACTCTCCTGCCAGCCCAATGCAAAAAGAGCAAAAAGTTTAGATCTCTCATTATTCTAGAATACAATGTGACACAGAATCTGGAGAAAGATGCCAGACAGGTTGTAGTCCAGAATCTTTTTGTATAAAGAAAAGATTTTTGTATTAGAAAACCTAACAAAACTTATACATGTTTTCCCTAGGGAAAAAAAAAATCACACATAAACAGGCACATAGAATTTGATGGGGTTAACGAAATCTAATGATTCCCAATCAAGGAAGAATCCCTTCCTTTGAATAGAAGGGTAGGGGGAGTCTTCTGATCCCTCTGAAAGCAATGAAGGTCAACTCCACACCAGCTCGCCAGTTACCCTCCTTAGAATGTCTTTCAAAGTCATCTGCCATTTGTCCGCTGGCTAGTTACATTGCTGCTGATGAAACAGGTTCTCACCACTCACAGAAATGGATGCATCTGCCTGTTTCCCTTTCAAAATCTGAATTCAGTCCCTAGTAATACAAGGCCTGACACCGATGGGACCAGCGAGCATTCCCACGTATATTTAATCCGTAACTTGCCTCTGTCTTTTTCTCAGAACCATCCAAACCTCTTTTCCAAATGAGCAATGAGGACTGCATTCTCTTCTCTACACAGGGCATAGATCTGCCAGCCCCAGATGACACATTTAACAGCATTCTCCTGTATTCCTTAAATAAGCTCACCGAAGCCGCAAAATAGTGTGCAAAGCTGTCATGAGGATTCCACTGCACAGCTCCAATGTCCCATTTGCTCTGGCGAGAGATCTTTCGGTGACCTTCGAAAGGGGCATCTAGATTGACGATGTATAAGAATCTGCGGCTAGAGACCAACATCAACATTATAATAGTATAAAAACACAACATCATTAGCATTAAGATAGAAAAGCACAATTGGAATTGCATACAATTTGCAAGCAGTGCTCCAAAAAACCCAAACACACATGGCATTTATTTACTCTGAAAGGCAAAGAAGTGACAAGTGTAATTCAAGGTGGCTGTCACACAAAGGGAAGAAGTGTCCCTGTGAGAGTCCCACCTCCAGAGATGGCCTTCCCTACCACATCCATCCATGAGAGTCTGGATTCACCTCCAACCTGCCCTTCTCCCAGCCTTTCCCAATCCCCCAGCTAGGGTTAATTACTGAATTAATTAATTCCACATTACTCCCATTGCATAGTTTGCATTTTGACCACAGCATTTATCTTGTAGCAGGACTAATAATTTAAGGCTCTTGTCCTGAATCAACTAAGTGTTCAGAGAATGAACTATGTCTTGAATATCTTTTTTTTTCTTTTTTTTTTTTTTTTTGAGACAGAGTCTCGCTCTGTCACCCAGGCTGGAGTACTGTGGTATGATCTCAGCTCACTGCAACCTCCGCTTCCCAAGTTCAAACGATTCTCCTACCTCAGCCTTCCGGGTAGCTGGGATTACAGGCACCCACCATCACGCCTAACTAATTTTTGCATTTTTTGTAGAGACGGAGTTTCACCATGTTGGCCAGGCTGATCTCGAACTGCTGACCTCGGGTGATCCACCTGCCTCAGCCTCCCAAAGTACTGGGATTACAGGCACAAGGAACCATGCCCGGCTGTCTTGAATATCTCTGTATGCTTCACATCGCCAGGCTCAGTGCTCTGCACTCAACAAATGTGAGTTAAATTAAACATATCACTTATTACTAAGCCAAAATCCTGTAGAAGCAGAAAATCTCAAAATTCCCCTTACTACTTCCTGGTCAAGAAAACTCAACTAAATCTATCAGGAGGGTTAACAATAACAACAAAAAGGAATAATAATTAAAATAACATATGAAGTGCCAGTAATGTTTAAGGTTCCAATCAACATGAAGGATCTGAAAACAGGGAGGTTCTGCATTCACCTATTTTCTTTTTAAGTAAAATACCCTTGGTGTGTGAATCAACATCTCTGCAGCCATCAGCTATTGATTCTTTGCTAGAGACCACTCCAAGCCCCTGGAGATCAATGAGAATAGGCAGGCTCAAAAATGAAGAAAAAGATTAATCATCCCTGCTCAGAAGAGCCAGGAAATGGCATACAAAACTCTAGGTGGTAGCAGAACTCTGAGGAGAGAAGATGGAGGGAGAAGAAGAAAAGCCAGGGGAATACACAATTTCACAGAATTTCCAGGACTTCTAAGAAAGTGCAGAACAAATATCACATAGAATCTCTGGCCTGCTCCAAAGGAATCACCTGATCCTGCGATGGCCAGCTGGCATCGTCCCATCAGAAGAACAACAGGACAAGGCTAGTAGCTATACATGTGAGGTGAGTATCAATAGGGGGCTGCAGAGACTTTACAGGGCAAATGTACAAAGGCAGAAAGTGGGCACTTCAGGGTGAACACGCCTGATGGAACATAGGTGTTTATCTTCATTTTCCCCAATGCTCCACTATAATAAGAGTAAAGAAGACAAAAAACCTCCAAAGACAAAGAAAATGAGACAGGAAATGAAAAACAGGTGGACAAATGGTAATTGATCTAAAGAAAGCTAAATAGGCCAGGCATGGTGGCTCACAACTCTATTCCCAGCACTTTGTGAGGCCAAGGTGGGTGGATAGCCTCAGGTCAGAAGTGGGAGACCAGCCTGGCCAACATGGTGAAACCCTGTCTCTACTAAAAATACTAAAAAATTAGCTAAACATTGGTGGCAGGCACCTGTAATCCCAGCCACTCAGGAGGCTGAGGCAGGAGAATTGCTTGAACCTGGGAGGCAGAGGTTGCAGTGAGCTGAGATCACACCACTGCACTCCAGCCTGGGGGACAGGCTGAGACTCCATCTCAAAAAAAAAAAAAAAAAAAAAAAAAAAACAAGCTAAATAAAGCCAAAGTACATGGAGAGAGAAATGAGTGTGAAGCAAGTTGCTTCCCCCCAACTGGAGGCTTTTGTCTCAAGACAAGGGCAAGGGGTAGGGCTAGAAGACAACAAGCAGAACAAAACTAGGACACCTGTTTGAAAGACCACTAAGGAGGCCGGGCACAGTGGCCCACGCCTATAATCCCAGCACTGTGGGAGGCCGAGGCGGATGGATCACCTGAGGTCAGGAGTTCGAGACTAGCCCGACCAACATGGAGAAACCCCTGACTAATAAAAAAAAAATTAGCCAGGCATGGTGGTGCATGCCTGTAATCCCAGCTACTCAGGAGACCAAGGCAGGAGGATCACTTGAACCTGGGAAGCAGGGGATGCAGTGAGCCGAGATCGCACCATTGCACTCCAGCCCGGGCAACAAAAGCAAAACTCCATCTCAACAAAAAAACACTAAGGAGAGGGTTATGTGCAACCCATCCACCCAGGTGGCTGCCTCAGTGGAGAGTGGGTGCTATTCTCCCCTAGAGCAGCCCCAGACCTGGGAAGTGGGAAGTGCTGCACTAAGTCATTCCTCTCTCTATGCAGCACTCACGACTCTGCCTTTTACTCTTCAGATAGACTTCTCAGGAGAAAATAACCAGCCCAGGAAAAAACAAAAGCAAGCAAACAACAACAAAACTCTGCAGACAATGACATTTGGACATCCACTAACAGGGCCTGGTTCCCACCTGATCTCCTCCACCGTCTACCCACTTAAAGAGAGATGCCAGTCGCTCTTTAGCATTAGCAGCCAACGATCTCAGTCACCGGAGGAAACCTGAAGGATAGGGACTAATGCAACAGAAAGGAAAAAAGCCTTCATGGTTGGAAGCAGCAGCTCACACTGGAACTCTTAGTGCTGCAGGCCGAGGCAGAAGCATCGCTTGAGGCCCGGAGTTAAGACCAGCCTGGGCAACCTGGCAAGACCTTATCTGCATAAAGAAAAAAAAATTATAATAAAATAAAATAAAATTAGCCAGGTGTGGTGACATGTGCCTGTACTCCCAGCTACTGAGAAGGCTGAGATGGGAGGATTGCTTGCCCAGCAATTCAAGGCTGCAGCGAGCCATGATTGCACCACTGCACTCCAGCCTAGGTGACAAAACAGAAAAAGAAAAGGAAAGAAAAAACTCCTCCCTTGCCTCCCCACCGCCCTCCAAAATAATAACAATAAGAAAAAAAAAAAAAGAGGAAGAAGAAAAGAAGAAATTCAAAGGAAACGGCGATAAATGCAGAAGAGAAAAAATCTTGGAACCAATATTTTCCAAGAGTTAAGAGACAATATAAATAATAATAAACATTAAAACAATAGTTGAAATTTTTTGAAAATTAAAATAGTTGAAATTTTTTTTTTAAATCTGAAAGTAGTGTTAGAAGCTAAAGTTTAGGCCGGGCGCAGTGGCTCACACCTGTAATCCTAGCACTTTGGGAGGCCGAGGCGGGTAGACTGCCTGAGCTCAGGGGCTTGAGACCAGCCTGGGCAAAACGGTGAAACCCCGTTTCTACTAAAATACAAAAAAGTTAGCTGGGCATGGCAGCGTGAGCCTGTAATCCCAGTTACTTGGGAGGCTGAGGCAGCAGAATTGCTTGAACCCAGGAGGCAGAGGTTGCAGTGAGCCGACATCGCGCCACTGCACTCCAGCTTGGGCAACAGAGCGAAACTCCATCTAAAAAAAAGAAAGAAGCTAAAGTTTAAAACTCCCAGAAGGCAAAACTGACGAGGCCAGAAGCAAAGTCATACAAGATATCCAACATTGACTACTAGTAGGAATTCCAACAAGAAAGAATGAGAAGAGAAAATGAGGTCAGGTACGTGGTTCACATCTGTAATCCCAGCACTTTGGGAGGCTGAGGTGGGTGGATCACCCAAGGTCAGGAGTTTGAGATCAGCCCGGCCAACACAGCAAAACCCCATCTCTAATAAAACTACAAAAATTAGCTGGGCTTGGTGGCGCTCACCTGTAATCCCAGCTACCTGGGAGGCTGAGGCATGAAAATCGCTTGAACCCAGGAAGCAGAGGTGGTTGCAGTGAGCCAAGTTTTCATCACTGCACTCCAGCCTTGGTGACAGAGCAAGATTCCGTCTCAAAAATAAAAAAAAAAAAAAAAAGAGAGAGAGAAAGAAAATGGGAAAATAAAAGGGAGAAAATGATCAAAGACATAATACAGAAACATTTCTCTAAACTAAAAGATACAGATTTCCAGATTTGAAGGACCTTCCAAGGTTCTAAAAAAAATTTCTGTATCTTAATCAGAATGGTGATTACATGAGTATATATATTTGTAAATTTCAGCTATTTACTTAAGTTTACCACACTTTATACAATTTACTACACATATTGTAAAATTCAGTATAAGAAAATGCCAGGTGCAGTGGCTCACGTCTATAATCCCAGCATTTTGGGGGGCCAAGGCAGGAGGATCAACTTGAGCCCAGGAGTTCAAGATCAGCCTAGGCAACACAGGGAGACCCTGTCTCTACAAAAAAAAAAAACTTAGCCAGACAGGCGTGGTGGTACATGCCGGCAGTCCCAGCAGTTTGGAGGTTGAGGTGGAAGGATCACTTGAGCCCTGGAAGTCGAGACTGCAGTGAGCCGTGATCTGCATTCCAGCCTAGGCAACAGAGTGAAACCTTGTCTCAAAACAACAACAACAACAAAAAAAACCCAATATAAGAAAATGAAAGTTCTAGGTCTTTCAAGAATTACCACACTGTTTTCCACAATGGTTGAACTAATTTACATTCCCATCAACAGTGTAAAAGCATTCCTATTTCTCCACAGCCTCACCAGCATCTGTTGTTTCTTGACTTTTTAATAATTGCCACTCTGACTGGCGAGAGATGGTCTCTCATTGTGGTTTTGATTTGCATTTCTCTAATGATCAGTAATGATGAGCTTTTTTTCATATGTTGGCTGCATAAATGTCTTCTTTTGAGAGGTGTCTGTTCACGTCCTTTGCCCACTTTTTAACGGGGTTGTTTATTTCTTGTAAATTTGTTTAAATTCCTTGTAGATTCTGGATATTAGACCTTTGTCAGATGAATAGGTTGCAAGAATTTTCTCCCATTCTGTAGGCTGTCTGTTCACTCTGATGATAGTTTCTTTTGCTGTGCAGAAGCTTATTAGTTTAATCAGATCCCATTTGTCAATTTTTGCTCTTGTTGCAATTGCTTTTGGTGTTTTTGTCATAAAATCTTTGCCCATGCCTATGTCCTGAATGGTACTGCCTAGATTTTCTTCTAGGGTTTTTATAGTTTTGGATTTTACATTTAAGTCTTTAATCCATCTTGAGTTTATTTTTTTATAAGGTTTAAGGAAGGGGTCCAGTTTCCATTTTCTGCATATGGCTAGCCAGTTCTTCCAGCACCACTTGTTAAACAGGGAATCCTTTCCCCATTGATTGTTTTTGTCAAGTTTGTCAAAGATCAGATGGTTGTAGATGTGCAGTCTTATTTCTGATATCTCTATTCTATTCCATTGGTCTATATGTCTGCTTTGTGCCAATACCATGCTGTTTTGGTTACTGTAGCCTTGTAGGATAGTTTGAAGTCGGGTAGCGTAATACCTCCAGCTTTGTTATTTTTGTTTAGGATTGTCTTGGCTATACAGGCTCTTTTTGGGTTCCGTATGAATTTCATAGTTTTTCTAATTCTGTGAAGAATGTCAATGGTAGTTTAATGTGAACAGCATTGAATCTATAAATCACTTTGGGAGGTATGGCCATTTTCACGATATTGATTCTTCCTATCCATGAGCATGGAATGTTTTGCTATTTGTTTCTGTCCTCTCTGATTTCCTTGTACAGTGGTTTGTAGTTCTCCTTGAAGAGGTCCTTCACTTCCCTTGTTAGCTGTATTCCTAGGTATTTTATTCTCTTTGTAACAATTGCGAATGGGAGTTCATTCATGATTTGGCTCTCTGCTTGCCTATTGTTGGTGTATAGGAATGCTTGTGATTTTTGCACATTGATTTTGTATCCTGAAATTTTGCTAAAGTTGCTTATCAGCTTAAGAAGCTTTTGGGCTGAGACAATGGGGTTTCCTAGATATAGGATCATGTCATCTGCAAACAGGGACAGTTTGACTTCCTCTCTATTTATTTTTTCTTTTTTCTTTTTTTTTTTCTCTCTTCCTATTTGAATATTCATTATTTCTCTTGCCTGATTGCCCTGGCCAGAACTTTCAATACTATGTTGAGTAGGAGAGGTGAGAGATTCCTGAAAGACCTAGAGGCAGAAATACCATTTGACCCAGCAATCCCATTATAGGGTATGTACCCAGAGGAATCTAAATTACTCTATTATAAAGATATGGCCAGGTACGGTGGCTCATGCCTGTAATCCTAGCACTTTGGGAGGCCGAGGTGGGTGGATTGTCTGAGTTCAGGAGATCAAGACCAGCCTGGGCAACATGGTGAAACCCCGTTTCTACTAAAATACAAAAAATTAGCCAGGCATGGCAGCGTGCACCTGTAGTCCCAGCTACTCGGGAGGTTGAGGCAGAATTGCTTGAACCCGGGAGGCAGAGGTTGTAGTGAGCAGAGATCATGCCACTGCACTCCAGCCTGGGTGACAGAGAGACTCCGTCTTCAAAAAAAAATACAAATAAAAATAAAGATACATGCACGCATATGTTCAGTGAAGCACTATTCACAATAGCAAAGACATGGAATCAATCCAAACGCCCACCAATGATAGACTGAATAAAGAAAATGTGGTACATATACATCATGGAGTACTATGGAGCTATAAAAAGGAAAGAGATCATGTACTTTGCAGGGACATGGATGGAGCTGGAAGCCATTATCCTCAGCAAACTAACACAAGAACAGAAAACCAAATACTACATGTTCTCGCTTATAAGTGTGAGCTGAACAGTGAAAACACATGGACACAGGGAGAGGAACAATGTACACTGGGACTTGTTGGGGGGCCAGGGGGAGGGAGAGCATCGGGATAAATAGCTAATGCATGTGGGGCTTAATACCTAGGTGATGGGTTGATAGGTGCAGCAAACCACCATAGCACACGTTTACCTACGTAACAAACCGGCACATCCTGCACATGTATCCTGGAACTTAAAATTAAATTAAATTTTTTTTAAAAAGAAGAGAAAATACTTCAAGAGGCCAAGGCAGAGGCAGATGGATTGCTTGAGTCTGGGATGTCAAGGCTGCAGTGAGCCGAGATCACATCAGCGAATACACTCCAGCCTGGGTGACAGAGTGAGACCCTGTCTCAAAAGAAAGAAAGAGAAAAAGGGAGAAAGAGAGAGAGAGAGAATATGAAATGAGGCCAAGGTGAGAGGATTACTTGAGCCCAGCAGTTCAAGACCAGCCTGGGCAACAAAGCAAGACCCTCATCTCTAAAAAAAAGAAAAAAAGAAAGAAAATGAAATATAAAGATTCAAGATCATGTTGAAAAATAGTAAAAATGTGTGCCAAGCACGGTGGCTCACACCTGTAATCCCAGGACTTTGGGAGAATAAGCCGGGCAGATCACTAGGTCAGGAGTTCAAGATCAGCCTGGCCAATATGGTGAAACCCCATCTCTACTAAAAATACAAAAATTAGCTGGGCATGGTGGCAGGCGCCTATAATCCCAGGTACTCGGGAGGCTGAGGCAGGAGAATCACTTGAAACCGGAAGGCGGAGGTTGCAGTGAGCCGAGATCGTGCCACTGCACTCCAGCCTGGGCAACAAGAGCGAAACATCATCTCAAAAAAAAAAAAGAGCAGGGAGCTGGAGGCAGAAAAGAGATACCAACTTTCCCTTATCTAGGCACCCAGTATGACACACAAAAAAATGATATAAATAATTTTCTCCAGGGAGGTGGTCAGAGGTAGGAAGGAAATTTACTTTTCATTGTATATCCTTCTGAAATTTTTACACGTTTACCATGTTGTATACTTTTTTAAAAAAGGTAAATTAAAACATAATTTCAAAATAAAGTAATGAAGCTGATAGAAAAGAAAATATTTTCACTGATTTGTAAATGGGTTCATAAACAACTACATTAATGAAAATACAGTGGATCCTAGAGGTAAGGACTGTACTCGAGAGCAACACGAAAGGAAAAGGGGACCATGACCATCAAAAAAAAATTTTTGGCTGGGTACGGTGGCTCACACCTGTTATCCCAGCACTTTAGGAGGCACTTTGGGAGGCCAAGGCAGGTAGATCACCTGAGGTCAGGAGTTCGAGGTCAGCCTGGCCAACATGGTGAAACCCTGTCTCTGCTAAAAATACAAAAAATGAGCTGGGCGTGGTGGCACGTGCCTATAATCCCAGCTACCTGGGAAGCTGAGGCAGGAGAATCACTTGAACACAGGAGGCAGAGGTTGCAGTGAGCCGAGATCGCGCCACTGCACTCCAGCCTGGGCGACAAGAGCAAAACTCCGTCTCAAAAAAAAAAAAAAATTTTTTTTTGAGATGGGGTCTTGCTATGTTGCCCAGGCTGGTCTTGAACTCCTTGGCTCACGTGGTCCTCCTGCCTCAGCTTCGCAAGTAGCTGGGACTACAGGCCATGCCTGGCTTGATTATTACATTTTATCCCAATAGTACGATGTTAGGGTTATTAGAAAAGCAGAGATGGCCCTTAATTGCCAGTCTTAAAAATTTTGAGCCAGAAGATGCTACAGAAACTTGTCATTCAGTTCCTTCATGATGAAATCAAATTCCTTCATGAGAAAACCAAAGTCCAGTTAAGCCAAACTGAATAAATGTCCAGGGGCTCACAGTTAGTGGCACCGTCAAACTGGAACTCAGATTCCTTCAATCCTAGGAACCACCTGCTTCACCAAAATAGATTTCATCCTTCAGGTATGTAGTAGCAAACATCCTTGAGTCTTGCAGTAAACAGAAAACTGCAATTTCAAGTTCAAGCTACCAGTCACTAAAACTTCAAAGGTGTTTTATTGCTTACCTATTAGGGCAGAGATTAAAATAAACTGCAAATAATCCCTCCGAGTAGCCCTGAGGCAAACAGGATATCAGAACTAAACCCTATGATCATAATCCGTAAATATAAGAATAGCTTCCAAGTTCCCAGAAACCCCGATTTGCAAATCGTTTCCAGAAATCATGGCAGACAAACTCGGCAAGCTTACTTACCCAGAAAGCACTGCATGCTGCCCAAGACAGTCCACAGACATCGCAGTTGCCTGAGAGAGAGAACACAGAGTCAGTGCTGCCAGCAAACCCAGCCGGGGATAGAAGGCAGAGGTCTCTGTGGCTCTTCCTCTTCCTGTCTCCCAAGAAGTCCCCAGCTCGCAGGTATCATTAGTTCTCTACAGTGGATGCTTCTACCCACCCACTTCTAATTTACAACCCAATTCCACATTCACTTTTTTTATTTTTTGTAGAGACAGGGTCTTGCTATGTTGCCCAGGCTGGACTCCAACTCCTGGTCTCAAGTGATCCTCCCATTTCAGCCTCCCAAGTACACATTCATTTTTGACAATAGGGCAGTTGCTACCTGTTACCCCCACACCAAGACTACATGCAACCAAGCTGGTACATTCTAAATTGAAAAGACAGGCTGGGCGGGGTGGCTCACACCTGTAATCCCAGCACTTTGGGAGGCCAAGGCAGGCAGATCACCTGAGGTCAGGAGTTCAAGACCAGCTTGGCCAACATGGTGAAACCCCAACTCTACTAAAAATACAAAAATTAGCCCGGTGTTGTGGTGGACACCTGTAATCCCAGCTATTCGGGAGGATGAGGCAGGAGAATCGCTTGAACGTGGGAGGTGGAGGGTGCAGTGACTCGAGATTGAGCCACTGCACTCCAGCCTGGGCAACAGACTGAGACTCCATCTCAAAAAATAAATAAAAATAAATAAATTGAAGAGACAGAAGTCCTGGAGCCCATGGGGAGGCTGACTAGCTCAGAGAAAACAGCAGCTACTATGAACAAAGAGCCTTCTTGCAAGTGAAACCTAACCTGGACACCCCCACCCCACACACACCCAAGACACCCGTGACTTTCCAAAGGGCATGGACTTCTCCTCAAGCCATATGGCAGTTGGCAATATTCAGACACCACCCCTGCTGAATCCAAGGTCATATTCTGGATACTGACATCCCCAGGTCACATTCGCTCTGAAATTTCTAGTGCATTTAACTGGTTTCTATTTCCCGGGTCTCCCAATTCCCAGGGAGCACTATCACATCGTTTCAGGAGCCAACGTCTAACTCCCAAGAGACTGCAATGAGTCCAAAGAATGTGCATTCAGGCTGAGCACAAGGCTTATTTTAATCCAGGCAGTTATTGCCCTGAATTTCTTTGGACAAGTTCAAATCCTGCTGCACTCTCATGCCAGTATCATGAAACAGTTTGTGCCACTGTTTGGTTATTAAATGCTCTAAGTTCTCTCCAAGACAGTATCAACGAAGAATCCATTTTATACATTCTGCGACAATCACAAATCACAAATGGTAAGCACCTTCTTTCCCTCACCCTCGCTGGCCTTATTTAGTGGATTTCTCAAGTCATCTACCCTCAAGAAACATCACAAGTAACATTGGGGACAAGAAGCCAGAGTACTCTCACCGGAGGCTGCAAAGTGATTAACATGCATCCTTCAGTGCACCAGAGTCAGGAGCAGAGCGAAGCCCAGAAGGAAAGGCAGGCAGTGAAATGAGATGCCATTTCCAGGATTCCTCTGTGCAATTTACAGACAGTAAGGAGATGATAAGGAGGAGGGCAAGATGGTTCCTCTAACAAGATCTGTGTAATCTTTCTGGGGAGTCTGTGGTAGGCAGAATCCTAACAGCCCCCAAGATTCCAGGCCCTTGGTATATACACACCTCTTCCCTGCTATTCAACATTCACTGAACACAAATCTAGCTACTATTGGGAAGGGATTTTATGGATGTAATTAAGGTCCCAATCAATTGACCTTAAGATAGAACTCGGCTGGGCGCGGCGGCTCATGCCTGTAATCCTGGCAATTTGGGAGGCCAAGACGGATGGATCACCTGAGGTCAGAAGTTCGAGACCAGCCTGGCCAACATGGTGAAACCTCATCTCTACTAAAAATACAAAAATTAGCCGGGCATGGTGGCAGGCACCTGTAATCCCAGCTACTCAGGAGGCTGAGGCAGGAGAATCACTTGACCCCGGGAAGCAGAGGTTGCAGTGAGCCGAGACATGCCACTGCACTCCAGCTTGGGCAATAAAGCGAGACTCGGTCTCAAAAAAAAAAAAAAAAAAGATAGAAGACCTCAAACAACCCAAATGTCCACCAATGGAGGAACAGATAAACAAAATGTGGTACAGACATATAATGGAATATTATTCAGCCTTAAAAGGGAAGGAAATTCTGATACATGCTACAACATGGATGGAGCTCGGAAACATGCTAAGTAGAGTATCCCAGATGCAAAAGGACAAACATTATATGACTCCACCTAAAGCAGATGAACTCATAGAAACAAAAAGTAGAATGGAGGTTGCCAGGGTCTGGGGAAGTAGAGAATGCGGAGTTACTGTTTAATGGGTACAGAGCTCCTATTTGGGATGATGAAAATTTAGAGGACGGGGAGACTGAGAGATTTAGTCTCATCAGTCCTTTAAATCTATGTCTAGATGTCAGAGACAGGAAGTCAGAGATTAAAAGGGTGAGAGATTCAACATGAAGATTCGCATTGCTGGCTGCAAAGACAGAAGGACATGGCAAGGACCTGAGACAGCATGTAGGAGCTGAGAGTGCCTCGACTTCTGACCTACAGAACTGTGAGCTAATAAATGGATGTTGTTGTAAGATGCTAAATATGGACCGGGTGCAGTAGCTCACACCTGTAATCCCAGCACTTTGGGAGGCCGAGGCAGGCGGATCACCTGAGGTAAGGAGTTCAAGACCAGCCTGGCCAACATGGCGAAACCCCATTTCTACTAAATATACAAAAATCAGCCAGGCGTGGTGGCATGCATCTGCAGTCCCAGCTGCTCAGGAGGCTGAGGTAGGAGGATCGCTTGAACCCAGGAAGTGGAGGCTGCATGCAGTAAGCTGAGATCTTGCCACTGCACTCCAGCCTGGGCGACAGAGCAAGACTCTGTCTCAAAACAAAACAAAACAAAACAAAAACGGCAAATAGACTATCATAACTCACCCATATCAGAGGAAGTTATTTAAAAAAAAGAAAAACTACCACCACAACACCACCTACGTGATTTTTCCCACCACTACCCTAGAAAAAACAGGTTACCACCATGTTTGCAGGAGCACACTGAGGAAGCTTACACTAAGCTGTCCCAAAGAAGGAATGGAGAAAGGGAACACTGAGCAGAGGAAGTGAAAACGACCTAACCAGAGAAAGTCAGTGCTTTGTGGGGGAAAGGAGTCTGCAATCCAAGCCCTCTCCACCCTCAGCACACCAGGTGGGGAATTCTAGACGTGGGTTAAGAACCACGGGACTGTGGAATTTTTGTATGACCACACTGCAAGTGAGGAGGGGAAGCCCTGCAATGACTGAGATAGGATTTCCCAGCAGTCTGAAGAAAGGTGCCTGCTGGGGATTAAAGACAGGTTAGAGGTGTAAAGTGGCATTTTATATCCACTTACAGACTAAAATTTAAACTGGCTACTTATAAATATATATATATTATACATATTTGTTTTGTCTTTTGAGACGGAGTCTCACTCTGTCACCCAGGCTGGAGTGCAATGGCACGATCTTGGCTCACTGCAACCTCCACCTCCCAGGTTCAAGTGATTCTCAGGCCTCAGCCTCCTGAGTAGGTGGGATTACAGGTGCATGCCACTACGCTCGGCTAATTTTTTTATTTTTAGTAGAGACGGGGTTTCACCGTGTTAGCCAGGATGGTCTCAATCTCCTGACCCTGTGATCCACCCACCTCAGCCTCCCAAAGTACTGGGACTACAGGTGTGAGCCACTGCACCCGGCCTGTTTTTTTGTTTTTATTTTTGAGATGGAGTTTCACTCTCGTTGCCCAGGCTGGAGTGCAATGGCTTTAGCTCACTGCCACCTCTGCCTCCCGCGTTAAAGTGATTCTCCTGCCTCAGCCTCCCAAGTACTGAGATTACAGGCATGTGCCACCACGCCCGGCTCATTTTTGTATTTTTAGGGTTTCACCATGTTTCCCAGGCTGGTCTTGAACTCCTGACCTAAGGTGATCGCCACCTCAGCCTCCCAAATTGTCACACAGGTTGGAGTACAGTGGCATGATCTCAGCTCACTGCAGCCTCAAACTCCTAGATTCAAATGATCCTCCCACCTCAGCCTGCTAATTTTTGTGGGATTTTGGGGGGTTTTCTTGAGACAGGGTCTCAATTTTTTGCCCAGACTGGAGTGCAGTGGCTCAATCTCAGCTCACTGCAACCTCCGTCTCCTGGGTTCAAGTGATCCTGTCACCTCAGCCTCCCAAATACCTGGGACCACAGGCGCATGCCACCACACCCAGCTAATTTTTTGTATTTTTGGTAGAGATAGTGTTTCACCATGCTGCCTAGGCTAGTCTAGAACTCCTTTCCCTATTGTTAATTTTTGTCAACTTTGTCAAAGATCAGTTGGTTGTAGGTATGTAGCTTTATTTTTGTGTTCTCTATTCTGTTCCATTGGTCTATATGTCTAGTTTTCTAGCAGTACCATGCTGTTTGAGTTACCACAGCCTTGTAGTATAATTTAAAGGCAGGCAATGTGATACCTTGTCATTTGTCATTTCACTTAATTCTACTTATCTTCTAAGTCCCAAGACATACCTCCCCTAAGAAGCTCTCCCAGAATGGCATGAACCCAGGAGGCGGAGCTTGCAGTGAGCCAAGATGCGCCACTGCACTCCAGCCTGGGTGACAGAGAGAGACTCTGTCTCCAAAAAAAAAAAAAAAAAAAAAAAAAAAAAAAAGCAGCTCTCCCAAGGACCTCTCTAAGCAGGTTCCACCTTTTCCGAAAGCACTTTCTCTGCCCCTGCATCACAGAACTTGCCACAGCTTGCTGTGTTTAGTTATTGCTATACACATCTTTCTTCTCCCACTAGCTGATGAGCCCCTGCTGAGCATGGTCTATTTCATTTCTCCCAGAGCACCCAGCAAGTTGCTTTGTACACAGAGGTGCTCTGTAAAACTCTGTAGTATGAAAGATGGTTGCAGCTGGGCATGGTGGTGCACACCTATAATCCCAGGACTTTGGGAAGCCAACGCAGGAGGATTGCTTGGAGCCCAGGAGTTCGAGACCAGCCTGGACAACATGATTAAACCACACCTTTTAAAAAAAAAAAAAATTAGCCAGGAATGGTGTATGCACTTGTACTCCCAGCTACTTGGGGGGCTGAGGGGAGGATAACTTGAGCCCGAGAGGTTGTGGCTACAATGAGCAATGTTCACACCACTACACTCCTGGCTAAACGACAAAGCAAGACCCTGTCTAAAAAAAAAGCCAAAAAAAAGATGGTAGGTCAGAACCAAGTCAAAATCAAGGTCCTTCCAGCTCACAATGTGCCAAGGTGTTCCTCGACATCTCTGAGAATATTTTTGGTGGTTTCTCTTGATAATTCCCCTTAATAATTTATCACCCACGAGTTTATCTAAACTTTTAAAGTTCATTCGTTTCGTTAATACCTCCTAGGACAATAAACTTCAATAGCTCACTGCATGCTGTGTGAGACGTTCTATTAGAATAATGTGATGAACAAAATTTTGTTTCTGACAGTGGTCCCAAAAAAAAGAGAAAAAAAAGATTTGTGTACCTTACCCATACACTTTATACTGTAAAATTTTCATCAGTTTTCCTTCCTTCTTTCCTTCCTTTTTTTTTTTTTTTTTTTTTTTTGAGATGGAGTCTTGCTCTGTCACCCAGGCTGGAGTGCAGTGGCGCAATCTCGGCTCACTGCAACCTCTGCCTCCTGAGTTCAAGCAATTCTCCCGCCTCAGCCTCCTGAGTAGCTGGGATTACAAGTACCTGTCACCGTGCCTGGCTGTTTTTTGTATTTTTAATAGAGATGGGGTTTCACCATGTCGGCCAGGCTGGTCTCGAACTACTGACCTTAAGTGATCCACCTGCCTGGGCCTCCCAAAGTGCAGGGATTACAGGTGTGAGCCACAGCACCCAGCCTCTAAGAAAGTGTCTCACTCTGTCGCCAAGGCTGGAGTGCAGTGGTACTCACTGTAACCCCAAACTTCTGGGCTCAAGTGATTAACCTGCCTCAGGCTCCCAAGTAACTGGGACTACAGATGCACACCACCACACCCGGCTAATTTTAAAATTTTGTGTAGAGATGGGGGGTCGCTATGTAGCCCAGTCTGGTGTTGAACTCCTGGGTTCAAGCAATCTTCCTGCCTCAGCCTCCCAAGGGGCTAGGGTTATGGGCATGTGCCACCATGCCCAGCCAAACTCTTGCTTTTCCATACTGAAAAGTCCTCCTCAATTGTAGGAAAACAAACTTATTGTCCAGGACTGCTCTCTATCAAAACAGGTATCTTTAAACAGAAGAGAATGAAGTTCTTAGAAGTCTTTGTTCCTTCAACTGCAAAGAAGGATGGTGACTTTTGGCACACTTAACACTTTAGGATTTACATGCCCTTTATGAAATGAGAATTGATGGTGATATTTGATTCTGATTCTCTTGGAGTAAATATAATAATTTGGAAACGTCAAGCTAACTGATGGCTAATGAAGGAAATCAATTCCATGAGACTCTATTAGACTACAAATTGCTGCTGTCCTCGTTTAAAAAATTTCTTGGTGAGTCAACTTCCAAAGGCAACAGTGTTCTGAAGCACTTGGTTTCAGCAATCCAAAGCAACAGACCACAATTTATCAAAGGGAGGAAAAACTCTGCCCTTTCTCCAGGCATAAAATGGAGGTAGCCTGGTGCAGCAGAAACGGTATGCATCGGCTTTGCAGTCAGAATTAGATTAAAACTCATGTCTAGGCCAGGCACGGTGGCTCACACCTGTAATCTCAGCACGATGGGAGGCCAAGGTGGGTGGATCATTTCAGGTTAGGAGTTTGAGACCAGCCTGGCCAACATGGCTACTAAAAATACAAAAATTAGCCAGGCGTGGTGGCGCACACCTGTAATCCCAGCTACTCAGGAGGCTGAGGCACAAGATTCACTTGAAACCTGGGAGATGGAGATTGCAGTGAGCCGAGATGGAGCCACTGCATTCCAGCCTGGGTGACAGAGCAGGACTCTGTCTTAAAAAAAAAAAAAAAAAAAAAAAAAAAAGAGGTTTTACAGACTAAAGCCACAAACTGAAAACCACTGATTATTAAAAGGGTCCGACCATTTCAGAGGACAAGATCCAATTTCTATTCAAATTAGATATTGGCCAGGCACGGTCGCTCACGCCTGTAATCCCAGCACTTTGGGAGGCCGAGGCGGGCAGATCACCTGAGGTCTGAGGTCGGGAGTTTGAGACCAGCCTGACCAACAAGGAGAAACCCCATCTCTACTAAAAACACAAAAAATTAGCCAGGTGTTGTGGCGCATGCTTGTAATCCCAGCTACTCAGAAGACTAAGGCAGGAGAATCGCTTGAACCCGGGAGGTAGAGGTTGCAGTGAGCCAAGATTGCGCCATTGCACTCCAGCCTGAGCAACAAGAGCAAAACTCTGTCTCAAAAACCATAAAATTATACATGAACACTGCTGCCAAAGCTGGTTTGTTGTTTTGCTTTTTAGATTGGGGTTGGCGGGGGGGCCGGTCTCTCTCCATCACCCCAGCTGGAGCACAGTGGCGTTGCAGCCTCAAACTCCTGGGCTCAAGCAATTCTCCTGCCTCAGCCTCCTGAGTAAATGGTACCACAGGCACAAGCCACCATGCTCAGCTAAGTTTTTCATTTTCTGTAGGGATGGGGTCTCACTCTGTTGCCCCGGCTGGTCTCGAACCCCTGGGCTCAAGTGATGCACCGGCCCTGGCCTCTCAAAGTGCTAAGATTACAAGGCGTGAGCCACCATGCTTGGCCCAACAGTTTCTGAGCCATCCTTGTCTAATACTCACTACACGTTACCTATCGGAGACTCTTGTTCACACGCTCAGCAATAGGGGTGTTGCTCAGGAAGTCTTCTCTTTTAAATGAGAACATTCTTTGAATGTCATGGTGGATTGTAAAATTAAAAATTAATTAATTCGGCCAGGCGCAGTGGCTCATACCTGTAATCCCAGTACTTTGGGAGGCCAAGGCAGGCAGATCGCCTGAGGTCAAGAGTTCAAGACCAGCCTGGCCAACATGGTGATACCCTGTCTCTACTAAAACACAAAAATTGGCCAGGCGCAGTGGCCCACACCTGTAATCCTAGCACTTTGGGAGGCTGAAGCAGGTGGATCACCTGAGGTCAAGAGTTCGAGACCAGCCTGGCCAACATGGTGAAACCTCGTCTCTACTAAAAATACAAAAATTAGCTGGGCATGGTGGCAGGCACCTGTAATCCCAGCTACTCAGGAGGCTGAGGCAGGAGAATTGCTTCAACCCAGGAGGCAGAGTTTGCAGTGAGCTGAGATTATGCCACTGCACTCCAACATGGGCGAAAAGCAAGACTCCATCTCAAAAACAAAGAAAAAAATCAATTGATTAATTAAATTTAATTAAATGGAAACAGTCTCACTTTCCCACACACTAAAATGGCCCACACTGGGTACTACTAGGTACGTCACCTAATCTTTCTGGGGCTCACACTCCTCACCTGCAAAATGACAGGGCAGAGGAGAGGGCTATTTTGTCAGGCCAAGTGTGTTGCTTCCTTAGGCCAGTTTTCTAATTTAATAATAATGGTAATCAACATTTATCAACTGCTTAACATATACCGACCACTACGCTAGGTGTTCCAAACTGATATTGTCATTTAATCCTCACAGCTAGTCTACAAGGTAGTATGCAGAAAAGAGTTGGCACAGCGGGCATGAGGCTACTACTATCCTTGCGAGGCCTGCTTGCAAGGGTGGCTCTTGGCTGCTATCTAGAACGTGGATTTTAGGAGGGTTCCACTGCTCCTTAACTAGTAAGAGAGCCTCCCTGTGCCTCAACTGTATGTACAAACGACGTAGTTTACGCTGAGTGCCTACTTTCCTTCTGAAGGTCTGGAATTTTGGTACCTGTTAAGGCAGACGGTGCCTACATGACCAGCCCTAAATAGAAATTGTGGGTACTGAGTCCCTAATGAACTTCCTTGGTACACAATGTCTCTCACACATTGTTCCAGTTACACACGAAAGGAATTAAGCATATACTGTGTGCGTCTACAGTGAGGGGACTCTGGGAAGCTTCGGCCTGGTTTCCTTCTGACCTCATGCCATTTGCCTTTTCCCTTTGATTCTGCATTGTGTCCTTTTGCTGTAATATGTAATGACTGCAAATATGACTGTGAAGCCTCCTTATAAGTCACTGAGCCTGGCATGGCCTGGGGAACCCCCAACACAAGTAGGCACTACTATCCTTGTTTTATGAATGAAGGAAGTCAGTCGGGCGCAGAGGCTCACACCTGTAATCCCAGCACCTTGGGATGCCAAGGTCGGTGGATCACCTGAGGTCAGGAGTTCAAGACCAGCCTGGCCAACATGGCGATACCTCGTCTCTACTAAAAATACAAAAATTAGCCAGGCATGGCAGCACACACCTGTAATTCCAGCTACTCGGGAGGCTGAGACAGGAGAATCGCTTGAACCCAGGAGTTGGAGAATGCAGTGAGCCTATATCGCGCCACTGCACTCCAGCCTGGGAGACAGCAATACTCTGTCTCAAAAAACAACAAAAAAAAACAAGGCTGGGCACAGTGGCTTATGCCTGTAATTCCAGCACTTTGGGAGGCCAAGACGGGTGGATCACCTAAGGTCAGGAGTTTGAGACTAGCCTGGCCAACATGGTAAAACCCCGTCTCTACTAAAAATACAAAAAATTAGCCGGACATGATGGCAGGCGCCTGTAATCCCAGCTACTTGGGAGGCTGAGGCAGGAGAATTGCTTGAACCTGGGAGGTGGAGGATGCACTGAGCCGAGATCATGCCACTGCACTCCAGTCTGGGCAACAAGAGTGAAACTCCGTCTCAAAAAAAAAAAAAGTAAAAAAAAGAAAAAAAAATTTAAAAAAGAAAACTGAAGCTTAGAAAGGAAGTAACTTGCCCAAGATCACATGGAAGACAGGTGGCATAACCTAAATCTTAACACAGTCTGGCACGAAATCCTTAACGTCTTTGTTCTTCTCCCATTCATCACCACATCTTTATATTAAATTTTCTAGAAAAAAAAAATAGGCCAGGTGCAGTGGCTCATGCCTGTGATCACAGCACTTTGGGAGGCTAAGGTGGGAGGATCACTTAAACTCAGGAGTTTGACACCAGCCTGGGCAACACAGTGAGACCCCCATCTCGATGTTAAAATACACATATATAAATTTATTTAAAAAAGAAAAAATATTTCACAGTATACATATTAATAGTCACTTACACCAAAAAGTCCTATTCTGCCCCTCCATCTCTATAGTTTTTCAAAATGAACATTGTATGAAACTAAAAAAGTAGGAACCGAAGCTGGATTGCTCCAGAAAAACACACAGATTATTAATTACTTATAATTTTGCTCCTAGCCAAATAATTTGAGTTGTGCTTTTTTATTTTAGTTTTTATTAGAGTAAAACACAGTCCTCAATCTTTATCTTTGTGGCAAAGCTGTTGCAATGCTGAGACTAATAAATCACCAACCATTATTAGGTCAGAAGAGAGTATACTTTCTGCTGAGATGATTCATTTTCAATTTCAAGATAAAAGAAAATATTGAGGAATTTCTTTATGAATCTAGGATACGAACGTTTTTCTTTTTCTTTTCTTTTTTTTTTTTTTTCTTTTGAGACGCAGCCTTACCCTGTCGCCCAGGCTGGAGTCCAAGGGCGCAATCTTGGCTCCCTGAACCTCCACCTTTTGGGTTCGAGCGATTCTCCTGCCTCAGCCTCCTGAGTAGCTGGGACTACAGGTGCCCACCACCACACCTGGCTAATTTTCTGTATTTTTAGTAGAGACAGGGTTTCACTGTGTTAGCCAGGATGGTCTCGATCTTCTGACCTTGTGATCCGCCCACCTTGGCCTCCCAAAGTGCTGGGATTACAGGTGTGAGCGACCAAGCCCGGCCTAAACATTTTTCTTAAGAAGACTTAAAAAGAATTTGGGAGGCCATGGTAGGTGGATCATTTGAGCCCAGGAGTTCGAGACCAGCCTGGCCAACATGGCTCTATAAAAAATACAAACATTAGCCCGGCCTGGTGGTGTGTGCCTGCATTTCCAACTACTTAAGAGGCCAAGGCAGGAGGATCATTTGAGCCCAGGAGGCAGAGGTTGCACTGATTCAAAATCACGGCACTCCAGCCTGGGCGACATTGCGAGACCCTGTCTGAAAACAAAAACAACAAGACTGAAAAAGCATAATCCATAAATTTAACTGCATTAAAATTAAAGTTCTGTTCATCAAAAGACAGCACATAGCTGGGAGTGGTAACTCACAAATACAGACACAGTTACTTGGGAGGCAGAACCAGGAGGATCATTTGAGACCAGGAGTTCAAGGAGGCAGTGCACCATGATCGTGACTGTGAATAGGCACTCCAGCCACAGTAACAGCGAGATCGCATCTCAAAAAAAAAATTTTAATTTAAATTAAAAAAAAATTTTTAATACCATAAAAAGAATGAAAAGGCAAGCTACAACTTGGGAGAATGGATTTACAATATATATAACCATACAGAACTGGAATCCAGAAAAATTTTTACACTCTTCTTAATCTATAAGAAAGAGACAATGCAGCCGGGCGCGGTGGCTCGCGTCTGTAATCCCAGCACTTTGGGAGGCCGAGGCGGGCAGATCACGATGTCAGGAGATCGAGACCATCCTGACTAACACGGTGAAACTCCATCTCTACCAAAACTACAAAAAAATAGCAGGGTGTGGTGGCGGGCGCATGTAGTCCCAGCCACTCGGGAAGCTAAGGCAGGAGAATGGCGTGAACCCGGGAGGCGGAGCTTGCAGTGAGCTGAGATCGTGCCACTGCACTCCAGCGTAGATAACAGAGCAAGATTCTGTCTCAAAAAAGAAAAATAAATAAATCAATAAATAAAAATTGGCCTTGATACTTATCTACTTATAGCAGCTTTCTTCAGTCACTAAAAACTGGAAAAAAACTAAATGTCCATAAACAGGTGAATGAATACACAAATTGCAGTCTATATACTGGAACACTACTCAGCAAGAAGAAGGAATGCACTAACAGATAGGCTCAACAACAAGAATGAATCTCAAAAGCACTAGGCTAAGCAAAAGACGCCAGGTAGGGTGGTGGCTCATGCCTGTAATCCCAAAACTTTGGGAGGCCAAGGTGGGAGGGCTGTGTGAGGCCAGGAGTTCAAGACCAGCCTGGGCATCAACAGCCAGATTCCACCCCCACAAAAAATTTTTAAAAATTACCCAGGACTGGCCAGGCACAGTGGCTCACGCCTGTAATCCCAGCACTTTGGGAGGCCAAGGTGGGTGGATCGTGAGGTCAGGAGTTCAAGACCAGCCTGGCAAAGATGGTTAGCCAGGCGTGGTGATGGGCTCCTGTAATCCCAGCTACTCAGGAGGCTGAGGCAGAGAATCGCTTGAACTCAGGAGGCAGAGGTTACGGTGAGCCGAGATCGTGCGACTGCACTCCAGCCTGGTGACAGAGTGAGACTCTGTCTCAAAAAAAAAAAAAAAAAAAAAAAGAGCCAGGCCTGGTGGCATATGCCTGTCGACTCAGTTATTCAGGAGGCTGAGATGGGAGGACACTTGAGCCCAGGAGCTGGAGGCTGCACTCAGCAAGGACTGTGCAACTGCACTCCAGCCTGGGCAACTGAGAAAGATTCTGTCCCTTCAAAAAACAAAACAAAACAAAACAAAAATGAAAGCCAGACTCAAAAGGCTACACATCATATCACATGATTCCATTTGTTATAGAAATCCCATCAGCAGCTGCCAGAGATAAGGGATGGAGATTGAGTACACAGGGGGACCAAGGAACTGTTTGGAGTGATGGAAACGTTCTACATCATGATTACGGCAGTGGTTACATGACTACATCCATTTGTCAAAACCCAACAAACTCTACAATTATACCTGCATAAACCTGGATTTTTTTTTTTTAATCACTCTGGCTATATGGAAGATAAAATGGAAGAAGGAAATGCTACTGTGAGGGAAGAGTTGTCTCCAAGTATGTTCAGCTGCTTTGGACATACAGAGCTTGATTTTCTCGCAGATCCTGAAGTGGAGACACGAAGTAGGCAGCCACCGTGGGTCTGCAGTTCTTCTCTTCAACACAGGAGTCATCCACTGCAGCACTTTTGCAAATATCATTAGGTTAGCCTTGTAACTGCACATTCCAGCATCTTACCTTTCCTTGAGAGTGAAAACTAATCTCCACACTTCTCAGTACTCTGAACTGTACTTTCCAATATCATAGCCATTAGCCACAGTGGCTATTTAAATGGCAATTAAAATGCCATAAAATTGAAAATACATCTGTCGCACTAGCCCCATTTCCATCATCACTGGAAGTTCTACAAAACAGTGATGCTCTGGGCCAGGCGCGGTGGCAGCATTTTGGGAGGCCAAGGCGGGCAGATCACGAGATCAGGAGATTGAGACAATCCTGGCTAACACAGTGAAACCCCATCTCTACTAAAAAATACAAAAAAATTAGCCAGGCATGGTGGCGGGCGCCTGTAGTCCCAGCTACTCGGGAGGCTGAGGCAGGAGAATGGCATGAACCCGGGAGGCGGAGCTTACAGTGAGCCAAGATCGAGCCACTGCACTCCAGCCTGGGCGACAGAGTGAGACTCTGTCTCAAAACAAAACAAAACAAAACAAAACAAACAAACAAAAAAACAGTGTTGCTCTGGAAGATTACCTGCAAGTTGTGTGTTTTTTTTGTTTTTTTCAGATGGAGTCTCGCTCTTGTCACCCAGGCTGGAGTGCAGTGGCACGATCTAGGCTCACTGCAACCTCCACCTCCTGGGTTCAAGCGATTCTTCTGCCTCAGCCACCCGAGTAGCTGGGATTACAGGCACCCACCACCACACCCGGCTAATTTTTGTATTTTTAGTACAGATGGGGTTTCACCATATTGGCCAGGCTGGTCTCGAACTCCCAACCTCAAGATCCGCCTGCCTCAGCCTCCCAAAGTGCTGGGATTACAGGTGTGAGTCACCACACCCGGCCTTTTTTTTTTTTTTTTTTTTTTTTCTTTGAGACAGAGCTTCACCTTGTCACCCAAGCTGGAGTGCAATGGCGTGATCTCAGCTCACCACAACCTCCAACTCCTGGGCTCAAGCAATTCTCCTCCCTCAGCCTCCCGAGTAGCTGGGATGACAGGCATGCACCACCACGCCCAGCTAATTTTTATTGTATTTTTAGTATTTTTAGTAGAAACGGGCTTTCACCATGTTAGCCAGGCTGGTCTCGACTCCTGACACAGGTGATCCACCTGCCTCGGCCTCCCAAAGTGCTGGAGTTATACGCGTGAGCCACCATGCCTGGCCTAAGTTTTCTTATAGTGTTAACACTCATTGATGCCAGGAAGCACTTCACAGTAGTTGCCAAGCAGCACAGGCTCTTGATTATTAATTAGTGACAGTAATAGCCCAAAGCATTGTTTCATAAAATAAATGGCACTTTTATAAACTATAAAAAAGACTTTCACACTTCAGACTGGGGTTTTCCTCTGAAAAATCTAAGTCTTTTTTTTTTTTTTTTTTGAGACAGAGTTTCGCTCTTGCCCAGGCTGTAGTGCAACGGTGCGATTTGGCTCGCTGCAACCTCCGCCTCCCAGGTTCAAGTGACTCTCCTGCCTCAGCCTCCCGAGTAGGTGGAATTACAGGCACACGCCACCATGCCTGGCTAATTTTTGTATTTTTAGTAGAGATGGGGTTTCACCATGTTGGCCAGGCTGGTCTCAAACTCCTGACCTCAGGTGATCTACCTGCCTTGGCCTCCTAAAGTGCTAGGATTACAGGCGTTAGCCTACGCCCAGCCAAAAAATCTAAAAGTTTTAATTTTAAAAAATTATTTTCAGACCAGGTGCAATGGCTCACATCTGTAATCCAGCGCTTTGGGAGGCTGAGGCAGGCATATCACTTCAGGTAAGGAGTTCAAGACCAGCCTGGCCAACATGACGAAACCCCATCTCTACTAAAATACAAAAATTAGCCCGGTGTGGTGGGGCACGCCTGTAATCCCAGCTACTCAGGAGGCAGGAGAAGCACTTGAACCCAGGAGGTGGAGGTGACAGCGAGCTGAGATTGCGCCACTGCACTCCAGCCTGGGCAACAGAGCGAGACTCCATCTCAAAAATAAAAAAATATATATTTTTAGGCCAAGGTGGGAGGATCACTTCAGCTCAGGAGTTCAAGACCAGCCTGAACAAGAACGTAAAGCCCCATCTCTGCAAAAAAAAACACACAAAAAGGCCGGGTGCGGTGGCTCACGCCTGTAATCCCAGCACTTTGGGAGGCTGAGGCGGGCGGATCACAAGGTCAGGAGATCGAGACCATCCTGGCTAACACGGTGAAACCCTGTCTCTACTAAAAAAAATATATATATACAAAAAATTAGCCAGGCGTGGTGGTGGGCGCCTGTAGTCCCAGCTACTTGGGAGGTTGAGGCAGGAGAATGCCGTGAACCTGGGAGGCAGAGTTTGCAGTGAGCAGAGATCATGCCACTGCACTCCAGCCTGGGCGACAGAGAGAGACTCTGTCTCAAAAAAAAAACAAAAAAAACACACACACACAAAATTGTGGGGCTTGGTGGTGTGCACCTGTATTCACAGCT
Source organism: Homo sapiens (assembly GCF_000001405.40). NCBI lineage: Eukaryota > Metazoa > Chordata > Mammalia > Primates > Hominidae > Homo > Homo sapiens. The sequence continues at coordinate 74,981,447 of NC_000016.10, forward strand.
ACTCAGGAGACTGAGGTGGGAAGATCACTTGATACCATAAGGTTGAGGCTGAGGTGAGCCAAGATTGCACCACTGCATTCCAGCCTGGGTGACAGAGCAAGACCCTGTCTTACACATATATACATATATATTTTTTGTATTTTTTTAGACAATACATATACATTTACATATATATATATATATATATATATATATATATATATATATATATATATTTTTTTTTTTTTTAGATGGAGTCTCACTCTGTCGCCCAGGCTGGAGTACAGTGGTGAGATCTTGGCTCACTGCAACCTCTGCCTCCCAGGTTCAAGCTATTCTCCTGCCTTAGCCTCCCAAGTAGCTGGGATTACAGGTGCATGCCACTATGGTCGGCTAATTTTTGTATCTTTAGTAGAGATAGGGTTTCACCATGTTGGCCAGGCTGGTCTCAAACTCCTGACCTCAGGTGATCCGCCTACCTCGGCCTCCCAAAGTGGTGGGATTACAGGCGTGAGCCACCACGCCTGGCCATATATGTATATTTTTTAGGCCAGGCACGGTGGCTCACGCCTGTAATCCCAGCACTTTGGGAAGCTGCAGCAGGAAAATCACTTGAACCTCGGAGTTCAAGACCACCTGGGCAAGATACAGAGACTCCTATCCCTATTTAAAAAAAAAATGCAAAATGAAAGAAATTTAAATATTTTAATTAAAAATTTTTTAATAAAATTATTATTTAAAAGATGTGGAGTGTTTTGAAAAGTTTATTGCTCCTATTCATAAAGGCATTATGAAGAGTTTTAACTTTGTCTTTCTACATTAACAAAATAGTTAATAAAATGGGTTCCTGCCCCTTCCAATCATCACCAGAATCACCCACAAAACCATGCTAATTCACATAAAGAGGAAGCCTTGTAAATAGGAAAATCAGAACAAAAAAACAGAAACTCCCACAAGGCAGTAAAATTACCCAATTTACTTTGTTCTCTTACTGTGACAACTGCTGTTGAGGTTTAATTATTTGCTACGACTTCATAGCATCCTAATATATGTGTCAGCACCCTCTCTGCAGGTCTCTTCAATTACATCTCTATAAACAGGCAGGGGTGAGACTACCTGGGTTTCTGTGAAAATTAAAGGGTTTGCAGATTAGTAGCTTCCAAATTAGCAGGCTTAGAGGCATGATACATGATTCTATTCTGTCCTAGTTGCCAGTAAAAGCAATTAACAAGAAAGAAAACAGGAATATGGTTCCTTTTCCAAGGAGTCTGGCGCCTCCCTAGGGAGAGCAGGTCTCACGGAGACTCTGTGCTGACAGTACTTGGGGGTCCTTAATCCAAATGCTACTGCTCAAATTCTCAGTAGAGGCTACTGATCAGAGGGCACCACAGAGCAAAATGGTGGGTAGCTCCTCCACTCACTCATTCTCCGGCAAAAGACAGGATGGGGTTTTGGAAAGAAGAAACCACATCACCCATTCATACTTATCCAGATCTCCCTCAGTATGAATCACCTGTGCATGGTATAGTGTATACCTGAAGGGAGCTCAGTAAATCCTTGTTGAATAAATGAGTGAATAAAAGTGTGGCACACAGAAGGTATTTGATAAATATTAGTTGAATAAATGAAAAGAATGGCCAGGCACAGTCGCTCACACCTGTAATCCCAATATTTTGGGAGGCCAAAGTGGGAGAATCGCCTGAGGCCAGGGGTTCAAGACCAGCCTGGGCAACACAAAGAGACTCTGTCTCTACAAAAAATAATAGGCCAGGTGTAGTGGCTCACACCTGTAATCCCAGCACTTTAGGAGGCCAAGGCAGATGGATCACTTGAGGCCAGGAGTTCAAGACCAGCCTGGCCAACAGAGCGAAACCCCGTCTCTACAAAAAATACAAAACTTAGCCAGGCATGGTGGCACGTGCCTGTAATCCCAGCTACTCGGGAGGCTGAGGCACAAGAATCGTTTGAACCTGGGAGGCAGAGGTTGCAGTGAACCAAGATCATGCCACTACACTACAGTCTGGGTCATAGAGTGAGACTCTGTCTCAAAAAAAAAGGTAAATAAATTTAAAATTGAAGAGAATCACCAAGACACTGTCCTAGGTGCTGGGGAAGAGGGGATGTATATGACCGGTTCAGAGCTACCCACTATGAGTAAAGTAGTCCAATGAGCTAAACAAGGGCTCTGGGGTAGGATCCAGCATCCAAATCCCAATGCTGTGTGTGCCACACATCCTCAACATACAACCACATAAAATCTTCACTCGAGGCTGTGCTCAGTGAATCACACCTGTAATCCCAACACTTTGGGACGCTGAGGCAGGGGGTTCGCTTGAGCCCAGGAGTTCCATACCAGCCTGGACAACATAGGGAGACCCCGTCTCTACAAAAAAAAATGAAAAATTTAGTCGGGCGTGTTGGCATGCGCCTGTAGTCTCAGCTACTGGGGAGGCTGAGGTGGGAGGATAGCTTGAGCCCAGGAGGTCGAAGCTGAACTGAGCGGTGATTCACGCCTCTGCACTCAAGCCTGGGTGACAGAGCCAGACCCTGTCTCAAATGAAGTAAAATAGGCCAGGCACGGTGGCCCACGCCTGTAATCCCAGCACTTTGGGAGGCTGAGGTGGGTGGATCACCTGAGGTCAGGAGTTCAAGACCAGCCTGACCAACAAGGTGAAACCCCGTCTCTACTAAAAATACAAAAATTAGCCGGGCGTGGTGGTGCGCACCTGTAATCCCAGCTACTTGGGAGGCTGAGGCAGGAGAATTGCTTGAATCCCGGAGGCGGAGGTTGCAGTGAGCCAAGATGGCACCACTGCACTCCAGCCTGGGCAACAGAGTGACTCTCCATCTCAAAAAAAATAAATTAAATTAAATTAAATAGAAAATTAAAAAATAAAATCTTTAAGCCAATCTTGTAAGTACGACCATCTCCCTTCTACAGGTGAGAAAACTGACGTGTACGGAGTGATGACAGGGTAGGGGCTGCGGGATTCGAACTCGGGCAACACGTGCAGTGTCACTCCTATCCACTACACGGTATTTTCCAGTATGATGGCATTAAGAACCACTTAACCGCGTAGACGCTGCAACAGGCACTTTGCAAACAGTGTTTCATCGAATTCACCCCAACAGGGTTACGTCCACGCAGCTGAGACTTAGAAAAGTCCCGCGACTTGCCTTAAGTCGCCACACGCGGCTAGGGCCTCGGGAAGCCGTCACGCCCTCGCTCCGTACCCTGATTGTGGGAAGCCTCCCCTCAGCACTCACGATGCGCAGTCTCTGCCTCAGTGTCACAAGGCGGACCCCACTCCCCTACCCGCGTAGGGAGCCCCGAAACTCCGTCCATGCTCGCCCCGATTGCCCCCGATGGTCGTCTTCCCTCCCCCGACGGGGCCTAAGAGGTCGGCTAAGCCCCGCCCACCTCCTCAGTACGGGGCCTAGGGTCTCCCCGTAGCCCCCCGGGACGGAAGCAGCCGCGTGGGGGAGGGGAAGCGGGGAGGACGCATGCCCAGAGGGCTCCACTCGGCCTCTAGCTCACCTGGGAGTCACGGAACTCTACAACCACGTTTTCGCTGCTCCATCGCGCCGCCATCTCCCCCGCCCGGCCGCCGCGGCCCCAGGACGGCGCCCTCCCACCCCGCCGTCCCCAGTATCCCGGGACCGTGCGCCCCACACAGCCAGAGAATCAGCCCCGACACGCCCCGTGCCCTGGTTGCTCCTGAGCTCAAGCCATTGGTTGACCCAAGCATAGGCTCCGCCCCTTCTTCCTGGGTCCTCCAATTGCTACACCGCGCCTGCAACAAACAGGCACGCCCTCGCTCACTTCCGTCACTTGGTTTGAGTCACCCACGCTCCTCGCGATTGCGGGCACACCCCCTGCCGCGAGCTCTGCCGGGAGTTGTAGTCCAAGCTCGAGCAAGCGTGGGTGACCTGGGAAGGGCTCGCAGGTTTGGGTTTGGGTGAGGTGAGGTGCCTGTTGTCCTGACTAGCTCCTCGCTGGAGTCCCCAGCATTCGTCCAGACCCAGTCTCAAATCAAAATCAACGTTCGGGGCGGGTGCGGTGACTCACGCCTGTAATCCTAGCGCTTTGGGAGGCCGAAGTCAGGAGTTCGAGACCAGCCTAAACAACATAGTGAAACCCCGTCTCTACTAAAAATACAAAAATTAGCCGGGTGGCGGGCGCCTGTAATCCCAGCTACTTGGGAGGCTGGGGCAGGAGAATCGCTTGAACCCGGGAGGCGGAGATTGCAGTGAGCCGAGATCACGCCATTATACTCCAGCCTGGGTGACAAGAGCGAGACTCCGTCTCGGAAAAAAAAAGAAAAAAGAAAAATCAAAGCTCGTGCAAACCGAAGATACCTCTTCTCCTGATGCCTATCCCATCGAGATATTTAAAAGTCTGAATGTGCAATTTATTGTTTCATACAATACAGCAGCGCCTCCCGTAACAATGAAGGTAGACTTAAATGTGAGAATCCAGCTGTTTTCTTGATCTGTAGTCCAATGCTCTACCTGTGAGCTATACCCCCTCCTGCAATCCAGCTGCTTTCTTTCCTTTTCTTTTTTTTTTTTTTTTTTTTTTTTTGAGACAGAGTCTTGCTCAGTCGCCCAGGCTGGAGTGCAGTGGCGCGATCTCGGCTCACTGCAAGATCCGCCTCCTGGCTTCACGCCATTCTCTTGACTCAGCCTCCGGAGTAGCTGGGACTACAGGCGCCCGCCACTACGCCCGGCTAATTTTTTTGTATTTTTAGTAGAGACGGGGTTTCACCGTTTTAGCCAGGATGGTCTCGATCTTCTGACCTCGTGATCTGCCCGTCTCGGCCTCCCAAAGTGCTGGGATTACAGGCGTGAGCCACCGCGCCCGGCCGCTGTTTTCTGATAAACCAAACATTAAAACAGATTTGCCAGAATTTTTTGTTGTTTTTTTTTTTTTTTGAAAATATTGTTCTTTTTCATTTTAAAATGTATTCATGTGAAGGGCCTTAATGTTTAAATGAAATAATGAATATATTTTTTAAATTCTGTATACTACATATAAAAGTTTTTGGGGGCCGGACGCAGTGGCTCATGCCTGTAATCCCAGCACTTTGGGAGGCTGACGTGGACGGATGGCTTGAGCCCAGAAGGAGGCTGCAGTAAGCTAGGATCACATTACTGTACTCCAGCCTGGGCGACAGAGCAAGACCTTGTCAAAAAAAAAAAAAAAGTTTTTTTGGGATTTTCAGTAATTTTTAACAGCAGTGTAAAGGGATTCCAAGATCAAAAAGTTTGAGAACCACTGTACTAACATGGTGGGTGGTGATTAAGTTTCCTTTTCAGTCCCACACTCTTAAATGTTGATTTAACTGGTTTAGCTTCAGTTTCCCTATAGAAGGGAAAAATGGCTTACCTCATTGGATTGTTGTAAGGAACTAAGCACAGGGCCTGGGATGTAGAAAAGCTCAACTATAAACTATTAATTCAGTTCTAGAAGCCAGGAAATCAATAAAAATAAAATAAAATAAACTGTTATTGTTGTTGTTAATATTATCACTATTTGTATGTGCAAGTCATTGTATGAATAGAGGTAAGAAAGTGTGGTCTCTTCCCTCCTGGAGTATTGGCTATAAGGGGGAAGACAGACTTGTTGACAGATTACGGTGACTAACTTGTTGCCTGGACCGTTTCATGTTTTATTTTTATTTTTTTGGAGAAAGGGTCTCGTTCTGTCACTGAGGCTGGAGTGCAGTGGTGTGAGCATAGCTCACCACAGCCTCCAACTCCTGGGCCCAAGCAATCCTCCTGCCTCAGCCTCCCAAGTAACTGGGACTACAGGCATGTGCTACTATGCCCAGCTATTTTTTTTTTTTTTTTTTTTTACTTTTTGTAGAGATGGTCTCGTTGTGTTGCCCAGGGTGGTTTCAAAGTAGTGGCTTCAAGCAAGTGATCCTCCGGCCTCAGCCTCTGGATTAGCTGGGACCATAGGTGTGAGCCACCATGCCTGATCCCTTTTCATATTCTAGCACTGCATCACCAAAAAGTCTTGCATCCCAAGAAACCCATAAGTTCCAGGCAAACTGGGACAACTGGTTACTCTACAACAGGAATGTGCTTGGCAGAATGACTTGTATATTATAATAGATTTGCAAGCAATATGGCAGGAGAGAAAAGCCTAAATAGGCGACCCGAAATGGCATCTTGAAATCTTGAAGAATATGACATCTGAGCTTTGTTTTGTTTTGTTTTGTTTTGTTTTGTTTTGTTTTGAGACGGAGTCTCCTTCTGTCGCCCAGGCTGGAGTGCAGTGGTGGGTGGATCACTGCAAGATCCGCCTCCCGGGTTCACGCCATTCTCCTGCCTCAGCTCCCAAGTAGCTGGGACTACAGGCGCACGCTGCCACATCCGGCTAATTTTTTGTATTTTTAGTAGAGATGGGGTTTTACCGTGTTAGCCAGGATGGTCTTGATCTCCTGACCTCGTGATCTGCCCACCTCGGCCTCCCAAAGTGCTGGGATTACAGGCGTGAGCCACTGCATCCGGCCCGACATCTGAGCTTTTCAGTATAATGTTAAGATATTGATACAGTACACTATGAAAAAAAAAAAAACACTTCACCATTAAGAGTGTGAGCAAAGGCTGGACGTGTTTGCTCACACCTGTTATTTGACAGAATCATTTAAGTCCAGGAGTTCGAGACCAGCCTGGACAACATGGCAAGACCCCATCTCTAAAAAAAAAAAAATTAAAATTAGCCAGGCGTGGTGGCATGCATCTGTAGTCCCAACTACATGGGAAGGTGAGGTGAGAGGACTGCTTGAGTCTGGGAGGTTGAGGCTGCAAAAAGCTATGATCGCGCCACTGTGCTCCAGCCTGGGTGACAGAACAAAACCCTGTCTCTAAAAAAAAATTAAAATTAAAGTCATTTCATTCCTGACTGGCTACCTCATCCATTATCTTCATGTTTCTCGAATTTGTGATACAAAGAACAACGTATAGCCAATCAGTAGCTTATGTTATTTTGAGGTAAATTCTTAGTAAAGACTTTAGGAACTGCCCCTTCTTTTTCTTTAGAAACCCACCGTAGGCCAGGTGCGGTGGCTCACGCCTGTAATCCAGCACTTTGGGAGGCCAAGGAGGGCGGATCACGAGGTCAGGAGATCAAGACCATCCTGGCTAACATGGTGAAACCCCGTCTCTACTAAAAATACAAAAAATTAGCCGGGCGTGGTGGCGGGCGCCTGTAGTCCCAGCTACTAGGGAGGCTGAGGCAGGAGAATGGCGTGAACCCAGGAGGCGGAGCTTGCAGTGAGCCGAGATGGCACCACTGCACTCCAGCCTGGGCGACACAGAGAAACTCCGTCTCAAAAAAAAATAAATACATACATACATAAAATTAAAAAATTAAAAAATTAGCCAGGCATGGTGGCAGGCGCCTGTAATCCCAGCTACTCAGGAGGCTGAGGCCGGGAGAATCGCTTGAACCCGGGAGACGGAGTTTGCAGTGAGCGGAGATAGGGTCACTGCTCTCCAGCCTGGGCAACAGAGTGAGAATCTGTCTCAAAAAAAAAAAAAGAAAGCCCTGCTTAGGCGTTTGAGTTTTACTTTGGACATACATACAAATAGAGACATAGCTCTTCTAAAGCTCTCTGTCTTTGTGTACATAGCTTGTTAATTTGCTTCCCACCAAAATGAGTGGGATCTAAGATCATCGTGCCTGAGCATTTCTGCAACCCTCCCCCACTCCCACCTCTTTAGTTCATATTTATCTAGTTCTCAAAATCTGCCTGTCATGGTTCATAGGCAAAGATAGTACTTTGGCTTTCAAGTCCTTGGTGCACTCTGTTCTCCCAATGTTTTTTTTTTCTTAAGTAGGAAAAAGGTTCAGCAGAATTTTGGGGAGAGGGAGCAGGAGAACCTTTCCAATTGCCTCCTCGGATCCTGCTTTGGAGTCTCCCACCCATATGTCATGACACTGTCATGAAGTAGTGGGGACTCTGCCAGGTGCAGTGGCTCACGCCTGTAATCCCAACACTTTAGGAGGCCAAGGCGGGCGGATTACCTGAGGTCAGGAGTTTGAGACCAGCCTGGCCAACATGGAGAAACCCCATCTCTACTAAAAATACAAAAATAGCCAGGTGTGGGGGCAGGTGCCCTGTAATCCCAACTACTCCGGAGGCTGAGGCAGGAGAATCGCTTGAACCCGGGAGGCAGAGGTTGCAGTGAGCCAAGATCAAGTCACTGCACTCCAGCCCAGGCAACGGAGCAAGACTCCGTCTCAGAAAAAAAAAAAAAAAAAAAAAAAAAGAAAGGAAAGAAAAGAAGAAAGGAAGGAAGGAAGAGAAAGAAAGGAAGGAAGGAAGGAGAGAGAGAAAGAGTGGGGACTCTGGAGCAACATCCAGAGCTCTCTGGCTGCTTCTTCATTGCTATTCACCCCTGAGATCCCCATGTAAGTGTTCTTTCCATGTTGACCAAAAAAATCAAACAAAATCAAAATCAAACTTTTTGTATGTATTTTGGAGACTTTTTGTATGTATTTGGAGACTATATTTCCAGACTCAGGCTGGAGTGCAGTGGCAATGGTGCCATCTCGGTTTACTGCAGCCTCAACTTCCCAGGCTTAAGCAATCCTCCCACCTCAGCCTCTCAAGTAGCTGGGACCACAGGTGCATACCACCACACCTGGCTAATTTTTGTATTTTTTATAGAGATGGGGTTTGGCCGTGTTGCCCAGGCTGGTCTCAAACTACTGAGCTCAAGTGATCCACTCACCTTAGCCTCCCAAATTACTGCTCTGTAAAATATTTAAAGAGGTTTATTCTGAGCCCATATGCGTGCCATATGAGTGACCATGGCCTGGGGGACAGTCTCAAGAGATCCTGAGAAAGTGTGCCCAAGGCGGTCAGGGTATACATTGGTTTTGTACATTTTAGGGAGACAGGAATTTTAGGTAAAATCATAAGTCAATACATGGAAGGTATACATTGATTCAGCCTAAAGAAGCAAGATACCTTGGAGGGGGTGGTTACAGGTCTTAGGTGGAGTCTAAGATTTTCTGATTGGCAATTGGTTAAAAGAGTTCAACTGTGTCTAAAGACTTGAAGTCAATAGAAAGAAATGTTTCAGTTAATATGAGGGACGCTATAGAGACCAAGGTTCTTGTTATGAAGACAAAGTTTCACAGGCATCAGCCTTCAGAGAGAATAGGCAGTAAATTTCTCAGGGCCTTAAAAGGTGTCAATATCAGTTTATCTCTTTAAAAAAAAAAAATTAAGGCCAGGCAAGGTGGCTCACGCCTGTAATCTCAGCACTTTGGGAGGCCAAGGCAGGTGGATCATTTGAGGTCAGGAGTTCCAGACCACATGGTGAAGCCACATCTCTAATAAAAATACAAAAAAAATTTAGCCGGGCGTGGTGGCACATGCCTGCAGTCCCAGCTACTCCAGAGGCTGAGGCAGGAGAATTGCTTGAACCCGGGAGGCAGAGCAGTGAGCCAAGATGGCGCTGCTGCATTCCAGCTTGGGTGACAGAGCAAGACCTTGTCTCAAAAAAAAAATTAGGATGGGGTTTCACTATGTTGCCTAGGCTGATCTCTAACTCTTGGGCTCAAGCGATCCTCCCGCCCCGCTGGCCTCCCAAAGTACTGGGATTGCAGGTGTGAGCCACCACGCTCGGCCTCTTAATCTCTCTTAAATGCAGGAAAGTCTCAGCTGCGTTCTCTACGATGCAAAATTTCCCCCACAACAGAGTGCTTTGAAGAGCCATTTCAAACTACGCCAAAGAAATATATTTTGGGGTAAAATACTTTTATTTCCTTCAGGGTCTGCTGTCTGTTATATGATGCTATACCAGAGTCAGGTTGGAATTCGGTATCTTATTGCCACAAAGCGTCTGTTCTGTCAGTCTTATGATCTCTATTTCAACCTTAACGCTGATCAGTTGTGCCTAAACTCGAAAAGGTGGGGGGTATAATGACCTTCTTTCCCACGATGGCCAGAAATTCAGTTTTTCAGGTTTCTCTGGAGTCCCCTTGGCCTGGGGGAGGGTGGTCCATTCTGTAACTTGGGGGACTTAGGATTTTGCATCTGAATCAGAGGCTGGGGACCACTGAGGGTCCTTTGTCAAGTAGATCCCACTTTGCCACAGAGGATTTATCATGAAACTGTGTTTTTTCAGGACACTTGCTAGCCAAGCGGCAGGAAAGCAGGGTACACAGCAAACCCAGAAATCCAGGGCCTGGGCTGGGCTCTTATCAGCAACTAGCCATGCAATTTGAACATGATCCTTTATCTTTCTAGTCTTCTGTTTGCTCTTCTGCAGAATTTGGAGCTAGCTGACTACTCAGTTCATTTACATCTGGGAACCTTGGACCCTGGCCCTGAGTCCCAGTAATAATTTCCCTCTCTTCATCAATCAACAAATATTTATGAACATGGTCCTGTGCTCAGCCTCCCGGCCATGTGTATTTGGTTACTCATTATCCTGATTTCTCTAAGCTGTCTCCTTTCAAGCAAAACAATAAAATTTAAAGAGCTCCGAGAGGGCCTGGGAGGAAGTTTCTCACTAAAAGGCATTTGTCCACCCCCAGTGGGGTGATAGGGGTGCTGGGGATGCCCTCCAAAGCCATGGGAAACCCTCGCCTTCCTCTGGCTCACAGAAACAGGGAGGTGGACGGGAGTTCCCCACTGCTTCTCAGGAGTAGGCCCTCACAAGCCCTTTCCCCTATTTTCTGAATAGTGAAAGTCCCAGGCTTTCTATAATAGAATAGATATGCACTCGCATTTCCAAAGGGCTTTGGCAGCAAAAATTTTATCAGCTCTTCCTCCTGACTGTTGTGGTAAGTGGATCAGTGGTTTATTGTTAGTACAAAACAAGATAACAGGACATTTTCTTTTCTTTTTTTTTTTTGAGACAGAGTCGCCCTTTGTTGCCCAGGCTGGGGTGCAGTAGCGCGATCTCCGCTCACGGCAACCTCTGCCTCCCGGGTTCAAGCGATTCTCCCGCCTCAGCCTCCCGAGTAGCTGGGATTACAGGCAACTGACACCATGCCTGGCTAATTTTTGTATTTTTACTAGAGACAGGGTTTCACCATGTTGGTCAGGCATGAGCCGCTGTGCCCAGCCATAACAGGACATTTTCTGAGATAGGCTACCATTCGGGGTCCCACAGGGCACCTAAGCTGAGTGCAATCACATTGCACAGAGCAGGGGCTTCACCTTTGCAGTACAAGATCTCAGCTGTTCAGTGGTGCCAGCTATGAGAGAGGTGACTTATAATAATCAGCACACTAGAATGTAAATCTTAAGGCCAAATAATTAATTCACAAAAAGAAATACAGCTGTTAAGTAGATCTAGTCTTTTTCACCCCTTTGGAAAGTATACAGAGAAAACAAAATTGTCATTGGAAGAATTCCTCTGCTGGGTGCAGTGGCTCACACCTGTAATCCCAACACTTTGAGAGGCTGAGACGGGAGGATTGCTTGAGCCCAGGAGTTCAAGACCAGTCTGGGCAACATGGTGAAACCCTGTCTCTAAAAAAATACAAAACTTAGCCAGGCACGGTGGCACGCACGTGTGGTCCCAGCTACTCAGGAGGGTGAGGTGGTAGTATCCCTTTAGCCTGGGAGGCAGAGGTTGCAGTAAGCCCAGATTGCACCACTGCACTTCGAGCTGGGTGACAGAGTTAAGACCCTGTTCTCAAGAAAAAAAAAAAATTCTTTGATGAGCATGTTCACCGTAAAACTTAAGAGCCCAGCTCTGGCCCAGCGTCGTGGCTCACGCCTGTAATCCCAGCACTTTGGGAGGCCGAGGCGGGCGGATCACGAGGTCAGGAGATCGAGACCATCCTGGCTAACACGTGAAACCCCATCTCTACTAAAAATACAAAAAATTAGCTGGGCATGGTGGCGGGTGCCTGTACTCCTAGCTACTCTGGAGGCTGAGGTAGGAGAATGGTGTGAACCCGGCAGGGGGAGTTTGCAGTGAGCTGAGATGGTGCCCCTGCACTCCAGCCTGGGCGACAGAGCGAAACTCCATCTCAAAAAAATAAAATAAAAAGCCCAGCTCTGCTCTTACTAGCTGCATGACCATTAATGTGCATGTAGTATGTTTTGTCTATCATCTATCAAAATTTATTTTTTCCTTTTTTTTATTTTTGAGATAACGGCTTTCTGCAGCCTCAATCTCCCTAGGTTTGGGCGATCCTCCCACCTCAGCCTCCCAAGTAGCTGGGACCACAGGCACGTGCCAACACACCTGGCTAATTTTCGTATTGTTTATAGAGCAGGGTCTTGCTGTTGCCCAAGCTGGTCTTGAACTCTTGGGCTCAAGTAATCTGTCTGCCTCGACCTCCCAAAGTGCTGGGAGGCCATTCCTATTGGTGCTGATGATAGCACCAATGATGCTGGTGCTAGATAGACAGCATCTCATGATGCTGATAAAGGCTTTCCAGCTCCCCATGCCCTTGGGATGGGGACCACGCTCCTTGCCATGGCTCACAGGACCCTCTTGCCTGCCCCTGAGGAACAGATTCATCTTTGGCTCTCACCCCCTTGCATTGCAGCACTATAGCCTCTTTCAGTTCCTTGAATATGCCATGTTCTCTCACATCTGGGCTGTTCCCTTTGCCTGGAACAGTATTCTCTTCCTGAAACACAGTTTTTTTCCCTGCCCTGCCTCCTTGCCTGGCTGATCTCCAACTCACCTTTCAGGCATCAGCTTGGAATGGTCTATTCCTGTCTCTTGCCTTTCTTTCAGCACCATACTCTTTCTCCCTCATACCATTTAGTCATTCATTCATTCATTAATTCAACAATATTTATTGAGTGCCTAGTACATGTCAGGCACCATTCTAGGCTTACCTGTCATACTGTATTGTCACTGCCTGCTTCAGTACTTTTTTTTTTTTTTTTAAGACAGAGTTTCACTCTGCTGCCCAGGCAGGAGTGCAGTGGTGTGCTCTTGGCTCACTGCAACCTCTGCCTCTCTGGTTCAAGCGATTCTCTTGCCTCCGCCTCCTGAGTAGCTGAGATTACATGCCTGCACAACCAAACCTGGCTAATTTTTGTATTTTTAGTAGAGAGGGGGTTTCACCATGTTGGCCAGGCTGGTCTCGAACTCCTGACCTCAAGTGATCCACCCGCCCAGCCTACCTAAGTGCTGGGATTACAGGCTTAAGCCACCACGCCCCACCAATACTTATTGATCTATATGGTATGCTAGTGTAATTCAGATGCCATAAAATTCACCCTTCTAAGTGTATAATTCAGCAGTTCTTAGTATATCCACAAGTCTGTGCAAGCATCACCATTACCCAATTCCCAAACATTTTCATCACTTCAAAAAGAAATCCATTCAATTACCAAAAAATGTGATTTAAAAAAACAAGGCCAGGTGTGGTGGCTCATGGCTGTAATCCCAGCACTTTGAGAGGCCAAGGCGGGTGGATCGCTTGAGGCCAGGAGTTCAAGACCAGCCTGGCCAACATAGTGAAACCTCATCTCTACAAAAAAGAAAAAAAAAAATTAGCTAGGCATGGTGGCACATACCTGTAATCCCAGCTACTCAGGAGGCTGAGGCGTGAGAATTGTTTGAACCCGGAGGCAGAGGTTGCAGTGAGCTGAGATCATACCACTGCACTCCAGCCTGGGTGACAGAGTGAGACTCTGTCTCTAAATAAGTAAATGCATAAAACAGAAAGACACCACTTTGTAACCACACAATTAAAAAATAATAAATAACAAATAAATACATAACAGAAAGAGGCTAGGTGCAGTGGCTCAAGCCTGTAATCCCAGCCACTCTGGGAGGCTGAGGCAGGTGGATCATCTGAGGTCAGGAGTTCAAGACCAGCCTGGCCAACATGGTGAAACCCCGTCTCTACTAAAAATACAAAAATTAGCTGGTTATGATGCCACGTGCCTGTTATCCGAGCTACTAGGGAGGCTGAGGCAGGAGAATCACTTGAACCCATGAGGTAGAGGTTGCAGTGAGCCAAGTTCATGCCAATGCACTCCAGCCTGGGCGACAGAGCAAGACTTGTCTCAAAAAATAATTAGTGGCCAGGCACAGTGGCTCATGCCTGTAATCCCAGCACTTTGGGAGGCCAAGGCGGATGAATCACGAGGTCAGGAATTTGATACAAGCCTGACCAAACATGGTGAAACCCCATCTCTACTAAAAATACAAAAATTAGCCGGGTGTGGTGGCGCGCGCCTGTAATCCCAACTACTCAGGAGGCTGAGGCTGGAGAATCGCTTGAACCCGGGAGGCGGAGGTTGCAGTGAAGATTGCACCACTGCACTCCAGCCTGGGTGAGAACAGATCAAGACACCGTCTTAAAAAAAAAAAAAATTTAGCGTGGCATGGTGGCGCATGCCTGTAATCCCAGCTACTTGGGAGGCTGAGGCAGAAGAATCACTTGAACCTGGGAGGTGGAGGTAGGGGTTGCAGTGAGCCGAGATCATGCCACTGTGCCCCAGCTTGGGTAACAGAGCAAGACTCCGTCTCAAAAAAAAAAAAAAGGAAAAAAAGAAAAAATAGAAAGAGACCTATTATTAGTCATTTTCCATTCTCCCCTCCCCCCAGGCCATGGCAACCACTAATCAATCTGTCTCAATGGATTTGCCTATTCTGGACATTTCATATAAGTGAAATCATACAATACATAGTCTTTTATGGCTGGCTTCTTTTAGTTAATATGCTTTTACAAGATTCATCCATGTTGTAATATGAATCAGTACTTTATTCCTTTTCATGGCTGAATAATATTTCATTGTATAGATACACCACATTTGGTTTACCTCTTCATCAGTTGATGAGCATTTGGGTTGTTTCCACTTTTTAGCTCTTTTGAATAATGCTGCTATGAACATTTACGTACACATTTTTCTGCAGACATATGTTTTGCTTTCTCTTGGAACTCTACCTAGGTAGGAGCAGAATTGCTGGGTCATGTAACTCCACATTTAATCTTTTTGAGGAACTGTCAGGCTGTTTTCCAAAGCAGCTGCACCATTTTACATTTCCACCAGCAAGGTACAAGGGTTCCAATTTCTCCACCTCTCATCAATACTTACTATTGCCCTTCTCTTTGATCATAGCCATTCAAGTGGGTGGGAAGTGTTTCTTCTGATGTTCTATGAGAACAGGGACTCCATCTGTCTGGTTCTGGTTCAGTACTGTATCCCAGAACCTACTACAGTGCCTGGAATTTATTACATACTAAATATTGTGTTAAATACACTAAAAAACTGTTCAGTGAATGGATAAATCAAAAGCTGTTTGGATAGTTACAATGGGTATCATGTATTTATCTCTCTAATAGGGATCTTCCACGGGGTCTAATACCTTTTTTTTTTTTAGTATAGTACTGAACCACTCTTCTGATACCATAGTCTTTCTTCTAGGAGGAAATGGGATTAAATTTAAGCTTTCTTGTTTTTCCTCTTTAGGTATACACATACTCATATAGGCACCTACAGATAATTTATTAGATGTTGGCACATTTTGTTTCTTCCTATTTTTACTTCTCTTGCAAAAATTCTTACTTCTACAGGGCTGTTTGCTCACCTCCAGGTATTTCATGCTTGCAAATAGGTTTCCTCCTGTTTCCAGGCTGGCCACAATGGAACAATCAATACCTGTGACGGGCTAGCCTTGCTCTTTTTGGTTTTCTTTTAATATTTCTGAACATCCTGTTTTGGTCCCCCAGTTTAGAAGTATCTGGGGTCATTTAATAGGTGGAAGTCAGCTAAGCCAGGGACTGTGTGATACTCACAGCCAGCACCTAGCACTTGATAAATAGTTGTTCAGCAGTCACAGTGGCTCATGATGTAATCCCAGCACTTTGTGAAGCCGAAGTGGGAGGACTGCTTGAGGCCAGGAGTACCGGCCTGGACAACATGGGGAAACTCCCATCTCTACTATATATGTATGTATATACACATATATATATATCATATGTATATTTTGAGACAGTCTCGTTCTGTTGCCCAGTCTGGAGTGCAGTGACGCGATCTCAGCCCATTGCAACCTCTGTCTCGCGGGTTCAAGCCATTCTCCTGCCTCAGCTACCCAAGTAGCTGGGATCACAGGCGTGAGCTACCACACCTGGCTAATTTATTTATTTTTTATTTTCATTTTTTTTTAGTAGAAATGAGGTTTCACCATGTTGGTCAGGCTGGTTGCAAACTCCTAACCTCAGGTGATCCCCTGCCCCATCTCCCCCCACCCCCCCACCCCCAGCCTCCCACAGTGCTGGAATTACAAGCATGAGCCACCGTGCCCGGCCTGATTTTGAAATTTTTAACAGACTTTTACTCGGGAGGCTGAGGCAGAAGAATCACTTGAACCTGGAAGGCGGAGGTTGTCCAGCCTGGGAGGAGCAAGGCTCCGTCTCAAAAAAAAAAAAAAAGAAAAGAAAAAAAAGAAAAAGAAAAACAGGGCGGGCGCGGTGGCTCATGCCTGTAATCCTAACACTTTGGGAGGCCAAGGCAGGTGGATTACCTGAGGTCAGGAGTTCAAGACCAGCCTGGCCAATACGGTGAAACCCCGCCTCTACTAAAAATACAAAAAATTAGCCAGGTGCAGTGTGGCATGTGCCTGTAATCCCAGCTACTCGGGAGGCTGAGGCAGGAGAATCACTTGAATCCGGGAGGCGGAGGTTGCGGTGAGCCGAGGTTACGCCACACCACTCCAGCCTGGGTGACAGGGCGAGATTACGTCTCAAAAACAAAAACAAAACAAAACAAAAAAAACAGTTGTTCAATAAATGAATGTGAATATAGGAGAAAGACGGCTTGAGGTAGCAAAGGAACACTCCCTTGCAAATGATTCAGGCTTGGTCAACAATACACCTATTGAGTACCCACCGTGTCCTTGGCCCGTGGTGAGGGCCGAAACACAGCACATGGTAAACAAAACAGGGCTCCAGCCTTGGACAGAAGGTTTCTATAATCACTTCTAGCTGCGTTGTTCTATTTCCATACCCATATCTATTCACTTTTTATGGTACATCTATTGATTCTGAAAATTACATTTTAGCTAAGGAATCTACTCATTTGCTTAAGCCCAAAATAGGAAGTTATGATCTAGTGTCAGCAAAACGCCGGATTCACAAGTGTCCCCATGGCGCTGTTTACCCCCAAATAACTAAACCCCGCCAAATGTTGAGATTCCGGACGTGAGGGGTGCTTGGATGGGGAACCCCCGAAAGAATGGACATCACGTCCACCAGAGGGTGCTGTGGGGGCAAATTTGTGCCAGGAGGGGAGCTCGACCGGTGACCCTCAGAGCCAGGTAGGCGTAAGGAGTAAATCTCCTTCTTCCCGGTGTTTCCTTCCCACCCCCTCGAACCATTGCTGCCCCTCCCCCATACTTGGTTCCCCCTGAATAATTTGCCACTTTCGGGGACTTAAGAAGTGTTTGCTTTTGAAAGACATCTGGTTTCTGTGGCTAACGCCCAGTGGTCAGGCCGCCCAGGTCACAGGCCGGCCGGGGGCGGGCGGTGGGTGGGGACTGCTGGGGCGTCAGCGGCCCAGGCGCCGCAGGGACCGCGAAAGGGTTAACCCGGCGGGGGGAGGGGGAGGGGGCGCGGGCCGCGCCTGCGCTCTGCCGCCCTCCATTGTCTCCACGGCGGCGAGGAGCGCCGGCGAGCGCAGCCCGGGACCGAGCGGGGCGGCGCGGCTGGCGGGGCCGGCGGCGGCTGAAGCGAGAGCGCGACGCGACGCGACCGCGGCTTCCCGAGCTGCGCCTGGCCGCCCAGCGCCGCGGCCCGCCCGAGGCCTGGAGGGGTCCGGGCCGCCGTCCATGGTCGCGGCGTCCTGAGGCGGGGGACGCGCCCGGCGCCCCCGGCCCTCCTCCGCCTCCTCCCGCGGGGCGGGCGGCCTCCTCCGGCGCCTCCCCGCGCCCGCCCGCCGCTCGCCGCCGCCTCCCTCCCTCCTTCCCTGCGGCTCCCCCGGCTTTCGGAGCCCGGGGGCGGCCTGTGGCGCGCGGAGCCCGCGCCGGACTGCGCCTCTTTGGACCTTGAGGGGAAACATGCGTTTGCCTTGGATCGTTTGAAATTCTGAGTTTGGGATCCCCGCCCGCCCGCCTGCCTCTTCCGCCCCGCGGGTTTTTTCCTTTTTTCCTTTTGCTTTTTTTCCTTTTCTCCCTCCGGGTCTCCTTTTTGACTCCCTCCCCCTTTATGCTCGCCCAGCCCTCCCCCTGCTGCTGAGAAGTGGGGGAGGGTCTCGGCCTCCAGGTTCCCGCCCCACCGGGGCCCGGGCGAGCATGGGGGGCAAGCAGAGCACGGCGGCCCGCTCCCGGGGCCCCTTCCCGGGGGTCTCCACCGATGACAGCGCCGTGCCGCCGCCGGGAGGGGCGCCCCATTTCGGGCACTACCGGACGGGCGGCGGGGCCATGGGGCTGCGCAGCCGCTCGGTCAGCTCGGTGGCAGGCATGGGCATGGACCCCAGCACGGCCGGGGGGGTGCCCTTTGGCCTCTACACCCCCGCCTCCCGGGGCACCGGCGACTCCGAGAGGGCGCCCGGCGGCGGAGGGTCTGCGTCCGACTCCACCTATGCCCATGGCAATGGTTACCAGGAGACGGGCGGCGGTCACCATAGAGACGGGATGCTGTACCTGGGCTCCCGAGCCTCGCTGGCGGATGCTCTACCTCTGCACATCGCACCCAGGTGGTTCAGCTCGCATAGTGGTGAGTCCGCGGGTGGTGGAGGCCTCGGAGGGAGGGCGCGCCGGGGCGCCCCAAGCCTTCGCGTGCGTGCCAAGGTTTGGGAATGTAGTGCACGACCGGGATCTGTCTGCATTCCCTTTGGTTCCCGATGCCAAGGGATAAATGGGATACCTACCGTCTGGAAACTAGGCTTTCTGCGAGGCTGCGGAGCCTGGCGATTTAGGGACTCACGGCGTGTGTTCACTTGTGGAAGGGCAGAGCGAAGCCTACCTATTGGAGTTCCATTTATTGGCATCACCCTCCTCAGAGAAGAGGTCGTGTCTGGCTGAGAGCAAGTCAGCCTGGGTACTTCCATTCTGCCACTGCAGCACTGTGCCTGCCTCACCGGTAACGGAGAGATGGAGCCAGTTGGAGCAAGCAGTGTCTCCTAAACAGAGTGTGTGAAAATGAAATAAAATCAGGGGCAAGTGATGCCTGGATTAGGGCTCTCACTCTTGCTGGGAGAGAGAGGTGCCCAGTTTTGCCACCCTGCTGGAGATCTGTTTGAAATGTTTAAAATGGAGCAGCCGGCAGGCGGCTGGCATAGACAGGTGTGGCTGCTGTACGGAGGGCCCAGCCGGCGAGTCTCGCGGGGGCTTTGCAGGACCCGGGCTGTGGTCACCCGTACTGCATGCAGCAGGCTTGGCTCCGCGACTCTCGCCTCCCTCCATCTTTTTTTCTTCTGCTCCATGCTAAGTGCTTGGTCTTCCCGTGAATCTGCATCTTTTTGTAACAGGGAGCCTGTCACGGTGGGGCATTATTGCCTGGCTGTTGGCACATGACTGGGGAAAAGGAGGATTCAGAGAATCTGGATGAATTCATTTTATGAACTTCTGGTGACAGGCCAGCAAAAGGTTGGAGGGGGATTTCCCAGGCTCCTAGCGGGAGGGCAAAAAAGGCCTGGCAGGAGGAAAACAGGTCTGTCTGCTAGGTCAGGCATCTAGAAAATTGGCCAAAAGGGATGTGGGGGCCGCTATTTGCTAATTGGCAAGTTGAGTGATGAAGTTACATCTTAAGATTCTTTTGGGTGAGTTGGGAAAATTTAGATAGTGTAGGGGAAAGATTGCTCCTGCCTTTAGGGTACTTTATGGAGGGTAATATCTGTTGGATCACTCTTTTAACTACTGTGAAATAGGGTTGACTTTTGGGGTATCTCTTTCCCCCCCCCTGCAAATAGCCTGGGGTTTGTTTTCATTTGGTTTGGTTTTTTGTCAATTCTGTAAACTTTAATTTGTGAAATAGTGTTGGGGGAGAAACGATTAGTGACTAATTTAGGGTAACACTTAGAAGTAGCTTGTGAATTGTTAGGATGATATTTTAATCTCTGACAGACCTCCGGATATCATTGGAGCTTTTCTGACCTCATGGAACTCTGCCCTGAGTGAGAAGCAGGACATGATTGCCTTTGGCTCTTTCAGGCATTTGATCAAAATTAGGCATTTTGAAATTAATAATTTTTCCTATGGAATTTAGTCCAGAGAGTTAGCCATATTTTTGAGATGACTAGTTTGGTGTTTAAAAGAACTGTAATGAGCATCTGGTTTTGAACTTAAAAGTACTGTAAGAAGTTTCTCTAAAATCACAGAATTTTTTGTGTTGAAAAACATATGAGATATGTAGGGAGGAAGAAAGGGAGTGCTTTTTTTGCTAAAATTTCTTAAGCCTCTTACTAAAAATTTATTTATTATGCTACTACCAGGTTCCATGCTACAGTTATGAGCTTGTAGTTGGATTCCAGAATTTCACTCTTAAGCTGTGAAACCTTATTTTTTTTCATCCGATCATGGTGAGGGTAGGGAGAGCCACTGAACTGTGGGGACAGGAAGGTTGGAGCATATTAATCCTTTAGGGAAGGGTGTCAAAAGTGTGTATGGGAGGCTGCTATTAATATTGTAGGTAATCCATTCCTTACTGTGTAGGACCATCATGTCCTTCTGCAAGACATCGAGCATACCTACTAAATGCTGATAGCATCCAGCAGTTCAGTGTGTCACCCCAAAATGTCCCCAAGAATTCCCAAATGCCCTCTGGGGTGTGGGTGGTATCACTCTGGTTGAGAACCACTGCTTTAGGGATTTATTCTTTTATTCACATAAAGTAATTGGCTTTTCCTGTGCATTTCATTTGAGATGAATCTTCGTGTGCAGCATTGGTTCCATCTCACCTGAAACAGACCATGGGATCTTCCAGGACATCTGTTTCCTCTGTTACACATTGCTGCAAGAAGCAAAACTTGTTTCTGCTTTGGAGCCTTTGAGTAAGGTCTAAGCAGCTTTTGCTCTTCTGTTGCAAGATTGGAAGGGTAACGATTTTGGTGCACAATTAATTAGATGCCTGGAAGTTGATATGATATGTTTGCTTGTGTTTTCAAGGTGCTCTTGCAACTCTTCATGGGCACAGAAAACAGTTGTCAGTGAAATACATGAGGGAGTTCAGTGTATACAAGGCCTTCTCAGAGAGCGTGGGCTTAGGCTGGGTCTGGAGGTAGAATACTGAAGGGCCCTGGTCCCAGCTACTCCTCTGAGCAGCTGTGACCTTGGGCAAGACATATCCCCTCTCTTGAGCCTTATCTTTGTCGTTTTTAAAATAGTTGTGGTCACCCTCACGAGCTCCAGCCTTGCTCCGCAAATCCCGGGAGAGGAAGCGCTGTAGTCACATTTGTCTTCTCTAGGTTCCTGACTTCCCTGTGCTGTGACCCCCACGTATACCATTCCCTAATCCTAGAGTGCTTTTCTCTCCGTTCTTCACACGAATTTCTCTTTCTGATCCCTTAGGGCTTAGAGACCACTCTTAAAAATTGGCCCCTCCGGTTATTCTCTCCAGTCACTCACCTGTTACCTTAATCATTCTTTTTTTTGAGACAGAGTTTCGCTCTTGTTGCCCAGGCTGGAGTGCAGTGGTGCGACCTCTGCTCACTGCAGTCTCCGCCTCCCGGGTTCAAGCAATTCTCCTGCCTCAGCCTCCCGAGTAGCTGGGATTACTGGCATGCGCCACCATGCCCAATAAGCTTGGGGCTAATTTTGTTTTTTGTAGAGACGGGATTTCTCCATGTTTATCAGGCTGGTCTCAAACTCCCGACCTCAGGTGATCTGCCTGACCCGGCCTCCCAAAGTGATAGGATTACAGGCGTGAGCCACTGCGCCCTGCACCTTAATCATTCTTAACACACTTTGTAAGTATTTTATCTGTTTACTTTTTTCTGTGTATGGTTTGCCTAAAGTCTAAGCTCCGTGAGAGCAGGACTGTGTTCCTTGATCTCTGTTGTGGGTCCTGCACTGTGCCTGCCACTCACATTTTTTGAGTACATGAATTTGAGTACTTTATGTTCATCATCTCACTTAATCATCACTCTGACTCTATGGAGTAAGACTGTTCTCTCCCACCCCCATTGTGCAGGTAAGGAAACAGGTTTGGGGAGGTTAAGGAACTCACACAAGATCAGGTGGTTAGTAGGTGGTGGAGATGGGATTGGAATGCAGGTTGGCTGGTGCCAGAACCTGGGCTCTTAACCAGTACCCTCTTCCGCCTCTTATCTGAAAACATCACAAAGCCGCATGGTGTCCTGGAGATTGCGCTGGCCTACGAGTCAGAGTGCTAGGCTCATCTCCTGGTTAGGCAGCTGATTAGCTGCATGATTTGTGACCTTGGGCAAGCGAGTCATTTAACCTCAGTCACAATTTATTCATCTGTAAAATGTAGAAGACGCCTGTCCTGCTTACCTCTCAGAGTCATAGTGAGGGTCTCATGAGATAATGTGCACAAAAGTCAAAGGACATTCTAAATGGAGAGTGGTGGAGTTCCTATGGGGGCACTCTCTTATAGTTGTCTGCCTTCAATCGCCTCAGATTTTTTTTTTTTTTCTTTTGAGACAGGGTCTTATTCTGTCACCCAGGCTGGAGTGCAGTGGCGAGATCATAGCTCACTGCAGTCTCAGACTCCTGGGCTCAGTTGATCCTCCCAGCTTGGCTTCCCAAAGTGCTGGGACCACAGGCATGAGCCACCGTGCCAGGCCTAATGGTCTCAGAATTTGATGGGTGGAGAGAGGTTTACAGCTGTGCTAGCTGTAGCCCCCAAATGGAATCTGGTTCTGTGTCCTAAAGTCTGGCCTGCATTAGTGGGCTGCTTTTACTCATAATGCCGCTGATAAGGGCTGCTTTATAGAAGCAGAGTGACTCCCTTTCCACGTTAAAAAGTTTTGCTATAACTCCTGATGGCTGCCTCGGTGCTATTCTGGAGGCCTGGTCATTCTCTTTCGGTAGTTCTGTTTGTCTCAGAGTATGGATTTCTAAATGTGGGGTACAAAACATGCACCATCCACCATGTTGAAAGAAGTTGCTGTTTTCTAGGTTCTACTATAAAAGGGCTGGCCATTGAGGGCTTCACTTCACCTTCTTAGTCATATGTGTATATATATGTATGCACTTTCAGAAAGTCTAAACTGTTCTTTATTGTCATCAAGCCATCAACTGAGACTGATACAAGGTGATTGTGTTTTGTTTTTGTTATTTATTTATTTTTGAGACAGGGTCTTGCTCTGTTGCCCAGGCTGGAGTGCCATGGTGCAATCATGGTTCACTGTAGCCTCAAACTCTTGGGCTCAAGCCGTCTTCCCATCTCAGCTTCCAGAGTAGCTGGGACTCAGGTGCGCACCACTACACCTGGCTAAATTTTATACAATCTTTTGTAGAGATGAGGTCTCACTATGTTGCCTAGGCTGGCCTCAAACTCCGGGCTTTAAGCAATCCTCCCACCTCAACCTCCCAAGGTATTGGGATTATAGGCATAAGCCACCACGCCTGGCCCAACGTGGCTTTTAATAAGTCTTTGAACATGCTAGGAGGTATCTCTTGGGCTCTATTTTGCTGCCACTGTAGGGTTCTCAAGTGATTTAATTTTCTTTTATTGTTAGCTAATGGGGGAGAATTGCCAGCTCCCTTGGAGTGAATCAGAAAGCCTTTGTGTCCCGCCATAGGTGTGCTAGAAGTAATGGGCCTTCACATGGTTTCTGGAGAAGGAAAAGCATTCTGTGGTCTCCAAAGAGCATGATGGGTCTCCTGCCCTGCAAAAGTTCTATTGTTAATGAAAACTTGTATTAAAAAGCAGAATTTTTAGCTCTTTATTACCATGAGGGCTTATTTTCTTAAAATACAAAAGTTACCCCGAGGCAAAGATAATTTCTTGAAGGTCATAGTTAACTCTTGCTTATTGAGGTTTGAATGGTGTTGTAAGAAACAGTGGCTTAGCTCTTAAAGCGTTTGCTTTATGGGATACTACATTTTGATATTAAACAAAGACCCACCTCAATATATCATGTCACAAGGAATACTTAGGCCATTCTTAGCCAAAGAAATGAAGCAAGCTCTAGTTCCTTTTGGGAAAAGGAACATGCTTTGTATTTTACATATGTGGTATTCACCCCAAGCTTATTGGGCACAGAAATTTGAGTATAGTAGTTACTCCCTATCCAAAGGGGATTCGTTCCAATACCCACAGTGGATGCCTGAAACCGTGGATAGTACCTCACCTGAACCCTATATCTACTATGTCTTTTCCTGTATATACATACCTTTGATAAAGTTTTATTTATAAATTAGGCACAATAAAAGCTCGACAGCAGTAACTAATAATAGAACAATTATAACAATATACTGTGATAAAAGTTATGTGAATGTGTTCTCTCTCTCTCTCTCCCTGTCTCGAAAGTACAGTCATGCATTGCTTAATGACAGGGATACTTTCTGAGAAATGGGTCATTAAGGGATTTTGTCACTGGGCAAACATCATAGGGTGTACATACACGGACCTAGGTGGTATAGCCTGCTACATACCTAGATTATATGTTGCTCCTAGTGCTCCTAGGCTACAAACCTGTGCAACATGTGACTGTATTGAACACTGTTGGCAATTGTAATACAGTTGTAAGTATTTGTGTGTCTAAACATAGAAAAGGTACAGGATATAGTCTTACGGGACCACCATCATGTATGCAGTTGCTTGTTGACCCATGCATGTAGGGTGGTGCGTCATGGTATCTTAATATTTTAGACCTCCATTGACCACGGGTAACTGAAACTATGGAAAGTGAAGCCTTGGACAAGGGGTACTGCTGTATACCCAATTATAAAACTAAGCTTCAATTTTGACAGCTTCAAAATTAGAAAAACTTCATAGGGAAGTGGTGGTAACTTAAATGGGATATTGATTCTGCTCCTACTCATCCTTAGGTAGGGGTGTTTTTAATGACAGTGGATCACTAAGGTTGTGGTTCTAGAATCTTGAAGTTAGCCCAAAACCTAAATCTTAACCTCAGTCAGTTTGTTTGTTTGTTTGTTTGTTTATTGAGACAGAGTCTCACTCTGTCACCCAGGCTGGAGTGCAGTGGCATGATCTGAGCTCACTGCAACGTCCACTTCCCGGGTTCAAGTGATTGGCCTGCCCCAGCCTCCCAAGTAGCTGGGATTACAGGCATGCACCACCACGCCTGACTAGTTTTTGTATTTTTAGTAGAGACAGGGTTTCACCATGTTGGCCAGGCTGGTCTCGAACTCCTGACCTCGGGTGATCCACCTGCCTTGGCCTCCCAGAGTGCTGGCATTACAGGCATGAGCTACCGTGCCTGGCCACCTCAGTCTTTTAGGATGATGGGTGAATATAAATTTCAGTCTGTTTCTTTTCCAAGCTTTCTCATGGCCTAGTCTGAATCAGATGGTTCATAGTAATTACCATGGGTTCAGTCTTGAGTGTGAGAAGGGGATTCTTAGAGACCCAGCAGTTTTCACTTCTGAATCTTAGGTTCTCACTAGAACACAGGTTTATCCTTGAATCCAGCAGTTGGGTTTCTGTCCTTTATGTGCTGTATGGATGAAGGATGAGTTGTGGGTATGAGTGAATAACCTGAAGACCAGCCCTCAAGTGTGAAGTGTGAAGCAAATAACCAAGTTTAATCTTTTTTTTTTTTTTTTTTTAAGACAGGGTCTCGCTTTGTTCAGGCTGGAGTGCAGTGGCACGATCATGGCTCACTGCAGCCTCAGCCTGTAGGGCTCAAGCGATCCTCCTTCCTCAGCCTCCTGAGTAGCTGGGACTACAGGCGGATGCCGCTACGCCTGGCTAATTTTTAATTTTGTGTAGATGGGGTCTCCATTTGTTGCCCAGGCTGGTCTTAAACTCCTGGGCTCAAGCGATCCTCCTGCCTCAGCCTCCTAAAGTGCTGGGATTACAGGTGTCAGCGACGATGCCAGACCCCAAATTTAATCCTAAAGCAGCAGCTGAAATAGTTTCTAGACTGATGAGACTGTTTACCTTGAGACCTCCCTAGAGTCGTTAGTCTTGAACACACAGCTTTCCTCTGTTGGGAGAAAGGAGGAAGGAATAATTCACTGGATCCCTGTGAATTCCAACTTAGGGGAGGCATGATAAGAATTTATAGTGACCTCTTGGATCTGTAACAAGAAAGAGGCAGATAAAAACAAGAGCTCTCCTGATTTCTGTGAATGGTTCAGAAGGGTTCTTAAAGGTGCTCAGTATTCTCTAGGGAGGTAGTTAACGATGCAGATGACTGGACCCCACTCACAGAATTCAGTAGAGCTGGAGACCCAAGAATCTAAGTTTGTAACAAATGAACCTGAAAACAAGAAGACCTTCTACATCTGAAACTAAACTCCACCAAGCATTTAGTTTTTCTCTCCCCAAACAGAGAAATAAACTTTGAATCCTTTTTTGGTGTATTCATTAGCTTTCTTTTTATTTGTTTTTTCTTCTTATTTTTCTTTAGAGAAAGGTTTTTCTTCTGTTGCCCGGGCTGGAGTGCAATAGCAAGATCACGCTCACTGCAGCCTGGAACTCCTGGTCTCAAGCAATTCTCAAGCCTTAGCCTCTGGAGTATCTGGGACTACAGATGCTATGCTACCATGACCAGATAATTTTTTTACTTTTTTTTTCTTTTTTCGGTAGAGAAGGGGTCTCACCATGTTGCCCAGGCTGGTCTTGAACTCCTGGCCTCAAGTGAGCCTTCCACCTCAGCTTCCCAAAATACTGGGATTATAAGTGTGAAGCCACTGTGCCTGGCCTTTATTTTCAGTATTTCTAGTCAGATATTTGCTAAGCAATCTCTACAGCTCGCAGAAGGTAGGTTCAACCAGGAACAACATTGTTGGCTATTTGATGGTTTTCTTTTACATGGGACTAAGCATTATTGCCTACATATAGGGCCAAGCCAATCTGCCTTGGTCTGAGAATTGAAGTTGCTCTGAACAGAAGGTAATGGTGTCAGTGTCGCCTTTCCTTCTGCACTTGTCTTCCTCCTGACTTTTCTTCTTTGGCTCTGGTGCTACAGAAGGGCTTCCTGAGTTACCCTCTTTCCTACATCTTCAGCCAGGCAGCTAGACAAGTCAAGAGCTTAGGATGAATCTAGGCTTTAAAGAGGTTGGAAGACCTGTTTTTCCTTTTCTCTGACTGACCCAAAAGTATAAGACTTTTTTTTCTTTGTGTGTGATGATCTGTTGAACAAAAACGTTCATTTATTCCATTGATAGCCTCTGGTATACCAGGACCTATGGTAG
This sequence comes from Homo sapiens, assembly GCF_000001405.40. Taxonomy (NCBI): domain Eukaryota; kingdom Metazoa; phylum Chordata; class Mammalia; order Primates; family Hominidae; genus Homo; species Homo sapiens. Next base: position 75,008,672 of record NC_000016.10, read on the forward strand.
GTGCTGAGAATATATATATTTATTATAGAGCAATTAACTTATTCTTTCCAAGAATCTTTGCTTCCTCACTCCTTAAGAGTCTGAATATTTTAGCTTCTGGGAGATTTTACCTTTTCATCAGCTCCTCTGTTGAATAAACAAATAAATGTAGGTGTTTGTCCATAAGGCTGCTGCAAGGATATACTTCTCTTCACTCATTTTTTTCCAAAGCCCTATTTCTGGGTTGGGGCAGGTGATCTTTTCTTTGTGATTCCAGCTAAGTACCTACCAAGAAATTCCTCGTATGTCTCAGTATGAGGGGTCCTCTGTCCTCTCAGTGAGAATATCAAAAGAAAAACTGATTTTCAGACTCTTCATGTGCATCTTTAATTTCAGTATCTTTGTCATCCCTAGAGCCACTTTTCTTTCTGGTCATTGAACACTATTTTCTAGAAGCATGATTCACCACTTTTTAAATCTGTCTCTGTAAAATTTATCCCAAGCCACAAATACCCATAAGGAAATTTCATCCTTGGTATTATAAGTCTATGTCTCTGAACTTCACAACATCTACACTTCTGTGCTGGCTCCCCTCTCCCCCACCTCCCCAGTTTTGTTTTGTTTTTTTAACTGTCATAAAATATATGTAACAAAATTTACTATCTTAACCGTTTTTAAGTGTACAGTTCAGTGGTATTCTAAGTACTGCATGTAAGTGGACTCGTACAGTATTTGTCTTTTTGTGGCTGTCCTATTTCACTTAGCGTAGTGTCCTCAAGGTTCATCTGCATTGTAGCATATTTCAGAATTTCCTTTCTTTTAAAGGTTGAATCGTATTCCATTGTCTGTCTACCACGTTTTACTTTTCCATTCATCTGTTGCTGGACGCTTGGGTTGCTTCCATATTTTAGCTATTGTAAATAGCTGTAATTCATTGTTAGAAATGTGAATTTCTTAATATCTCTTCAAGACCCTGCTTTCACTCCTTTTGAGAATATACCCAGAAGTGGAATTGCTCCATCATTTGGTGATTCTATTTTTAATTTTTTGAGGAACCACCATACTGTTTTCCACAGTAGCTGCACCATTTTATATTCCTACCAACAGTGCACAGGCTTCCAGTTTCTCCACATCCTTGCCAATACTTGTTATTTTCTGTTTTTTTTTTTAATAGTAGCCATCTTAATGGATGTGAGGTAGTATCCCATAGTATTCATTTGCATTTCTCTAATGAATTAGTGATATTGAGCATCTTTTCATGTGTTTATTGGCCATTTGTATATCTTTTTTGGAGAAATAATCTATTTATATGTCCATGTTTGAATCAGGTTGCCTCTTTTCTTTTCTTTTGATACGGAGTTTTGCCCTGTTGCCCAGGCTGAAGTGCAGTGGTTCAGTCTCAGCTCACTACAACCTCTGCCCCCCGGGTTCAAGCGATTCTCCTGCCTCAGCCTCCAGAGTAGCTGGGATTATAGGCGCCTACCATCATGCCCTGCTAATTTTTGTATTTTTAGTAGAGACAAGGTTTCACCATATTGGCCAGGCTGGTCTCGAACTCCTGGCCTCAGGTGATCCACCCGCCTCAGCCTCCCAAAGTGCAGGGATTACAGGTGTGAGCCACCACACCCGGCCTGGGTTGCTTTTTTCTTTCGTTGTTGATTTTAGTGCAGTTTTAAGAAACTTTTTAAAGCCTTGTTTATGATAGCCAACACTAGTGACTGTAATGTATTCCCCTCGGGAATAAGTAATAAATCTGTGTTATATTTGAGTACATTTTGCTCAAAATAAAGAATTTAACGAATTGTCTCATGCCAAGAGATTTTATGAGTACTTTGGCTGTTGGTAGTGCCTTACTTTCAGAAGGATAATTTTTGGAGAAATTTCACTTCGTATTTAGGTATGTATGGTCTCTCATCTTGGTCTTGGTGAATCAGACTTGTCATAGGAGTGCTCCAACTTTCTTGTTGGTAGTAGCTTGAGCCCTCTGAAAAGTAATTAATCCATACTTCATAAAGAGTTGTTCTGAAATTAGTCACCTCTGTACTGTACTGTTTTTTTTTGTTTTTTTGTTTTTTTTTTTTTGAGGAGTCTCGCTCTGTCACCAGGCTGGAGTGCAGTGGCATGATCTCCACTCACTGCAACCTCTGCCTCCTGGGCTCAAGCAATTCTCTTGCTTCAGCCTCCCAAGTAGCTGGAATTACAGGCATGTGCCACCACAGCCGGCTAATTTTGTACTTTTAGTAGAGATGGGGTTTCGCCAATTGGCCAGGCTGGTCTTGAACTCCTGACCTCAAGTGATCCGCCCACCTTGGCCTCCCAGAGTGCTGGGATTGCAGGCGTGAGCCACCATGCCCAGCTGGGAGAAGCTTTAACCTGGATTCAGGAACAGAGGTAGGAGAACCTAAGATCACAGGCCTCATCTGACGTGGTCATTTTGCACATACTTCTTAGCTTTTTGGAGATCTTTTCATTTTGTTTCCATCTTAAATAACCTTTTCCCTGTGGAGAAGGTGCCTTTTTTGGAGAGAGCCATTAAGATTCTTTTATCCTGCTGCCTGCCTGAGTATTCTGGGAATCCTACAAGGATTTGAGGGAGCCCTTGGGATTCCAACCTAACAAATTAGTTTTCTGTAATATTGTTCTAGTCCATTTAGATTGTGTAAATGATCTAAATGGTGTAACCATTTAATATCAAAAGTATAACAGCATTTAAGTCAGCTTTTCGAAGAAACTTTTATTTTTTAACTAAAAACAAACTTTTTTTCAGAGACAAGGTCTCACTATGTTGCCCAGGCTGGACATGAACTCCTGGGCTTAAGACATCCTCCTACCCTAGCCTCCTGAGTAGCTGGGACTGTGGGCACACGCCACCATGCCTGGCCAAAGACACTTTTTTATAGCTCTGCCTGCTGCTATAACAAGTGTTCCTAAATACCCATGTACATCCTATATTATTAGATTTCCTCAACTCTGGTTAGCTATGACTGAAACATTCATGCCATTGCAGCCAGTGCCCTGGAAAGCTATAAGCAAGTCTTAAGACCTGTGATAAGGGCTGACTTGCAAGCTAGCTGCCATCCATCTTAATATCTGACGAGCCCAGTCATGTTGGCTGTGTTTAATTGATCCATTTCCTACTTGCTTCCTCAACCCAGAGGCCAAGGGCAGCACAAAAGGATAGTGAATCTAAATGTCTCCAGTTTTTTGAGGTATAGGAATCTCCTATGAAGTGGCAGACCTTTGAGAAATAGTATTATGAGCTGTTCTGTTTTGCTGTGGCTTTGGAAAACCTTTGGATTCCTCTACTGAAAATTTGTTTGAAAAAAAAATCTTTTTAATGAAACAGTGTGAGTCATAAAGCAGCCACCACCCCTTCTCATAATAGCATTTCTCACCAGGGGAATTTTTGGTAGCTGTTGGGGGAGGGATTTGAGTAGGTTGTGGATGATAAATCCCTTGAGGGGAACATAACCAAAGGCTGCCATATCAGAACGCTGGTGCTTTCCATGCTGACACCAAGCCCTGAATTCAAAGTGCAGGACAGCAGAATAGAACAGAGAAGCCTGTGCTCAGTGAATTGCTGCAGTAGCATGACCAGTGAGACTGGAGTTTCAATTAAAACACCGTTGTAGTGTAAAAGGATCATGAGATGGAAGGAGGCCTTGGGTTAGAGAGCCAGAAGCCATTTATAGGCAGAACATCAGCTTTCTGGATTAAAGGATGGCTGTGGACCTAATGATGAGAATCTAGAGGTCATGGGGAATTTCCTTACTGTCTGTGCCCCCCTTTTCCATATGGTCAGCTTGGTGCTTGGCACTGATCATGGCACACTTTACAAAAAGTGGATTCATATAAGGTCGTCTGTGCTCTTCTAAGATTTTAGGTCTAAAGCATTTAGAGTGGCGCCCAGAGGAGACGCCACCCAGTCAGCCTCCTTGTGGCATAGTGAAAATGAAACATTTAGGGATACTGAGAGCTTAGAACAAGCCAGAATTATGATATCAAATCTCAGTTGCCTGTCTTAAACTTTTCTGCCAACCTAGCGTGAGTTTTAGCTGTTTTCAACTTCATTATTTACAGTTTCTCGGGACTCATGTCTGAACCACTATCTTACATAAGCTACAGACGGGAAGGGCTGAACGGTTATTAGAAATGTGTTAAGATTTGCTTTCCTTTGGAGAGTCATGGCCTGTCTTCTGTGTTTTCCTGGCTTTGTACTTTTCTTCAAAGCCTGTTACCGGTTCCAGGTCTCCAGAGCTCAATAAAGGGGAAACAGGAAGTGAGCATTTGATGCATAAGAGCCAGCAAAACATAATAAAGGGCACAGGCATGGAACCAGGAGAGAGAATTGTGGGAGTGAGTTTTCTTGAAGGCATCAGTTCTGTAGGATTAGAGATACATCCTTCAACAATGACTTTTAACTCCTTCAAACAAGGAAAAAGCAATTAGGAACCTCTGTTCAGAAAGGACCAATTTTTCTTAGGTTATATAGTAGAGGTTCAACACTTTCATATGACAGCATACAAGTAATTATAAAGTATCTTTTGCCTAAGGAGTTCAGAACACAGAGAAAAGTGATGATCACCTTTATAAAGGAGTAAGAATTACTTCTCTGTCTCTTTACTTGAGGGCCCACAGGGTAAGTCTTATCATGAGTTCCAGCCTGGAGCCCTGACTCTTACTTTTTCTGTCCATTCAATTTTTTTTTTTTTTCCGAGATGGAGTCTCACTCTGTCGCCAGGCTGGAGTGCAGTGGCGTGATCTCAGCTCACTGCAACCTCTGCCTCCCGGGTTCAAGCGATTCTTCTGCCTCAGCCTCCCGAGTAGCTGGGACTGCAGGTGCATGCCACCATGCCTAGCTAATTTTTGTATTTTTAGGAGAGATGGGGTTTTACCATGTTAGCCAGGATGGTCTCAATCTGTTGACCTCGTGATCCACCCGCCTTGGCCTCCCAGAGTGCTGGGATTACAGGCGTGAGCCACCGCGCCAGGCCTGTCCATTCAGTTTTAGTAATGAACTCTGAAGTTTTAGTCCTGCGGTTACTAAATGGAAAAGTCAGAGATTTGTGCTATTTCAATTTGGTTCACTTGTACATTTCAGGAACTCAAATAGCTGTGTGACTCTGAAAATGGGAACTCTTTGGTGTCTTGGAATTATTTATTTATTTATTTTTAATTTAATTTTATTTTTTTTTTCGAGACGGAGTCTCACTGTATCGCCCAGGCTAGGGGGCAGTGGTGTGGTTTTGGCTCACTGCAACCTCTGCCTCCCAGGTTCAAGTAATTCTCCTGCCTCAGCCTCCCGAGTAGTTGGGATTACAGGCAAACACCACCACACCCGACTAATTTTTTGTATTTTTAGTAGAGGCCGTGTTTCACCGTGTTGGCCAGGCCGGTCTTGAACTCCTGACCTCAGATGATCCACCCGCCTTATCTTCCCAAAGTGCTGGGATTAGAGGTGTGAGCTGCCGCGCCTAGCCTGGAATTATTTTTTTAAAAATGAAATATTTTAGGCATTCAAGAAAGATAATATGCTCACCTACCAAGCAGATTATAATAACTAAAACATTACAGGTATAATTGTATGTACCCTGGCTTATTCCCATTTTCTCTTTCCCTCTCCAAAGGGAACGACTGCCCTCACTCGTGTTTTTCCCGCCATATATGTTCATGCTTTTGCTCCCTGTAGCTATCCAAAACACCATTTGTTTTCTGTAAACTTCATGTAAACTGTATAGACATGGAAGGAGAAAGATATTATGAGGTGTGTGTGTGTATATATGCTACCTCAAAATGGAGGTAGTATATAAATTCATTTTACTACTTATTGCTATAGCACATTTATTTTCACAGCTATACTCTATTGATCTATTTATTGATCTATTGATCTATTCTGTTATCAGTGGATATTAAAGTTATTTTTAGTTTTTGAAAATTTTGTTTCATTACATACGTGAATGAGTTTTTCTAGGGTACATCCTTAGTCATGAAATAGTGGGGTTACAGGGTATGTGTATGTGTGCATGCGTGCATGTGTGTGTATCTTCAACTCATAATTAAATATTGCCCAGTAAATCCCCAATGTGCTTATACCAGTTTACACTCCTGAAATAACATATTTTTGCTTGTTCTGTGTCCTTGCCAAAATTTGATATTGTCATACCTTAATTTTTGCCAAGCTCTAGTGGGTATAAATAGTATAATATTGTGATTTTATTTGTTATTTATATATTTGATAATATATTTATCTATAATTAATGTATTAATATTGTATGTTTAATCATTGTGTTTCTTCTGTGAAATACTTGTTCATGTCTTTGATTCATGTTTATATTGGGTGGTTTAACTGTTTCTTACTGGTTTGTACGAATTTGTTTTTGTTTTGTCTGTGGATAATAATTCTTTGTTGTCATATGTAATGTAGATGTGTCTTCTCTCAGTTTGTGGCTTATCTCTTTATTCTCTTTGTGATTTCTTATGGTTACTTAATTTTGAAATAACTGAATATTCAAGTATTTTCTCTTATGGCTTATGCATTTTATGTGTTAAGAAATATTTTATTTACCTGAGGTCATAAAGATGTTATGTTTTCTTCTAAAAGTTTTAAAAATTTGCACTTTGTATTTAAATCCTTAATCCATGGGTAATTAAAAAAAAGGTTTATTGGCCGGGCGAGGTAGCTCATGCCTGTAATCCCAGCACTTTGGGAGGCCGAGGCGGTTCGAGACCAGCTTGACCAACATGGACAAACCTCATCTCTACTAAAAATACAAAATGAGCTGGGCGTGGTGGCACATGCTTGTAATCCCAGCTACTCAGGAGGCTGAGGCAGGAGAATCGTTTGAACCTGGGAGGTGGAGGTCGTGGTGAGCCGAGATTGCACCATTGCACTCCAGCCTGGGCAACAAGAGTGAAATTCTGTCTTTAAAAAAAAATCGTGTATTTAGTCTCAAGACAGGATCTCACTCTGTTGCCCAGGCTGGACTGTAGTGGCGCCATCACCGCTTACTGCAGCCTGAAACTCCTGGAGTCAGATAGTCCTCCCACCTCAGTCTCCTGGGTAGCTGGGACTACAGGTGTGCACCGCCATATCCGACTGATTCAAAGTACTGGGATAATAGACGTGAGCCACAGCTCCCAGCCTATAATTAAATTAGAATGGGGCAAGATAGGGATATATATATTTTTCCATATGTGAATAACCAGCTCTCTCAGCAGCATTTGAGGAGTAGTAAAGTCATCTATCCTTGTGCTAATACGCTTTTCTTTTCTTTTTTTTTTTTTTTTGAGACGGAGTGTTGCTCTGTCCACCCAGGCTGGAATGCAATGGCGCGATCTCCTCTCACTGCAAGCTCCGCCTCCCGGGTTCATACCATTCTCCTCCCTCAGCCTCCCGAGTAGCTGGGACTACAGGCGCCTGCCACCACACCCAGCTAATTTTTTGTATTTTTAGTAGAGACGGGGTTTCACCGTGTTAGCCAGGATGGTCTTGATCTCCTGACCTCGTGACCCGTCCACCGCCTCGGTCTCCCAAAGTGCTGGGATTACAGGCATGAGCCACCGCGCCCGGCCGCTAATACTCTTTTATTTTTATTTTTTTATTTTTGAGACGGAGTCTCACTCTGTCGCCCAGGCTGGAGTGCAGTGGCGTTATCTCGGCTCACTGCAACCTCCACCTCCCGGGTTCAAGCAATTCTCCCACCTCAGCCTCCCGAGTAGCTGGGATTACAGGCACACGCCACCACACCCTACTAATTTTCTGTAGTTTTAGTAGAGACATGGTCTCACCATGTTGGCCAGGCTGGTCTTGTACTCCTGACCTCAAGTGATCTGCCTGCCTTGGCCTTCCAAAGTGCTGGGATTACAGGCTTGAGCCACTGCACCCAGCCTATTTTTATTTTTTGAGACAGAGTCTTGCTCTGTCACCCAGGCCGGAGTGCAGTGGCCTGATCTCGACTGACTGCAACGTCTGCCTCCCGGGTTCAAGCAATTCTCATGCCATAGCCTCCAGAGTAGCTGGGACTACAGGCGTCTGTCACCATGCCTGGCTTTTTTTTTTTTTTTTTTTTGTATGAGTAGAGATGGGGTTTCACCATGTTGGTCAGGCTGGTCTCGAACTCCTGACCTCAGGTGATTCACCTGCCTCGGCCTCCCAGAGTGCTGGGATTACAGGCGTGAGCCACCGCGGCCGGCCTACTGTTTTATTTACTATCGTTTTGTAATAGGTCTTGCTACATGGAAGGGCAAAACTGTGTTGGCTAACTGAATCTTTCTAAGGGACAAATAAGGGAATCCAGATAGAATAAACACAGTGAAGTACAGAGTACCAGGAACTGCTCTGTTTAAAGCTGGTATTCTTTTTTAATGATAGGACATCTGGCAAACCCACCCTAATGGGCAGTTTCATTTTTTTCCCTACTATATTGCACAAACAATAACATTTCCTGATGTCTTTGTATTGCAAACAGCAGAGTAAACAGTTCTGTATGTTACAGACAACAACAGTAAAAACAACAAAAACTGGTTAGCTATTTTTGGCACTTTGTGCTTCCAGATAAATTTTAGAATCAGCTTTGTTAACTTTCTGTGAGGAGAAAAAACTGTTAGGATATTTATTAGAATTAAATTGAGTTTATCAATAAGCCATTTTTGTAAATTTGGGCTTATCCATGAATCTGATAGAATTGATTTACAGATATAAAAATAAAAATTTTAAACATTTTATTTACATTTAAAATTTTTGGAAATAATTTCAGACTTACAGAAAAGTTGCAGAACTTATACAAATAAATATTACATATCCATCTCCCAGAATTCTCAAAGGTTATCAGAAAGATAAATCATTGACATCCATTATGTTCTTGAGTCTGGAAAGCAGCTTAAGATCTTAATAAATACAACTTTTCAAGTTTAAGAAATCTATATTGATCTGCTCCTGGGAATTGGAGAGCCATGTGATCTTAAAAGTGACATGGTGTCACTTAGACTAGGCCTAAAACTGAGATCTCCTTTAATCATTGTTGGTCTGTATCCTTATGTGAACAGAAATAAATCCACTGCCACTCTCTGCTCCCAAGGTGCTTGGATCCAATCTGTTGAAAGAAGGGCTTCTTAGACAGTTGTAGGGTAGATAATTCAAATCAAGTTGGCATCAGGATGACACAAGAATGGCTTCTGGAAGTTTGGCTCAGCTGAGCCAGAGATGCCTTTATTGGAGGAATGGGACACCCTCTCTTGGGAGAGACAGTATAGGGTAGTAGTTAAGGTCACAGGCTTGGCACCAGACTGTCTTTGGTGTGAATCCCAGTGTTGCTAATTTTTGGTTTTGGAAGCTTGGGCAAGTGACCTAACAACCTGTGCCTTAATTTCTTTACCTCTAAAGTGAAGCTAACAATAATAACAGTGTCTATCATATAGGACTCATATGAATCAAATGAGTTTGTAGCATATCCACATCACTCACAACAGTGCCCAGCAGGTAGTAAGTGATCAGTAATGTAAGCTGTTAATATTTAATGTCACTGGATAAAGCTTTATGATTTTTTTGAAGATCTTGAATTCCTTTTGTTAGGATACCCTATAGTTTTGGTCCTTACTGTTAATAGTAGCTTTTAAAATTGTTTATAATTGTTTCGGGTTTCTTGTTATGCTCTTGTAGGTTTCATAGTTTTAATGAGAAATATCGACAGAAAATTCAGAGAATCACACCCTTTGCAAATAATGACTGTTTTGTTTCCTCTTTTGTAATCCTCTTTTGTGTTACTTTTCTTTCTTATTTTAAGATTGCTGGCTAGTTCCTCCAGTAAAAATCGTATTAGAATCTATGATCATGGGAATCCTTATTTTTCTCCTGCTTTTTTTTAAAGGGAATGTTTCCTGCTTTTGGAAGCATCACATATGTTTTTGGTATATTGCCTTTATTCTCTTTTATTCCTACTTTGCTAAATTATCACAAACAGCAATTTTATCAACAGTTTTCCTTGTATTTATTCAGATGATCATCTGGGCTTTCTCCTTTCAGTTGTAAATGATTTGAATTATGTTAATAGATTTTCTAATGTTAAATTATCCTTATATTCTTGAAATTAATCCTGCTTGGTTGTGATGTATTTTTTTAATACATTTCCAGATTTAATACGTTAATATTCTCCTTTGGATTTTTGCACATATGTCATAAAATTTCACTCATAATTTTGTTATACTGTCTTTTTCTTCTCTTACTAAGATTAATAAGGCAAGGCTTGGTGGCTCACGCCTGTAATCCCAGCACTTTGGGAGGCTGAGGCAGGCGGATCATTTGAGTTCAGGAGTTCAAGACCAGCCTGGCTAACATGATGAAACCCTGTCTCTACTGAAAATATAAAAGTTAGCCGGGCGTGGTGGCGCGTGACTGTAATCCCAGCTACTCAGGAGGTTGAGGCAGGATGACTGCTTGAACCCAGGAGGCGGAGGTTGCAGTGAGCTGAGATGGTGTCACTGCATTCCAGCCTGGGAGACAGAGTGAGACGTCTCAAAAAACAAACAAAAAGATTAATATAGCTTTTTTTTTGGTAGAGACTACTATGGGTTTTTTTTTTGTAGAGACTACTGTGTTGCTCAGGCTGGTCGTGAACTCCCAGTCTCAAGCGATCTTCTCACCTTGGCCTCCCAAAGTGCTGAGAGTACAGGTATGAGTCACCATGCCTGGACAAAATACAGCTTTTTATTTATTTTCTTGAGACAGGGTCTTCCCATGCTGGAGTGCAAAGACATAACTGTAGTATTTTCAAATTTTTTTTAAGTTGGCCTCTAACTTAATTGCATGATAATCACAGAACAGTCTGTATGATACTGATTGTTTCGTTTTTATTTATACTTAATTTGTGGCATACTACACAGTCAGTTTTCATAAATATTTCATTTGTACTTTAGAAGTTTGTATAACAACTGTTGGGTGAGGGGGTTGGGGAACGCAGAAAAATAAAAATGTTGGGTGAAGTTTTATTCTGTATGTCCTTACATCAAGCTTATCAGTTATGTTGTCCAAATCTTCCATATTTTACCAACTTTTGATTTTTGTTTTGTTCTGTTTTGTTTTGTTTGTTTGTTTGTTGAGACAGGGTCTTGCTTTGTTGCCCAGGCTGGAGTGCAGTGGTGCAGTCGCGGCTCACTGCAGCCTCAAACTCTTGGACTCAAGCGATCCTCCTGCCTCAGCCTCCCGAGTAGCTAGAACCACAGGCACACACCACCACACCCTGCTAATTTTTGTGTTTTTTATAGAGATGGGGGTTCGCCATGTTGCCCAGGCTGGGCTCAGGCGATCCTCCCACCTTGGCCTCCCAAAGTGCTGGGATTACAGGTGTGAGCCACCGCGCCCAGCCAGGTGTTCTTGATTTAACAATTCCAGAGAGAACTATGTTAAAGTTTTTTTTTAATGACTGAATTTGTGAACTTCTCTTCATAATTTTGTCAAACGTGTCTGCATATAATTTGAAGTTCTCTTTAGAATTGTTTCCTAGAGAATTGTAGAGAGCATCTTTATCCCTAACAGTACTTTTTCTCATGGTCTTTTTTTGTCTGGTATTAATGTCAGCTTTCTTTTTGTAAATATTTGCCTGCTACATCTTTTCTTATCCCTTTTCTTTTTCTCTATGTCCTAATGTCTTAGGTGTATCTCCTGTGAATGACATATAGTTGGATTTTTTTCCAGCCTATTTTGAGACTGTCTTTTGATTGGCATGTTTAACCCATTTAAAAGTATTATGATAGCAATTGTGTATTATCTTAATATCTCATTTGATACCTTATGTAATTTATTTAATATCATTAAATACATTATTATTTCATATCTTACTTTGTGCTATTGACCATGTTTTGTTTGCATTTTTCTCCTTTTCAGTCTTTTCTTTTCTTTTCTTTTCTTTTTTTTTGAGATGGAGTCTCGCTGTGTCACCCAGGCTGGAGTTCAGTGGCGCGATCTTGGCTCACTGCAGGCCCCGCCTCCCAGGTTCACGCCATTCTCTTGCTTCAGCCTCCCAAGTAGCTGGGACTACAGGCGCTCGCCACCACACCCAGCTAATTTTTTTGTATTTTTAGTGGAGACAAGGTTTCACCGTGTTAGCCAGGAAGGTCTCGATCTCCTGACCTCATGATCCGCTGCCCTCGGCCTCCCAAAGTGCTGGGATTACAGGCGTGAGCCACCGCGCCCGGCCCCTTCAGTCTTTTCTTAGAAAGGGTTTCATTATTCTACCATTTGGAAACTTTCAGTTCTGTTACAGGCTACTCTTAAATTTTTGGCTTGCATGCTTCATTAAAATCTTAAATCAATATCTCTACTCTCTTCCCAAATAGAAATCCACAGTTTGTCTTACACATTGCTGTGGATCGGTATTACAATTCTACCTTGTTTTGTTTGTTTGTTTGTTTTTGAGGTGGAGTTTTGCTTTTGTTGCCCAGGCTGGAGTGCAATGGGGCGGTCTCAGCTCAGTGCAACGTCCACCTCCCGGGTTCAAGTGATTCTCCTGCCTCAGCCTCGCAAGTAGCTGGGATCACAAGTGTGTGCCACCATGCCGGGCTAATTTCTGTGTTTTTAGTAGAGACTCTTTCACCACGTTGGCCAGGCTGGTCTCAAACTCCTGACCTCAAGTGATCCATCTGCCTCGGCCTCCCACGATGCTGGGATTACAGGCGTGAGCCAGGCGCCTGGCCTTCCCCTTTGCTTTTATACCCTGGAATTAGTTGTTGCTATTCTTATTTGATGAAGTCTGCTTATTTGAATTCACTCACCTGCTTGCCAACTTTTTTGCCTTCCCTTCCTTCTTTTATCATACTTCATCCTTTTGAGTTAAATTTCCTTCTTCCAGAGGTAGGCTTTAACACTGTTTTTTAGTGAGAGTCTATTGGTGCTAAACTCTTTTTGCTTACCTAAAAGTGTTTTTATTTGTCATAACCATTGGATAATTTAGCTAGTTATAAAAGTCTGGGTTGGCAGTTACTGTTTCTCAGCAATTAGATGATGTTATTGTGTTTCATTATCTTCTAGCTTTTGATATTACTGCATTTGAAAAGTCTTCTCAACTCTTAGAGTTAATGTTTTTTTCTCTTGGCTGCTTTATCTTGTCTTTACTCATGGTGCTCTCCAAATTTACTGTCATATGTTCCGGATTTAATTTATTTTTATACATCTGTTTGCTATTTGTCCTTGAATATCAAATATCATGTGTTTCACAGCACCTAAGAAATTATCATCTAGTTATCTCTTCAAATTTTACCTTTCTTTTATTCTTTCCCATCCCTCCTTTTGAAAATCCTAGAAATTTTATATTGGGCCTTCTGTCTGCCTTCCTGTTTCTTAAACTCTTTTGTATTTTCCAGTTCTTTATATGCTTTACTATGGGTAATTCCTTATCTCTGTTTTCAGTACACTAATCCTTCCGTCCGTCCATCCATCCGTCTCGCTCTGTTGCTCACGCTGGAGTGGGCTGGCATGGTGGTGGGCACCTGTAATCCCAGCTACTTGGGAGGCTGAGGCAGGAGAATCACTTGGACCCAGGAGGCGGAGGTTGCAGTGAGATGAGATCATGCCACTGCACTCCAGCCTGGGTGACAGAGCGAGACTCTGTCTCAAAAATTTTTTTAAAAAATAATTAATTGGCTGAGCGAGGTGGCTCACGCCTGTAATCCCAGCACTTTGGGAGGCTGTGGCGGGTGGATCACGAGGTCAGGAGATCGAGACCATCCTGGCTAACATGGTGAAACCCCGTCTCTACTAAAAATACAAAAAAAAATTAGCCAGGCATGGTGGCGGGCACCTGAAGTCCCAGCTACTCAGGAGGCTGAGGCAGGAGAATGGCGTGAACCCGGGAGGCGGAGCTTGCAGTGAGCCGAGATTGTGCCACTGCACTCCAGCCTGGGCGACAAAGCGAGACTCCGTCTCAAAAAAAAAACAAAACAAAAAACACAAATTAATTAAAATAAATAAATAAATTTAAATTAGTGAAAATTAATGAACAAAATTTAAATTCCATTTCTGAGTTACTCTAGCCACATTTTCAGTGCTCGGTAACCACAAATGGTTAGTGACTGCTGTCATTGGAACATTTCCATCATTGCAGAAAGTGCTGTTGGACAGTGCTGCTCAAAACTCTTCCGTAGTGCTCTTATAGTACAGAGAGAATCGGTAAATGTGTAATTTCAGAAAATGGATCAAGTGAACTTGCCCTTGTGCTGAGAGTCTAGGAGGTTCTCTTTAGCATGATACCATTCTGCATCAACTATGTTTAGGAAGAATTCAGAGACGGTGTTGCATTCTTAGGATGATTTATGGGATCATTGGTGATCCCAAGCTGACTTTTCTTTCCTGTAATTTGGTAATTGGAAGAGGAGAAACCAGGTAAGCAGGAACCCCCAATGTTGAATACGCTTTGGGGAAAATGGAGAAAAATTTCTACATTGATTTTATGCAGCTCTGTTTAATCTGAGACTAGAGAGGATGGGTTTGTGAGGTGACTGGAGAAAAACAGCTTAAGTTCTTATGACTTGAAATTTGACTCAAGTTGGAAATTCCTTGTAATTAACTCATCTTTTCTCTCCACCCCCTTAAATTGCCATCTCATTCTCCTTTGAGTTGCTATAGAACAGTTAAAGATTCTCAAGAAAAGATACCTTCCCCTACCTTACCCCCCACATTCACATACCCACACCTTCTTTAAATAAAGCATCATTTAACAGTGACTGGACTCCAGATACACCAAGGTTAAGAAAGTCACACCAGGCCGGACGCAGTGGCTCACGCCTGTAAACCTGGCACTTTGGGAGGCCAAGGTGGATGGATCACCTGACGTCAGGAGTTGGAGACCAGCCTGGCCAACATGGCCAAACCCCGTCTCTACTAAAAATACAAAAATTAGTTGGGCGTGGTGGCAGGCACCTGTAATCCCAGCTACTCGGGAGGCTGAGGCAGGAGAATCTCTTGAACCCGGGAGGTGGAGGTTGCAGTGACCTGAGATCACGCCACTTCACTCCAGCCTGGGTGAAAGAGCGAAACTCCATCAAACAAACAAACAAACAAAAAAAACAAAAAAAAAGGTCACACCAGCCTGGGCCCCAACAAGCTATGTAGGAGGGAAGAGCCACTGACCCCCAACCTTTTTCTTTGGCCATGGCTGACACTGTTATAATTTACCTCACTGTTTATTATGGAGCCCTACAGGGGCTCAGAATCCTTTTCTTTTTTTATTTTATTTTCTTTTTTTTTTTTGAGACAGAGTCTTACTCTGTCACCCATGCTGGAGTGCAGTGGTGTGATCTCGGCCCACTGCAATCTCCACCTCCTGGGTTCAAGTGATTCTCCTGACTCAGCCTCCCCAGTAGCTAGGACTACAGGTGCGTGCCACCACACCTGGCTAATTTTTTATTTTTAGTAGAAACGGGGTTTCACCATGTTGGCCAGGCTGGTCTCGAACTCCTGACCTCAGGTGATCCACCTGCCTTGGCCTCCCAAAGTGCTGAGATTACAGGCATGAGCCACCGCACCCAGCCCAGAATCCTTCTTAACACAGTACTCCAAGTGCCCACAGTCCATACTAACTGCTGGAGTTGATGTGTGAGACTAAGCCTGTTTACTGTCCTTGGCTTAGGGAATTGAGGCTCGGAGTTTACTGTTAAGAGAAGGCATATTGTTACTGATTGCAGAGTACTTACTATGAGCCAAATATGTTAGTTGAGAACGTTTTTTTAAAAAGTCTATTGTGAGTGTTTATTACCTATGATACGGAGTTAGGTGCCTAGTAAAAGTTCAGTAAATATACACATGAAGAAGTACAGTAATCATAGGAATAAAGATAAAGGTAGTTTGTGTTGGAAAAGAGTTGGGTTACTTCTTTCTGGTGATTTTTGTAGAGTTGTCAGCAGTGGCTTGGGATTGACTTTCTGCAGGAAATTAATCTCAAACAAAAAAGATGGCTTGTAAGATGACAGGAAGGGGTTTAGAAAGAGGCAGCATTTGCAGAAGGAAGAGGAAGAAGTTACAAAAGAAGGAAAGCCCTGGAGCAGGTGAGGGAGTTGGAAAGGCTGAACTCGCACATGCTGTGCAGAAGCAGAAGACAACAGACCTTTGTGGTTTCCAAATCAGTATTTTCTGTCTTTTAAGCAAATCTTTTAAGAAACAAAAGTTCTTCCTGCTTCTTTCGTGGTCACAAAAATAATCAGAATATTCACTGTGAAGATTTTAAACATTAATGTAGAAAGCGGAAGTTTCCCCCATGATCCCTCTGGTGTATATGTCTCCAAATTTTTGCCTCTGGATGAATGGGTGTGTGTAAAGCCGTAGAAAGCACATTATGCTTGTTTCACAACTTCTCTTTCTTATTTAATGTCCTCTTCATTGTTTCATGTTGTTCCATGTACATGTGTGGATTTTATTATTTTATTTAATTAATTAATTAATTTATTTTTTGAGACAGAGTTGCACTCTGTTGCCCAGGCTGGAGTGCAGTGGCGCCATCTCGGCTCTCTGCAAGCTCTGCCTCCCGGGTTCATGCCATTCTCCTGCCTCAGCCTCTTGAGTAGCTGGGACTACAGGCGCCCGCCACCACACCCGGCTAATTTTTTTGTATTTTTAGTAGAGATAGGGTTTCACAGTGTTAGCCAGGATAGTCTCGATCTCCTGACCTTGTGATCCGCCCATCTCGGCCTCCCAAAGTGCTGGGATTACAGGACTGAGCCACCACGCCTGGCCTATTTTATTTTGTTTTTGTTTCTGTTGTAATTTCTGGAAACTTGTACCTGGAAGTGAAATCTATTCACAGCACACTTCTCCCTGACTATCCCCCCAAAATTGTGCCCCAAAATGCTTATACCTGTTTAGCTCTTTGTTAGGGACCATATCTACCATTTGGCCACAATTTCTCTATGAGTTGTTATAAGACTACCACAGGAAAGATCGTATAGCCCCTCCTATAAACTTAGTTTGTTCTTAGGGACCAATTAAATAATAAGCCAGCAAAGAGCTCGACCCCCACTGCAGAGGACATTTCGTAAGAGGGGATTCATAGGAGCCCCACTTTCTCTTTCCCAGCCCTCTGTTCTGAAGAATCTGAATGTGTCTAACTTGTTTCAGAGTTCACTGTTTCTTTCCATTTTTCTTTCTGATGGGATGATTGCTTCTGCCAATGGCTAGACTAGAGCATAAGAAATTTTTATCTTGGATCGACATCTGAGAGCTCTAAAAGAAAACACCAGGCAGTGGGGGGACGGGGTGGGTGGGATTTTAAGTCAGGCCTGCAAGAGGCAGCTAGTCATGGGTCTGCACTCAGCCTGGTGCTTTTGCTTCCTTGGGGTGCTGCCAACAGAAACCGTTAAATAGGCAGCATGCTGGTGAGGCCTATACATCTGTCTGGGATAGGATCCCACAGAGGGGTCTTGTGTGGGATTGATCCAATAACCCCATAGTTTGAGTCAGGTGACAGGTCAGCAGGGGCCTGAATTTTCCTCCCTCTTCTAGTGATCTGCAGAATAATCAAATGACCAATAACTAAGCATCTTATTTGAGTTGTAAAAGAACTCTCATCTGTGTTTAAACGAACATTTAAAATATTCCTAAAAAAGAAAAACATTCTAAGGTTATTTATTTTTTTTTTTAAGCTGTTGCTGTTACATGTGACTGAGCAACTGTGTGGGCAAGAGTAAAAG
Source organism: Homo sapiens (assembly GCF_000001405.40). Classification (NCBI taxonomy): domain Eukaryota; kingdom Metazoa; phylum Chordata; class Mammalia; order Primates; family Hominidae; genus Homo; species Homo sapiens. Next base: position 75,026,321 of record NC_000016.10, read on the forward strand.
TACTGGCATAGAACCTGGAAACAAGAGTTTAGAATGAAGTTGAACCCATTACCCAACAGCAAGGTCAATGTTTATAGCGTTCCCCTGAGCTCAGAGCCCTTTTGGATGACGTGTCATTTCCTTCATGCCTCTAGAAAGTGGAGAAACAGGAGCAGATTAGGAAAAGTACTTGGAAAAATTCTGTAATGATTTGAGCCTTAGCCAGGCTTAATACTTCAGTGTTTGAACTCTTCCCTACTGAGACTTTTGCTTTCATAGCAGTTTTTCTTGGTTATTAAAAAAATATATACAACAAAGTAGATCGTAACAGTAGTATGTAATAAGAATATTTCTGGCCAGGCGCAGTGGCTCACCCCTGTAATCCCAGCACTTTGGGAGGCAGAGGCAGGCAGATTACTTGAGGCCAGGAGTTCGAGACCAGCCTGGCCAACGTGGTGAAACCCCGTCTCTACTAAAAATGCAAAAATTAGCCTGGCGTGGTGGTGCGTGCCTTTAATCCCAGCTACTCAGGAGGCTGAGGCACAAGAATCACTTGAACCCAGAGGCGGCACTCCAGCCTGGGCAACAGAATGAGACTGTCTCAAAAAAAAAAAGAAAGAAAGAAAAAGAATATCACTAATAACAGACATTTATTTCATCTTATTAAGTGCCCGGCACAGTTCTAAATGCTTAACATTCAATTATTGAATCCTCACCCCTTGAGGTGATTCCTGTTAACATTCCTATTTCACAGATAAGGAAACCAAGACCCAGCGGTTAGGGAACTCAGCCAGTGTTACATAGCTAGAAAGTGGTGTGGCTCTAGCCATGTATAGTGGCTCCTTCCTGTAATCCCAGCACTTTGGGAGGCTGAGGCAGGAGGATTGCATGAGCCCAGGAGGTCAAGGCTGCAATGAGCTGTGATCACACCACTGCACTCCAGCCTGGGCAACATAGCAAGACCCTGTCTCTTAAAAAAAAAAGAAAATAAAAGTGCTGTGGCTCTAATAAATGGTATCTCATGTTGTTATTAAATTGCAATCAGTTTGGCCATCAAAAATTGAATTGTGGGAATCCTTTTTAGCCCTATAGCTGGGCCTATGACATTCTTTGTAGTTTTGTAAAATGGTGGAGTAGATTTTCTTACCTTGTCAGCCATAAGAGTTGCCCCCTGTGACTCCATTTATCTGCTGTTTATAATATCAGTCCTTTCAACCATCTTTGACTCCAGCAGGAACTACAGCCCATTGAACCTATTTTCTTCTCCCTTTCCCTCACGCCCTCATGCCTGTACTTTTCTCCTTAAACAACTTAAATTCCATGGTCAGTCATTATAATGACTGCCTCATGTACTACACTCTCAATCCTCTTCCCCTCTTTTGCCTTGTCACACTTGCTTGGCTAAATCACAACTCTGGTTAAATCCAAATCTCTGCCTACTTTGTGGGTGTGCCCCTGGGTTAGAAGAAACACTGAGCACATTCGCTGTCCTCACTCTTAATTCATGATTACTAACCTTAAACAGGCCCCTAATGCTGTCTGGGAATCCTGCTGTATTTCCACAGTTCCTTCATTCTCCAGCCTCCTAGAGGACTCTTCCATACTTTCTCCTCTCTTTTAAAAACACCTTTCTTAGCCTTTGTTGATGACCTTCCTATTTCATTGAGAAAACAATGGCACTCGCCACCGTATCCACCCACGTGCTTGTATATCTGCCTTTTCCCCCTTTCCTGTAACTAGGTATGAGTTGTACATGATCCTTGCAAGGGCCAATACCTCCATTTGCAAACAAAATTTCATTCCCACTTCCTGAGTCCATCCAGAGTGCTGCTCCAACCTTCCTCTGCTCTCTGCTAAATATTACCGCTCTAGTGGTACATTCCTATTGGCATACTAACTGCTGCTATTTCTTCCATCTTGAAAACAGGAATAACAAATTAACTTATCATGATTCTACTTCCCCTACAGATACTAGTCCATTCTGGTACTTTTTGTTTTTTGTTTTTTGTTTTTGAGACGGAGTTTCACTCGACGCCCAGGCTAGAGTGCAATGGCGTGATGTCGGCTCACTGCAACCTCTGTCTCCTGGGTTCAAGTGATTCTCCTGCCTCAGCCTCCCAAGTAGCTGGGATTACAACCATGTGCCATCACACCTGGCTAATTTTTTGTGTTTTTAGTAGAGATGGGGTTTCACCATGTTGGCCAGGCTAGTCTCGAACTTCTGACCTCAAGTGATCCACCCACCTTGGGCTCCCAAAGTGCTGGGATTATAGGCGTGAGCCTCTGTGCCCGGCCCCTGCTACTTCTTTTAAGACAAAAAGTTCTCAAGAATTCTCTTTTCTTGGTTTTCTGATTTTTCTTCTTCCATCCTCCTTGAATCCACTCCACTCAGGTGTTTGCCCTCATCACTCAATTGAAACAGCTCTTATCAAGGTCACTGAGGACCTTTGTACTGCTAAATCCAGTAGCCTATTGTCAGTTCTCAGTTTGGGAAAAGTGGCTGCATTTTACCCAGCTGGTCATTTCCTTCCCCTTGAAACACTGTCTTCACTGCTTCTAGAATACGATGCTCACTTAGTTTTCTTCCTATCTCTCTCATTGGTTTTATCTCCTTTGCAGATTCCTCTTTATCTCTCTACCTCAAATGTTGAAAGGCACGAAGGCTTAGTCCTTGAACCAACTCTCTTTTTATATATCACAAACTTGGTGAAGTCATTAATATTAGTGGTTGTAAATACAGTGTGTATGCTACATGTCCAGCTTGACTGCAATCTTGACCTTTTTTTTTTTTGCTACAACTCCAGCTTGACTGCAGTCTTGACTTTTTTATTATTTTATTTTATTTTTATTTTTATTTTTATTTTTGAGACGGAGTCTCGTGCTGTCGCCCAGGCTGGAGTGCAGTGGCGCCATCTCAGCTCACTGCAAGCTCCACCTTCCGGGTTCACGCCATTCTCCTGCCTCAGCCACCCAGGTAGCTGGGATTACAGGTGCCCACCACCATGCCCGGCTAATTTTTTTTGTATTTTTAGTAGAGACGGGGTTCTACCATCTTAGCCAGGATAGTCTCGATCTCCTGACCTTGTGATTCGCCTGCCTCGGCTTCCCAAAGTGCTGGGATTACAGGCATGAGCCACCACGCCCGGCTGACCTTTTCTTAAAAAACAAAACAAAAAACTATTATTGGCTGGACTCAGTGGCTCACACTTATAATCCCAGCACTTTGGGAGGCTGAGGCGGGCAGATCACTTGAGGTCAGGAGTTCAAGACCAGCCTGGCCAACATGGTGAAAACCCATCTCTACAAAAAAAATACAAAAATTAGTCATGCATGGTAGCATGTGCCTGTAGCCCCAGCTGAGGCTGAGGCTGAGCTTGGAGAATCGCTTGAACCTAGGAGGCGGAGGTTGCAGTGAGCCAAGATCATGCCACTGCACTCTAGCCTGGGTAACAGAGCGAGACTCCATCTCAGAACAAACAAACAAAAAATTTATTGAGGCTGGGTGTGGGCTGATCACTTGAGGTCAGGAGTTCGAGACCAGCCTGGCCAACATTGTGAAAACCCATTTCTACTAAAACTACAAAAATTAGCCAGGTGAAGAAAAAAAAATTAGCCAGGTGTTGTGTTGTGGTGAATGCTTGTAATCCCAGCTACTCAAGAGGCCAAGGAGGGAAGATTGCTTGAACCCAGGAGGCAGAGGTTGCAGTGACCTGAGAGAGCACCACTGCATTCCAGCCTTGGTGACAGAGCAAGATGCTATCTCAAAAAAAAAAAAAAAAAAAACCTGTTATTGAAATAATTCACATACCATACAATTCACTCATTCAAAGTAAACAGTTGAATGGTTTTTAGTATATTCTGAGAATTGTACAACCATCACCACATTTACCATACTCATGACAGTACAGAAATAAACACATGCATCTATGGTCAACTGATTTTCAACAAGGGTGTCAAGACCATTCAATAGAGAAAGAATAGTGTTTTCAATAGATGCTACTGGGACAACTGAATATCCATATGGAAAAGAATGTGGTTTGGACCCCTACCTCACACCACATACAAAAATTAATTCCAAATGGATCAAAGACCTAAATATAAGAACTAAAACTTTGATCTGCAGTAGCTGGAGGAAAAAAAAAAGAGAGAAATATTTAAAGAAAAAGAGAAAAAAACTATAAAACTCTTAGAAGGAAATGTAGTTGGAAATCTTACTGACCTTGCATTGGGCAGTAGTTTCTTAAATATGACACCAACAGCACAAGCAACACAAGAGAAAAATAATAAATTTTAGAACCTTTTTTAATTAGTCCAAAAAGAAACCCCATAACCATTAGCAGTAGCTCTGTTTTCCTCCATTTTCCCCTACCCAAGACAACCACTAATCCACTTTCTGCCTATGTAAACTTGCCTATTCTGGACATTTTATATAAATGGGATAATATATAACGCATAGCTTTTAGCATCTGGTTTCTTTAAGTTACCATAATGTTTTCAAGGTTCACTCACATTGTAGCATGCAGCACTTTATTCCTTTTTTTTTTTTTTTTTTTTTTGTTAAGACGGAGCCTCGCTCTGTCACCCAGGCTGGAGTGCGGTGGCGTGATTTCGGTTCACTGCAACCTCCGCCTCCCGGGTTCAAGCAATTCTTCCTCAGCCTCCTAAATAGCTGGGACTAGAGGTGTGCACCGCCACGCCTAGCTAATGTTTGTATTTTTAGTAGAGATGGGGTTTCACCACATTAACCAGGCTCGTCTTGAACGCCTGACCTCATGATCCGCCCACCTCAGCCTCCCAAAGTGCTAGGATTACAGGCGTGAGCCACTGCGCCCCACCTGTTTTTTTTTTTTTAGACAGAGTCTTGCTCTGTTGCCCAGGCTGGAGTGAACTGGCACGATCTTGGCTCTCCGCAATCTCCGCCTCCTGGGTTCAAGTCATTCTCCTGCCTCAGCCTCCCAGGTAGCTAGGATTACAGGCGTGCACCACCAAACCCAACTAATTTTTGTATTTTTAGTAGAGAGAGGGTTTCACCATGTTGGTCAGGATGGTCTCTATCTCCCGACCTCGTGATCTGCCTGCCTCAGCCTCCCAAAGTGCTGGGATTACAGGGGAGCCACCGTGCCCGGCCATGTCCAAATTTTTGTGTAGACATTTTCTTGTTTTACTTAAAAAAAAATTTTTTTTCTAAGGTTTTTTGTTTGTTTGTTTGTTTGTTTTGTTTGTTTTGAGAAAGGGTCTCACTTTGTCCCCCAGGCTGGAGAGCAGTGGTGTGATCTCAGCTCACTGCAGCCTGACCTCCAAAGCTCGAGTGATCCTCCCACCTCAGCTTCCCAAGTAACTGGGACTACAGGCGCTTGCCACCATGCCTGGCTAATTTTTTGTATTTTCCATAGAGACAGGGCATGTTGCCCAGGCTGTTCTCGAACTCCTGAACTCAAGCATTCTGCCCATCTCGGCTTCTCAAAGTGTTGGAATTACAGGCGTGAGCCACCACACCCGGCTATATATACCTACGAGTAGAATTGCTCGGTCAGTTCTACTGTGTCGAGTCAATTCTGCCGGATCTACCCGGTAGAAATGCTGGGTAACTTTAATTGAATCTTTTTGAGGAATTGCCAGACTGTTTTCCAAAGGAATTGCACAATTTTATACTCCCACCAACAGTATATAAGGGTTCTGATTCTCCACATCTTTTCCAACACTTATTATTACCTGTCTATTTGATAATAGCAGTCATAGTGGTTCTGATGTGGTATCATTATAGTTTTGATTTGCAAAGGATATTGGGCATCTTTTCTTGTGAGGTTTTTTTTTTTTTTTTTTTTTTTGATACGGAGTCTTGCTCTGTCGCCCAGGCTGGAGTGCAGTGGTACGGTCTCAGCTTACTACACCCTCCGTCTCCTGGGTTCAAGCAATTGTCTCGCCTTAGCCTCCTGAGTAGCTGGGATTATAGGCACCTGCCATCCTGCCTGGCTAAGTTTTGTATTTTTGTAGAGATGGGGTTTCACCATGTTGGCCAGGCTGGTCTTGAACTCCTGACCTCAGGTGATCTGCCCACCTCAGCCTCCCAAAGTGCTGGGATTACAGGCATGAGCCACTGCACCCGGCCTTTTCTTGTTTTTATTGGGTCTTCATATATAGTCCTTGGAGAAATGTCTATGCAAGTCCTTTGTCAATTGACTTTGTCAATTGTCATTGCACTCCAGCCTGGGCAACAAGAGCGAAACTCCATCTCAAAAAACAAACAAACAACAACACAAAGAAAATTAAAGACTTGTGCTGCAGAGGATACTATCTAGAAAATAATAAGACAAGTTACAGAATGGGAGAAAAATTTTGCAAATCATGTTCTGATAAGGAATTAGTATATCTAAAATGTATAAAAATGTCTTACAACTCAACAACCAAAAGACAAACAATTCAATTAAAAAATTTACAAAGGACCAGATGCAGTAGCTCATGCCTATAATACCAGCACTTTGGGAGGCCAAGTCAGGAGGATCACTTGAGACCCAGACCAGCCTGGGCAACACAGCAAGACCCTGTCTCTACAAAAATTAAAAATTAGTTGGGCATGGTGGTATATGCCTGTAGTCCCAGCTACTGAGGAGGCTGAGGCAGGAGGATCACTTGAGCCAAGGTGTTCAAGGCTGTAGTGAGCTGTAAGCATGCTGCTGCACTCCATCTGGGTGACAGAGCAAGACTCCACTGGATTACCATGGAAGGTTTAAGGGTACTATTGGCAATACATGTAGAGTCTATTTCTGGACTTTATTCTGTTTTTCTTTATACGTCTGTCCTTAAGCCAATACCATGTTCCTTTGATTACTGTGGTGTTATAATAAGTCTTGAAATCAAATATTATTATTTGATTTCTTTATTCTTTTTTTAAATTCTTATTTAGGGTATTCTCAGGCTTTCAAATTTCCATATAAAATTTAGAATCACCTTGTTTATTTCTACAAAAAAAAAAAAAAAAGGAATGCTTGCAGGAATTTTGATTGGGATTTTATTGAATTTAAGGATAAAATTGAGGAAAGTTAACATCTTAACAATATTGCAACTTCCAATTCATGAACACGGTATTTCTCTAGCTTCATTTAAGTGCTATTTAATTTTTCTCATCAGTGTTTTATAGTTTTTTTTTTTTTTTTTTTTGAGACAGCGTCTCGCTCTGTCACCCAGGCTGGAGTGCAATGGCGCAATCTTGGCTCACTGCAACCTCTGCCTCCCAAGTTCAAGTGATTCTCCCACCTCAGCCTCCAAGTAGCTGAGATTACAGGCACACCACCATGCCTGGCTAATTTTTGTATTTTTGGTAGAAGCGGGGTTTCCCCATGTTGGCCAGGCTCATCTTGAACTCCTGACCTCAAGTGATCTGTTTCCCTCGGCCTCCCAAAGTGTTGGGATTACAGGCGTCAGCTATTGTGCTTGGCCTATAGTTTTAGAATAAAAGTCTTGTGCACATTTTAAAATATTTACCTCTGAATGATTCTTCTTTGATGTTGTTTAAAGATTGTTAAAATTAATTGTGACAAAATACACTTAGCATAAAAATTACCCTTGGCCAGGTGCAGTGGCTCACGCCTGTAATCCTAGCACTTTGGGAGGCTAAGGTGGGCAGATTGCCTGAGCTCAGGAGTTTGAGACCAGTCTGGGCAACATGGTGAAACCCCGACTCTACTAAAATACAAAAAAAAAAAAAGAAATTAGCCAGGTGTGTTGGTGCACACCTGTAGTCCCAGCTACTTGGGAGGCTGAGCCAGGAGAATTGCTTGAACCCGGGAGGCGGAGGTTGCAGTGAGCGGAGATTGTGCCACTGCACCCCAGCCTCGCGACAGAGCGAGGCTCCGTCTCAAAAACAAAAACAAAAAATTACCCTCAGTTATTTAAAAATGTACAGTTCAGTAGTGTTAAATATATTTACATTGTTATGCTACCAATCCCTAGAACTTTTTCATCTTGCCAAACTATAACTCTGTACCCATTAAACAACTGCTTTCCATTTCCCTCTCCCCTCAGCAACCGCCATTTTATTTTCTATGAGCTTGACCACTCTTAATAACTCATATAAGCAAAATTGTATGGTATTTGTCTTTTTGTGACTGGCTTATTTCACTTAGCGTAACATTCTCAAGATTTATCCATGTTGGAGCAAATGTCAGAATTTACTTCCTTTTTATGTACATAACACATTTTGTTTGTCCCCATTCATGCATTGCATTTATGGACACTTGAGTTCCTTCTGCCTTTGGATATTGTGAACAATGCTGTGAACACGAATATACAAACATCCTTTAAGACCCTGCTTTCCGTTCTTTCGATTTTAACTTGATTAATTTTTTTGAGGCAGTGCCTGGCTCCGTTACCCAGTCTGGAGTACAGTGCATGATCTTGGCTCACTGCAGCCTCTGCCCCCTGGGTTCAAGTGATTCTTATGCCTCAGCCTCCCAAGTAGCTGGGATTACAGGTGTGCACCACTATACCTGGCTAATTTTTGTAATTTTAGTAGAGACAGGGTTTTGCCACGTTGCCCAGGCTGGTCTCAAACTCCTGGCCTCAAGTGATCCACCAGCCTCAGCCTCCCAGAGTGCTTGGATTACAGGTGTGAGCCACTGCGTCCAGTTGGCTTTCAGTTCTTCTGGATACATATACCCAGAAGTGAAATTGCTGGATCATATGGTAATTTTATTTTAAAATTTTTGAGGAACTGCCATAACTTTTTCATAGCAACTGCACCATTTTACCATTTTACATTCTTACTAACAGTGCAGTGCGTGAGTTCCAATTTCTTCATATGCTTGCTGCAATCCCCACCCTCCACCCCCCCTCCCCAGGTTCGAGCTATTCTCCTGCCTCAGCCTCCCAAGTAGCTGGGACTACAGGTGTGTGCACAACTATATTTTGTAATTTTTGTAGTGACAGGGTTTTGCCATGTTGCCTGGGCTGGTCTCCAACTCCTGGGCTCAAGTGATCCTCCTGTCTCAGCCTCCCAAAGTACTAGAATTACAGGCGTGAGCCGCTGCACTGGGCCTTAAAATGTTTTTCTTATAGAAAGTATACATTTGATTTTTCTCTTTTTTGAGACATCTTACTCTGTCACCCAACTGCAGTGATCATGCAATGGTGCGATCTTGTTGCCACCCGCAAATCCGAATGGCTCTGCAGCAACCTCAATTCTTGGCTCCTCAGAAGAAAGAATTCAACTGAGGAGCATAGGCAGAAGGAGAGACTGAAGCAAATTTTAGAGCAGGAGTGAAAGTTTATTAAAAAGCTTTAAAGCAGGAAAGAAGGGAAGTAAAGTACACTTGGAAGAGGGCCAAGTGGGCAACTTGAGAGATCAAATGCACGGTTTGACCCTTTGACTTGGGGTTTTATATGTTGGCATGCTTCGGGGTCTTGTGTTACTTCTCCCTCGATTCTTCTCTTGGGGTTGGCTGTCCGCATGCGCAGTGGCCGCCAACACTTGGGAGGGGCCCCATGCACAGTGTGCTTCCTGAAATTGTGCACATGCCCACTTGAGGCATTCCTTTACCAGCTAAGTGTTCCTAGAGAAAGGTCATAAACTAGTTAAACTCTGCCATTTTGCCTCTTAGTGCTCATGCCTGAGCCCACTCACCCAACTCCTAAGAGCTTATTGGGATCACCAGTTTCAGCTTTTTCTATCTACTGGGAGACTACCGTTCTCTGGCACCAGTTGCGACCAATTATTATTTTAGGGGGACTGCTTAACAACTGCCTGACCATCACCTGATGGTCACCTGACATTCCTGGTTGGGGGTGTGAGGGGACCTCTCCTCCTCTGCTCATGTTTTACTAGCTACCTCCTATAACAATCTCAGCTCACAGCAGCCTTGACCTCCTGGGCTCATGTGATCCTCCTACCTCAGCCTCCTGGGTAGCTGGGATCACAGGCATGTGCCATCACACCTAGCTAATTTTTGTTTATTTTTCGTAGAGATGAGCTCTCCCTATGTTGCCTAGCATGCCAGGCTAATTTTTGTATTTTTTAGTAGAGATGGGGTTTTACCATGTTAGCCAGGCTGGTCTTGAACTCCTGAACCTCAAGTGATTTCCTGTCTCAGCCTCCCAAAGTGCTGAGATTACAGCCGTGAGCCACTACACCGGGCTTGATGTTGCTTTTTAATCCAGACTGACAGTCTTTGCCCCTAAACTGGAATGTTTATATTTAATGCAGTCATCAATATAATTGAATTTAAATTAATTATCTTGCTTATTTGTTTCCTATCCAATACTTTCATCTGTTTCTTTTTTTTTTTTTTTCCCTCTCCTTCTTTCCTTCATTTGGATTAAGAAAAGTTCTTATTTTTTTGGCCGGGTGGACAACCTGTCTAAATGTAGAAACAACTTCATTCATTTTCTTTCTCAGCTGTTCAAACTTTAAATGTTTAAAAGGGATACTAATACCTTTGTGATAACTGGGTAAAGATTTGTCCAGATTACACCTGGATGGTATATGTTTGTATGTATGTATTATACACACGTATGTTTAATTCCCTCGGCCACTCTGAATTGAGCCATATGTGATTTCATTTCTTTATTATGTTTGCTTAGAGTATATTCGAGAAGATGCTTGGACTATGCAGCACTTTTATAGGTCCAGTTGTGTTGATTTGGGAGAGAAGAGAGAAGGTGAGCATGAACTTGACAGTTCTTGTGTGCCTGTTCTGTGCCAGGCACTTGGTTAGTACTTTACACATGCTCTTATTTTTTTCCTCACAACAATCCCAAGAGGTGGAAATAAACTATTTCCATCTTACAGATGGGAATTGACAGAGCTAGAATTTCAATCTGTCGATTCCAGCAGCATCTTTTGAAGCTTTCATGATGAGCAGAATGGATGATACTGTTGAGATCTGTATTCATCCAGGATCTTTTGTTCCTCCTGTTTCAGCAAACTCTTAAGATTGGAACTACATCAGTAGATAGGTGTGCAATGCCAGTCTTTTGCCTCATTTATTAAACAAGGCAGCCGGGAAGTACTCAGTTTTAATGTCACTTGGTCTTCACTCTTTTGTTTTTTTGTTTTGTTTTGTTTTGTTTTTGGAGACACAGTCTCCCTCTGTCACCCAGGATGGAGGACAGTGGCGCAATCTAGTCTCTGCCTCCTGGGTTCAAGCGATTATCATGCCTCAGCCTCCCAAGTAGCTGGGATTACAAGTGTGCACCACCATGCCTGGTTAATTTTTTGTATTTTTAGTATAGACGGGGTTTCACCATGTTGACCACGCTGGTCTGGAACTCCTGACCTCAGGTGATCTGCCACCTAGGCCTCCCAAAGTGCTGCGATTACAGGCATGAGCCAGCATTCCTGGCCCACTCTTCTTGTTTGTGGGTAGATCTCCCCCACCCCAGACCTTCTCTCCAATTCACCTTTTCTTCCATCTCCTTTAACATTGTAAAAAATGGTTTCTGGACCCCAAATCTATGAATAGAATGTGCTTAGAGGCAGGAGAGTACTGAGCTGAAAACATCTCACTAACCACTGATTTTAGTTAGCATGGCCTTTAGAAAGGAGTTAAAGCACTCATATAACCTGTTTTCCTAATACAAAATTTGGGAAGCAACAAAACCTTTTGCTGACAAATGTGGAAAAGTCTATGATGAGGAAGTGGATTGGATCTTGCTTGTGAACACTTATTTTCTTCCTTCTGGTAGCTAGATTTCAAGCTTCTCTTATTCCTGAGATGTAGTGACCAAGTTCATATATGTTGACTATGATTGCATATCATTTACCTAGAAGAATATTCTAGGGCAGACTTGAAGCCTATTTTTGTTGTCTGTTGTTAGGCAACAAAACCTACCTCAAAACTTAATGGCTTAAAACAACATCTATTTTATATTTGATCATAATTCTATGACTTGGGAATTCAGGCAGGGCTCAGCTGGATGGTTCTTCTCTATGTGACTAACAGCTGGGGTGTCTCATGACATTGTAGTCAGTGACTGGAATGGCTAAGATGGCTTCATTCACACATCTGGCAAGTTGGTGGGCATGATGAGGAGGCAAAGCCTTCTCTCTCTCGCTGTGGCTGTCTCCCTAGTTGTGACTAGCTTGGCTTTTGTTATTTGGAAGCTAAATTCCAAAAGTGAGCATACCAGGCAGCAAAGGCAGAAGCTGTAATTCTCCTAGGGCCTACTAGCCTTGGAAGTTACATGATGTGGCTTTCTCCACCTTCCGTTGGTCAAAACAAGAATTTGGTTTGGCATTGTGACAAGGGGAAGGGCAGGAGAGGGGACATTGCTGAAGAGCTGGTAAGATGGACACTATTGTTGCAACTATCTTTAGAAACATAATTTACCACAGAACACTTTCCTTGGGGAGCTTGAGCCCCACTGTAAGCCAGTTAAATAAGAATCTCTGAAGAAACAGTAAGATGCTCTCCAGGAAGTCCTGTGTGTGTGTTCTTCTAAGCACGATCTGCAGTCTGGCTCTTTCTGTTTCATACAACATGGCATTCCAGTGTGCAAGATGATGAGTCCTCCCACTCCTTTGAGCCATACTGATAAGAGAAATTGAAAATAATTTAAGTGCTGTTATTTTTTTTTTCTAGGACACAGTCCTACTTCTGTAAAATTTCCCCATCTGCTCCAGTATACAGTGATGTTGAGTACTATTGTTTTATAATCACTGGTGAATTCCTGGTAAGAACCATATCTTCTTCTGTGTTTAATCTCTGTGTTAAGCACAGCATTACATTCCAGTAGGTATGTGATAAATCCTTGAATTGAACCATTGAAAATGGCACTGTTGCTGCTGTTCTCAGTGCCTATCAGAATTGTGCAGAATTAATAGTTCCTATAGATCTAACAATTACATACCCCTGTTAAAAATATAGAAAAAATGTGGTTTTGAAATGAACAGATTTAAAATTAGACTAAACTTGAAAAGTGGCCTAAATGTTTTTAATGGCAAAAACTTTCTGTTTTATTTATTATTTTTAATTTGTTTGGAAAACTTTTTTTTTTAATGTGGAAGCATATTTAGAATACTGTGAATAAATATAAGTTGCTTTCCTGCAAATTGCTTTATTTAGGGAGGCCAAAGGCAGAACCCTAAAGACTTTAGAACCACTTAAAATACAGATAATTTACTTGGTCATTTTCAACCCAGGAACACACAGATTTTACTCTTGAAACTACTTATAAAAATCCTTGGAGTTAATGGTATACGAGAGTGTTGTAGCTCATGGAGTACTAAACCATGAGATCAATCATAAGATTCTCCCTGATACTTGTAAGAGGTACAGATTCCCAGGTTCCCCTTTGTTAGAGATTTGGATATAATACATCTCTGGTGAGACTTTGAAATCTCTGTTTTTAATGACTGGTCCTGGAGCTTTTAGGAATGCAGATTTATGGGCCCCACCCCAGACCTACTGAATCCAGTGGGAAGAGAGGGGTTGGTCTGTCAACAGGTGTTCCAGGTGATTCTTACGTGTGCTGTTGTTGAAGAAGCACTGTTAATAGAGAAATCCCTTTCATAGTTCTTTGCCAGAAAACTACAGTTCTACCAGAAAGTATCCCAAAAGATTTTCACTGTATATAGGAACCTGCAGTTAGGGATCCTCCAGATGTTGTGGGATATTGGTTGTTACTGTTTTGAAACTGAGGTATAGTTGACATACCATAATATTCATACATTATAAATGTACAATGAGATTTAGTAAATATATAGTTATGAAACCATCACTAAAATCTTTTGTTTCTTTCTTTTCTTTCTTTTTTTTTTTTTTTTTTTTTTTTTTGAGTCTTACTCTGTCACTCAGGCTACAGTACAGTGGCATGGTCATAGCTCACCGCAGCCTTGACCTTCTAGGCTCAAGGGATCCTCCTTCCTCAGCCTTCCACGTAGCTGGCACTGCAGGCGCGCACCACCACGCATGGCTTAAAATCCAATTTTATAACACTTCCATCTCTCAAAAAGTCCTTTTTTTATTTTTATTGTTTTAAAACAAGGGCGTCACTCTGCCACCTAGGCTGGAGTACAGTAGTGAGACTGTAGCTCACTGCAGCCTCAAACTCTTGGGCTCAAGCAATCCTCTCACTTTGTCCTCCCAAAGTGCTGGGATTACGGATGTGAACCACCACATCTGAAAGGGCCACTTCAGAAAGTTCCTATGCCTGTTTTTAGTCAATCTCTGCTCCCCACCGGGCAACTGCTATCTCTCTAGATTTGCCTTTTCTGGGAATTTCATATAAATGAAATCATACAGTATGTATTATTTTCTGTTTGGTGTCCTTCACTCACCATGTTTTTGTTTTTGTTTTTTGTGGGTTTTTTTTTTTTTTTTTTTTTTTTTGAGACAGAGTTTTGCTCTTGTTGCCCAGGCTGGAGTGCAGTGGCGCAATCTCGGCTCACTGCAACCTCTGCCTCCTGGGTCCAAGTGATTCTCCTGGCTTAGCCTCCTGAGTAGCTGGGATTATGGGTGCGCGCCACCATGCCCAGCTAATTTTTTGTATTTTTAGTAGAGATGGGGTTTCATCACGTTGGCCAGGCTGGTCTCGAACTCCTGACCTCAGGTGATCCACCCACCTTGGCCTTCCAAAGTGCAGGGATTACAGGCATAAGCCACCATGCCCAGCCCACTTACCATGTTTTTAAGTTCATATGTGTTGAGTATGTATCAGTAGTTTGTGCTGACATCGGTAGTTTTTATTGCTAAATAGTATTCCATTATATGAATTTACCACAGTCAGTCTATCCATTCACCAGCTGATAGACTTTTGGATTGTTTCTAGCTTAAGACAATTATGAATGATGCTGCTGTGAACATTCATGTTCGTGATTTTATGTGGACATAAGATTCCATATGAGAAGTTTGTGTTTAAACGTTTGAGAAACTGGCAGCCTTTTCCAAAGTGGCTGTACATTTTACATTTTCATGGGCAATGGTTGAGAGTTCCAGTTTTGCCACATCCTTGCCAACACCGTGTATTGTTGACTTACGGATTATAGTCATTCTAGTAGGTATGTAGTGGTACCACATTGTGATTTTAATTTATTTTATTTATTTATTTATTTTTGAGACAGGGTCTCACCCTGTCGCCCAGGCTAGAGTGCAACGGCATGATCTCAGCTCACTGCAGCCTCTGCCTCCTGGGTTCAAGTGATTCTCCCACTTCAGCCTCCAGAGTAGCTGGGACTACGTGTGCATGCCGCCATATCCGGCTAATTTTTGTATTTTTTGTTACAGATGGGGTTTCACCATGTTGGCCAGGCTGGTCTCCAACTCTTGACCCAAGTGATACGCCCGCCTCAGCCTCTCAAAGGTCTGGGATTACAGGCGTGAGCCACCGTGCCCAGTCCTCACTGTGATTTTAATTTGTATTTCGTTAGCTAGTGATGATCCCTTTTCATGTGTTTAACAATTCACTTATCTTTTTTGGTGAAATGTCAATTCAAATCTTTGCTTGCTTGTTGTTTTCTGTTTTTAAGACTTAATTCTCTCAGGAGTTCGAGACCAGCCTGGCCAACATGGTGAAACCCCATCTCTACTAAAAAAAAAAATATATATATATAAAATTAGCTGGGCATGGTGGCAGACGCCTATAATCCCAGCTACTCGGGAGCCTGAGGCAGGAGAATCACTTGAACCTGGGAGACGGAGGTCGCAGTGAGCTGAGATCATGCCACTGCAGTCCAGCCTGGGCAACAAGAGCAAAACTCCGTCTCAAAAAACAAAGACTTAATTATTTTAATAGAGCAGTTTTAGGTTCACAGCAAAATTAAGAGGAAGGTCCAATGATTTTCTGTATATCCTCATTTTTAAAAATTGAGTTGTTTGTCAGTGAGTTGTAAGAGTTTATGTATTATGAATATGTCTTTTGTCAGATATGATTTGCAACTATTTTCTCCCAATGTGTGGCCTGTGCTTTTATTTGCTTATATGGTATCTTTGGAAGAGCAAACATTTTTAATTTTGGTTGTCTAATTTATCAATTTTTTGCTTTTATGAATGATGCTTTTGGTATATGTAAAAAAAAGTGTCTAGACCAAGGTTACAAAAATTTCTCCTATTTTCATCTAGAAGTTTTATAGTTTTAGCTCTTACATATGTCTGTGTTCCATTTTGAGTTAATTTTTGGATATGGTATGAGGGAGGGAGTGTCTGTTTCTTTCTTTTTTTTTTTTTTTTTTTGTAAACACACATATTTCTAGTTGTAGCAACATCATTTGTTGAAAAGACCATCCTTTCTTCCTGAATTCCCTTGGCAGAATCAACTGGTCATAAATGTAGTGGTTTATTTCTCGGCTTTCAATTCTGTTCCATTGATTTATGTGTCTGTTGCTATTGTGGTTACTTGTAACTTTATGATAAGTTTTGAAATTGGGTAGTGTACAGTCTCCATTTTTGTTCCTCTTTTTCAAAATAATGTTGGGTTTTGACTATCCTAGGTCCTTTGCATTTCCATGTACGTTTTAGGATCAGCCTGTTGATTTCTGCAGAATGGTTTTTGAATCCTGATATTTTTTCATTCAGAGGTCCTTGTGACCTCTCACAGAGGGCCTGAAATGGGCTCACTGCTCTTTAGAGGTTATAATAAGCGAAGGCCTGCTGTACACCAATGCTTGATGTATTAGCGTTCTTCCAGGTTTGGCATGTTGGGTTTAACAGCTAGTGGGAACGCAGGCCAAGGCCAGCTCCGGGACGGTAAAGATGACCCTTGAGTGCTTCCCTTGGTGTTATACTTGGTGTCATCCCACCTCCTTGTCTCACTGGTAGTTGGCACTCCAAAAATACTTGAATAGAAGTGGGAGACTGTCTACAATAAAGAACAAGTTGAGACTGATGCATTTATCATCTCTCCTCTTTTTGAGCCTCCTTTGTTTTAAAGCCGTATTTATACCAATGAGTTTCTAAGCAGCCTGGCCAAGTCTGGTTCCCTCAGCCCTGAGCTGTGGCCAGCTTCATGGTTGATTGCATTTATCAGATTTTTTTCACCTGTTCTTGCCTAAGCCTGTAACACATTATCACTGAAACCAGACATGGTTTTATCTTTTCAGAAGCTTGTGAGAGGAAACTGGTGCTTCCCTTCCTCAGTTTTACTTTAAGGAACATTTTTTCTCTTTCTTGTAAAATTTGGCTGTTCTTCTTTTACATTTTAGACATGTGTTTGTTTTGAACAGGCTGCCTTCCAAAACTGTACAGTTCTTATCTTCCTTCTACCTCACCAGGCCTTTTTGTGCTGGATTCACTCAAACCCAGCTAATACTTACAGAACATTTAACTATAATATATGCAAGGAATCATTTTCAGTCCTGATAGATACACAGAAATGGATAAGACATGGTTCTTGCCCTCATAGAGCTCACAATCTGATAAACTCTGATAAAAGAGACAGTATATGGCATATATACACAGGTATATATAGCATGTAAGAGACATGGGGGATCCTGGGTTGGGTGGAGTACTGGTTTTCCACGAAACCTGTTGCATATCAGGAGCCAGCCATTCTTGCTTTGTACTTTTTTTTTTTTTTTTGAGACAGAGTTTTGTTCTTGTTGCCCAGGCTGGAGGGTAATGATGCGATCTCTGCTCACTGCAACCTCCACTTCCCTGGTTCAAGCCATTCTCCTGCCTTGGCCTCCTAGGTAGCTGGGATTACAGGCATGCACCACCATACCCGGCTAATTTTGTATTTGTAGTACTGGCTAATTTTGTGTTTGTAGTAGAGACGTGGTTTCACCATGTTGGCCAGGCTGGTCTTGAACTGCTGACCTCAGGTGATCCACCCGCCTCAGCCTCCCAAAGTGCTGGGAATACAGGTGTGAGCCACCATGCCCAGCTGCTTTGTACTTTTAAAATGTGATCTTGACTTTCAGAATTTAAACTTTGGAATTTCTTAGAGTGGTTTAGATGTCACCTTCCCTAGGTGTAGGACAGATAGAGCTCTGACTTTCTTTAAAATTTATTTTATTTTTTGAGACGGAGTCTCTCTCTGTTGCCCAGGCTAGAATTGCACAGCTTACTGCAACCTCTGCCTCCTGGGTTCAAGTGATCCTCCCACTTCAGCCTCCCAAATAGCTAGGACTATAGGCATACAGGCATGCGCCACCATGCCCAGCTAATTTTTGTATTTTTAGTAGAGACTGGCTTTTGCCATGTTGGCCAGGCTGGTCTCAAACTCCTGATCTCAAGTGATCTGCCTGCCTCGGCCTCCAAAAGTGCTGGGATTATAGGCATGATGAGCCACTGCACCCAGCCATTTTTTTTTTTTTAAATAGAGATGGGGGTCTTGCTATATTGCCCAGGCTGGTCTTGAACTCCTGGCCTCAAGCGATCCTCCTGCCTCATAAAGTGCTGGGATTACAGATGTGAGCCACCATACCCAGCCCAAGCTCTTGACTTTCAGGCTTCCTCATCCTGTTGACTTCTCTGCCACTAATTTCACAAGGCAGTATGGCCATATTTTTAATTAAGTTATTTGATGGACATACCCCTTTCCCTTGGAAAAGGGACTGCGTTTATAACAAATGAACCATGAATGGAATTCTTAAAAGTGAAGTAACATAATATGTTAAGCAGCTTATCTGTTATTTAATATAATTCCCTAAGGAGAGCTTAGTATGGTGCTCTGTCACCCATGGGCCTATTCAAAGTGGAATTCCTTTCTCTAATGTTGCATAATACTTCCACCAGAAGAAGGAGGTGGTAGAGTGTTTGAAATAATTATTGTGTTAGCTGCTGCCCCTGTCCTTTTTCTGTAATGTGGGAAACAAACTTCGTCTTAGGATCTTCTGGCAGGTGTCCTGGTTGGATCGTGGGTGGTGCTTGTCCGGCTGCCTCAAGGATCCAGCCTAGGGACATGTTCTTTGAGCACTTGATGTGAGAGTTTTATTTGTTTGTTTGTTTTTAATTTAACCCACACCCATGCAAACTATGTTCCCCATGCCAGGACCAGAATAACCCTGGCCAGGGCTCAAGAAAAACCTAGTAACAGACCTAAAATTAAATACATGAACTCTGCCTGCCCTTTTGCATTTGCATTATGGTTTTTTGTTAGGTGCTCTTGACCATTTTTTTTCTATTAGGAAAAGGCTGGGAAGGAGAAGCTTGAGTCATTACCTTAGGCATAGAGAGGGGATGGATGAGCTGTGAAGATTACTACTAATAAGTAGAGGTGGGACCAGTGCAAATTGTGCTGGGTGCAATATTTTTTTTTAACTTAGCAATAAAGATGCTATGACAGTGTCAATCGCTGGCTTTATCTGAGCCATCCATAGTAATAGACTTGTTTGTTTGTTTGTTTGTTTGTTTTTTAAGAGACAGGGTCTTGCTGTGTTGCCCAGGCTGGCCTCCTGCCATGGCCATAGCATGGTCTTGACTTTGAGTGTGAACCTGCATCTGGTGCCAGTAAACCTAACTTGCTCAGCTGAATCTTCTTCTTCGTCTTTTTTTTTTTTTTTTTTTCCAGAGACAGGGCTAATTCACCCAGGCTGGAGTGCAGTGGCATGATCATGGCTCACTGCAGTCTCGAATTCCTGGGCTCAAGTGATCCTCCCACCTCAGCCTCCCAAATAGCTGGCACTACAGGCCACTGTGTCCCGCTGTCATTTAGAATTTAATGTTTGCTTTTTTTTTTATTTTTATTTTTGAGATGGAGTTTCACTCTCGTTGCCCAAGCTAGAGTACAATGGCACGATCTCAGCTCATTGCAATCTCCACCTCCTGGGTTCAAGCAATTCTCCTGCCTCAGCCTCCCAAGTAGCTGGGATTACAGGCACGCACCACCATGCCTGGCTAATTTTTTTTATTTTTAGTAGAAACGGGGTTTCACCATGTTAACCAGGCTGGTCTCGAACTCCTGACCTCAGGTGATCTGCCTGCCTCGGCCTCCCAAAGTGCTGGTATTATTACATGTGTGAGCCACCGCGCCCAGCCAAATGTTTGCATTTATATAGGCCTCAATGAGTTGGGTGTTTCATTTTGTGTTTTGTTTTGTTTGAGACAGAGTTTTGCTCTGTCACCCAGGCTGAAGTGCAGTGGCACGATCTCAGCTCACTGTAACCTCTGCCTCCTGGGTTCAAGTGATTCTCGTACCTCAGCCTCCCAAGTAGCTGGGATTACAGGCATGTGCCACCACGCCCAGCTAAGTTTTGTATTTTTAGTGGAGACGGGGTTTCACCATGTTGCCCAGGTTGATCCCGAACTCCTGACCTCAGGTGATCTGCTGCCTTGGCCTCCCAAAATGCTGAGATTACAGGCGTGAGCCACCACACCCAGCTGTTTTCTTCTATTATTATTTTTTATTTATTTTTTTATTTTTTTGAGACTGAGTCTCGCTCTGTCGCCCAGGCTGGAGCACAGTGGCGCGATCTCTGCTCACTGCAAGCTCCGCCTCCTGGATTCACACCATTCTCCTGCCTCAGCCTCCCAAGTAGCTGGGACTACAGGCATCTGCCACCATGCCCGGCTAATTTTTTTGTATTTTTAATAGAGACGGGGTTTCACCGTGTTAGCCAGGATGGTCTTGATCTCCTGACCTCATGATCAGCCCACCTCGGCCTCCCAAAGTGCTGGGATTACAGGTGTGAGCCACCACGCCCGGAATGAAGTATTTCAGGTATACGGGACAGTACAGAAAAATAATATAGTGATCATCTACGTGTTAGCACCAAAATGAAATGTTTATATTATTTTTTATTTCTGTGGATTTCTCTGTACTTGTACCACTTATAAGAATCCCCACAATTTTGTGTGTATGTTAAAAGTGGATATAATCTGTCTCTTGCCATTAAAAAAAATTAAGCATTATGTTTTTGAGATGTATTCATTACAGATCCACCCCATTCATTTGAACTGCTTTATAGTGTTCCCTTAATATGTGGATAAATATACCTCAACAGATTTATTTATTTATTTTAAGAGATGGGGTCCCACCCTGTTACTCAGGCTGGTGTGCAGCGGCATGATCACAGTTCACTGTAATCTTGAACTCCTGGGCTCAAGCAGTCTTCCTGCTTCAGCCTCCCAAGTAGTTAGGACTACAGGTGCATGCCACCATGCCCAGCTAATTCTTAAATTTTTTGTAGCGATGGATTCTGGCTATGTTGCCCAGGCTGGTCTTGAACTCCTGGCTACAAGCAGGCCTCCCAGAGAGTCGGGATTACAAGCATGAGCTTGTGCCTGGCTCAATTTATTTATTTGTATTCATAGCAAGGGGCAGTTAACTTGATTCCACGTTTCCGTGGTTAGAAATAGAGTCACAATGAACACTTTTGTGTCTGTTTGTTTTCTAATTGTTATTGGCATGTGGAGGAGTGCTGTTGACTTTTGTGTGTGTAGATCTTGCGTCTAGCAACTTTGCTGAACTTGTGTTAGTTATTACCATTTGTAGATTTTCTTGCCTTTCCTAATATAGATAATCATATCACAGCTGTTTCCTCCTTTTAAGCCCTTAAATCTTTTGCCTACCATGTTACTTTGCTAGGGCTGCTGTACTACCAACTGGGTAGCTTAAACAACAGAAATGTATTTTCTCACAGTTCTAGAGGCATGGCGGCCGAGATCAAGGTATTAGCAGGGTTGTTTCTTCTGAGGCCTCTTTCCTTGGCTTGCAGATGGTGGTCTTCTCCGCTTCTCCGTGTCCTGACATGGTCTTCCCTTTGTATGTGTCTGTGTCCTCATCATTCTTTTTTTTTTTTGAGACAAGGTCTGGCTTTGTTGCCTAGGTTAGCATGCAGTGGTGTGATCATGGCTCACTATAGCCTCAACCTCCCCAGGCTCAGGGGATCCTCCTGCCTCAGCTTCCCAAGTAGCTGGAACTACAGGCACGCCGCCACGTCTGGCTGATTTTTGTATTTTCTGTAGAGATGGGGTTTTGCCCTGTTGCCCAGGCTCATCTCAAACTCCTGGACTCAAGTGATTCACCTGCCTTGGCTTCCCAAAGTGCTGGGATTACAGACATGAGTCAGCCCCAGCCCCTAATCTCCTATTCTCATATGAACACCAGTTATGTTGAATTAGGGCCCACCCCGATGACCTCATTTTTACTTAATTACTTCTTTACAGGCCTTATTTTCAAATATAGTCACATTCTGAAGTACTGGAGGTTAGGACTTCAGCATATAAATTTGGGGAGGGACACTATTCAGCCCCTAACATTGAATAATGCTGGCTTGGCTCTCTAATTCACCACTGAATTAAAGCAGTGAAAGTGGGCATCCTTGTTTTGTTCCTGACCATAGAGAGATTTAAAAGAGAATGCTCTTAAAATTTCGCCTTTACAAGTGGCAGTTGATGTGGGTTTCTAGATACCTTTCACTGAGTTGAAGAAATTCCCTTTTGTAACTTGTCGGCTCTCGAGAATAGAACCATTAGGGCCTGCCTTTACCAGTTAAGCATTTTTGGCAGAAGGACTGCACAGATGATGATGTGTCCTTCCCACTGCATCCTATCAGGAAGCTCATGATGTCAGTCTGTCCGTGGCTTGGTTCGGGTGATCTCTACTAGGCAAAGGTGATCTGTAGCTGCCAACTCTGAAATGGTGCGCAGATCTCGTTTCCCAGTAACCTTTGACCGGTGGTTTTTAAAACCTGTGGATAATCCTTACATTCATTGAATTAAAAAAATTTTAATGACTATCCTTTTCATTTCAAGAAATTGTTTAGTTATTTTTTTTGTCTACTTTGTCCTTCCTTCCATTCTTTATTAGTTTTTTATTTGCTGGAATTTGGAATCCCTTTTTTTTTTTTTGAGATGGAGTCTCTCACTTTGTCACCCAGGCTGGAATGCAATGGTGCAATCTCAGCTCACTGCAAACTCCGCCTCCAGAGTTCAAGCAATTCTCCTGCCTCAGCCTCCTGAATAGCTGGGACTACAGGTGTGCACCACCACACCCAGCTTCTTTTTGTATTTTTAGTAGAGACAGGGTTTCACCATCTTGGCCTGGCTGGTCTCAAACTCCTGACCTTAGGTGATCTGCCCGCTTTGGCCCCCCAAAGTGCTGGGATTACAGGTGTGAGCACCACACCCGGCCTGGAATCCTTTTTTTTATGTCTTTAATCTTTTAAAAATTTTTTAGACCAGGTCTCGCTCTGTTGCCCAGGCTGGGTGCAGTAGCACGATCATAGCTTACTGCAGCCTCAGCCTTCCAAGCTCAGGCAATTCTCCTGCCTCAGCCTCCCGAGCAGCTGGGACCACAGGTGTGCACCACCACACCTGGATAGTTTTTAAAAATTGCTTGTAGAGGCTGGGTGCAGTGGCTCACACCTGTAATCCTAACACTTTGGGAGGCTGAGATGGGCAGATCACTTGAGCTCCGGAGTTAGAGACCAACCTGGGCAATATGGCGAAACTCCGTCTCTACAAAAAATGCAAAAAACAAATTTCGCTGCTTCTACTTACTTCTGTACAGTAAGACTAGCCCACAGAGTGGTCCTTTGTACCTTCGCCCGGTTTTCTTCAGTGGTACATCCTACATAATTACAGTGCAATAGCAAAATGAGGCAATTGGCATGGGTGCTGTTAGTACCATCCATAGACCATATTCAGATCTCATCACTTTCACATGCACCCATTTGTGTGTGTGTGTGTGTGTGTGTGTGGTTTAGTGCAGTTTCATCATACATATGGGTTTATGTATCCAACATCACAATCAAGATAACTGTTCCACTACCTCACAGATCCCTAATGCTGCCCATTATAGTCATACCCATCTCTCTTCCCTCCTCCCCATCCCTAATACCAGTCAGCCACTAGTCTCTTCTCCAGCTCTAGAATTTCATCATTTCAGTAATGCTATATAAATGGAATCATAGGGCATGTAATCCTTGGGATTGGCTTTCTTCACTTAGCATAATTCTCCAAACTCTTGTGTATTTCAATAGTCTATTCCTTTTTATTGCTAAGTAGTAGTCCATGGTATGGATGGACCACGGTTTGTTTAATCCATCCGAGGACCTTTTTAAAATACTTGTGCCCAGATGCAGTGGCTCACTCCTGTAATCCCGGCACTTGGTGAGGTCGAGGCGGGAGGATTGCTTGACCCCAGGAATTCGAGACCATACTGGGCAACATGGCAAAACCCTGTCTCTACCCAAAATACAAAAATTAGCTGGGCGTGGTGGTGCACACCTGTAGTCCCAGCTACTTGGGAGACTGAGATCAGAGGATGGTTTGAGCCTGGGAGGCAGAGGTTGCAGTAAGCTGAGATTGTGCCACTGCACTCCAGCCTGGGCAACAGAGCCAGGCCTTGTCTCAACAATCAATCAATCGATCGTGTGTTCCTGATATTAAAAAAAAAATAAAAATACTTGTAGCCGCCGGGCACGGTGGCTCACGCCTGTAATCCCAGCACTTTGGGAGGCCAAGGCGGGCGGATCACGAGGTCAGGAGATCGAGACCATCCTGGCTAACACGGTGAAACACCGTCTCTACTAAAAAAATACAGAAAAATTAGCTGGGCATGGTGGCAGGCGCCTGTAGTCCCAGCTACTCAGGAGGCTGAGGCAGGAGAATGACATGAACCCGGGAGGTGGAGCTTGCAGTGAGCCAAGATTGCGCCACTGCACTCCAGCCTGGGCGACAGAGCAAGACTCCGTCTCAAAAAAAAAAAAAAAAAACAAAAAAAAACAAAAAACTTGTAGCCAGGTACAGTGGCTCACACCTGTAATCCTAGCACTTTGGGAGGCTGAAGCAGGAGGATGGCTTGAGCTCAGGAGTTTAACACCAGTGTGGGCAACATGGTGAGACCTTGTCGCTACAAAAAGAAAAAAAAAAAAAACAAAACCTGGGTGTCGTGGCACATGCCTGTAGTCCCAGTTACTCAGGAGGCTGAGGCAGTAGGCCCACTTGAGCCTGGGAGTTCAAGGCTGCAGTGAGCTATGATTGCACTGTACGGGTGACAGACCACCCCCTCCACTACTACCCACCTCCAAATACATCTATTTTTTTTTTTCTGAGACGGAGTCTCACTCTGTCGCCTAGTCTGGAGTGCAGTGGCACAATCTCAGCTCACTGCAGCCTCTGCCTCCCGGGTTCAAGCAATTCTCCTGCCTCAGCATCTCGAGTAGCTGGGATTACAGGTGTGTGCCACCACACCCAGCTAATTTTTTACATTTTTGGTAGAGAAAGGGTTTCCTCATGGTGGCCAGGGTGGTCTCAAACTCCTGACCTCAAGTGATCTGCCCGCCTTGGCCTCCCAAAGTGTTGGGATTACAGGCATGAGCCACCGCATCCAGCCTGCATCTTCCCCTTTTTTTTTTTGGGGGGGACGGAGTCTTGCTGTGTCTCCCAGGCTAGAGTGCAGTGGCATGATCTCGGCTCACTGCAATCTCTACCTCCCGGGTTCAAGCGATTCTCCTGCCTCAGCCTTGTGAGTAGCTGGGATTACAGGCATGTGCCACCACGCCCAACTAATTTTTGTATTTTTAGTAGATATGGGGTTTCACCGTGTTGGTCAGGCTGGTCTCGAACTCCTGACCTCATGATCCACCCACCTCAGCTTCCCGAAGTGCTGTGATTACAGGCATGAGCCACAGCACACAGCCCATCTTTTTTTAAACTATGTTTGTTTAATCATCACAAATCTATTCATCTATCCACTCCTTTATTTATCTATCCACCTCTTATTTTGTACACATTTCAAAGTAAACTATAGACATCTGTATACTTATCTTTAAATATTTCAATATGTACATCATTAACTGGTGTTAAGTATTTCTTTATAGCTTTTCCTCTTGGTGGAAAGTTTACATACAAAGAAATGTACACATTTTAAGTACATGTTCACTGGGTTTTGACAAGTACATGCATCAGCAAAACCCAAAACCCTATCAAGATAGAGAATGTGCCCGGGCGTGGTGGCTCACGCCTGTTTTTCCAGCACTTTGGGAGGCCAAGGCTGGAGGATTGCTTGAACCCAGAAGTTCGAGACCAACTTGGGCAACATGGTGAAACCCCATCTCTACCAAAAATACATAAAAATTACCTGGGTGTGGTGGCGTGCACCTGTAGTCTCAGCTGCTTGGGAGGCTGAGGTGGGAAAATTGCTTGAGCCCAGGAGGCAGAGGTTGCAGTGAGCCAGCATGGCACCACTGCATTCCAGCCTGAGTGACAGAGCCAGACCCTGTCTCAAAAAAAAAAAAAAGAAAAGAAAAAGATAATGTTATGTTACCCCACCTGCCTCACATTGTGAGTCAGTAGACTCATAGTTGGGTCCAAACATAAGATGTTTGTAAAAAGGTCCCTGATTTTGACCACTACCCTTTTAAATAAAGAAGCTTGGGGATGTGAAAGTCCTCCTCCAGGTCAGCAGGCTTGTTTAAGGTGAGACCATGTCCTCTGACCTCAGGGCTATGACTGCCATTCTCACTTCTTCAAGGCCACCTCCATTTCCAGCAGGCAGGTGTGTCAGACAGTAAAATTGAGAGAACTGTTCAGTGAACACCCATATAACCACCACCTCAACCGTGCAGCCAACATTGTCTATATTGCTTTATCACAGACTGTCTATACAGCCTTCCCTCCATCGATCTGTCTGTCCGTCCAGCTTACTGTTGTGATGCATTTCACAAAATGCACTCTTAATCATTGCATGATCTCTTTTGTGATTTTGCTCTGTGGAACACAAACTTACAGAGTTAAAGCAAGGCTGGCAACCCATGTGAAAATGAGGAGAATCTGAGCCTTTTCATTTGCTGCCACTGGGGACATGATGTGAATCGGCGCCCTCTGACTTAGCTCCATGGGGCCTCTGGATTGGAAGTGAGGGAGGAGCCTCCTGAGCAAATGGACTGAAATTCCTGCCCTAGGTAGGCTGATTGCCTTCCTGAAGCTCTATTTATAGATCGCAGAGGAAATCTAGGGGGCTTTATCTCACTTCCCACCCCACATAATAAAACTGGTTCAGGTGGGTGGCTAGAACCTTAAAGTTAAACATCAATTATCTAAATATACATATAAGGTGGGAATAGAGGGTCAGAAAAGCATTTTTGTTCTCTAACTTGAGGACTCCAGCTAAAAACATAAAAATCGCCAATGGCTGGGTGCAGTGGCTCATGCCTGTAATCCCAGCACTTTGGGAGGCCAAGGCAGGTGGATCACCTGAGGTCAGGAGTTCAAGACTAGCCTGGCCAACATGGTGAAACCCTGTCTCTACTAAAAATACAAAAATTAGCCAGGCCTGGTGGCACACGCCTATAGTCCCAGCTACTCAAGAGACTGAGGCAGGAGAATCGCTTGAACCTGGGAGGCGGAGGTTGCGGTGAGCCGAGATCACACCATTGCACTCCAGCCTTCTGTGACAGAGCGAGACTCCATCTCAAAAAAAAAAAAAAAAAAAAAAATCACCAATGTCCAGTGGCTGTCACTATCAGGGGCTATTTGTGAGCTTCCCTAATGCCCATGATAGATGTGCCCCATGCTGTAAAACACATCCACCTATTAAATAAGCAGAGTGGACTCACATAAGTAGTAATTTCCTCACAAGCTCAGAAAATGTCTTTTCAGTTTGTACTTTGGTGTGTACACATCACATTTTGGAGAAAGTCTAGACTTTAGAAAAGAGCCTTTAGGGTATTCCCAGGTTGTTCCTGGGCTCCTGTACTCCCTGTTCAGGTCACCTCTGCTGGCTTTGGCTCATTGTGGCCACGCAAGTTCTTTGTTACATATTCCCTTTGGTGATCAGAGTCTTCCCAAGCCATGGTCAAAACTTTACTTTTCGTATGAACTATGTGTCTTCCCCTTCAGGGAATAGGACTGATGCCATTTGAGATTATTTCTTCCTTCCTTGTTGACAATTCCCTTTGTACTCCCCCAAGGCCCTAAGCAAGGACCCTTAGTTTCCTCTGGTTTCGTGGTTCCTGTGAAAAAGGCAGAAGCCCATGTGGAAAATCCTCATCCTGCTGTGTTTCAACAAGCAAAGTGCATTTTGTCTTTCAGAGTGGGAAGGACCTTAACTGTGTTGACCAGAAGTGCAGTTCCTGGCTTCAGCCATTTTGCTTTGGAGAAGGAAAATAAATGCAGTGACCTTTGTTGTGAGGGTAGGGTACTCTTGTTCTAAAAGTCCATTTGTGGTGAGGCGTGGCCCTGCTGGGAGAAGCTGATGCCACTTTGCCTCCCTGGCACCCTGCCAGTTCTGTCTGCTTTGTTGACTTTGGTGGCTCAAGGGACAAGCCAGGCACTGGCTCATCTTTTCCTGCCTGATTCTCTGGGCAGATTTCTCCATAGGGTCTGCAGGGAAGTGGGGGAAAGCTGGGTATGGTCAGAGTGGAGGTCACTATGTGGGCTTCTCAGTCCTCATGCTGGTCTGTGTCAGGTGCCTTTAATTCAGGGCCTAAGGAACCATTGCTTTTTAGCCTAAGCAGCAATTTAATAATTTAGCAATCAGGTAATACTGGCACTTTGTTCTCCCCTGGCTGTTTTCTCAAGCTAAGTTCTGTGTTAGCATTTCTTGATTTCTCCCCTGATACTAATCCTCCTGGGAGATTGGCCTTACCTATTCACGTGGAGCGTGGCTTCTCTAGGAATGTGGGAATTGCTCCATGGCAATGGTGCTTTGGCCTTCACTGCCCACATCACTGGGACCATCCCAGCCCTTCTTGTCTCTAGCCTTTCTTACAGGTCAAGTCCAAACAGGAGGATCTGACTCTCTTCTTGGTCTTTTCTCCTGTCTAGCTGTCTTGTTTTAGAGCAGAAATTAAAGGAGCAGGGTGTCCTAATGAAACTGTTACTGTGATCATATCAGCTCTCTAGAACAAATTCAGAAAGACGGCCCTTTGTAACAGGCAGACTGGGTGGGCAGGCGTTCGTTTGTAAAGAGATGGCTTTCCTCTCCCAACAAGCAGGGCCAGGCATCACCCCATGCTGCATTGATGCAGGGAGTGAATTGAGAAGTGTGGGAACGTCATTTGGACTCTTTCCATTGCTCCCATTTTAATGCTTTCTAAAGGAACTGTTTCTCAGGTTTAAATAAAGTGGCAACACTGGCTTACTAGAACTTATTTATTTTTATTTATTTATTTTTGAGGCGGAGTCTCGCTGTATCACCCAGGCTTACTAGAATTTAGAACCACTCCTTCATTTGTGTGTATCCATTCTGTCTTTCCAGTCCCCAATGTATGATGTAGAATCTCACCTTCTTGCAGCAGAACCAGTGCCCTAAGTTATTGGATGTCTTTGTTGTGAAGAACTTGGTTCCAGCACTTTCCATGCTACCAGCCCAGGAGTAGGTCGTGTTCTGTCCTCAAACATTGGAGTCTTGGGTAGACTGCAGGCCTGATGACAGGCATTGCTCGTCTCCCTATGAGAGGCCTTTTCCTTCCTTTGCCCACAGAGCATTGTGGACACACCAGCTGCCTGCCTGGAAGAAGGAGCTCCTTCCTACCAGCCTGTGGAGTCTCATTTCTGCTGGAAAGGCATAAGAATGCTGCAGACTTGACCTCGGGACCCTACCACGCTTTCCAAGTGACCTTAGAGATTAAAGATCTTTGATTTTACAGAAGAAAAACAGCATAAACACTCAGTCTTGTGGGGGTAGTTATTGCCTTTCCTACTAAAAGTAGCATTACCTGGGAAAGCTGGCCTTGTCTCCAACTGGGCACATCCTTGAAGGACCAAGAGGGTCTTCTAAGAAAACCATCAATGTTTCTGTTCCAGTATTTCCTCGATAAAGACATTTGCCAACCAGTGATCCAAGCTATCCCTCAGCTGCTCAGAATTTACCTCAATTCCTTTGCTGAGCAGGCATGTTGTATTTCTATGTAATGGGGCATATTTGCCTTTGGAGAAAATTCTGAGGACTGTAATCATTTTAGCCATTGATAGCTGATGGTCAGTTCTGCAGGTGCCTCTCCCCATATCACATTAAGACTCCTTTTTATATATAGTTTGAAGTTTAAGGATCCATAAGGATGAATTGGAATCTTCTTCTTAAGAGGTATGGGCTTAAGAAAGTTGAACTGTAAAAGGATCAGTTTCATTCTATTCAGCCCAGCGTGTAAGCCTAGTGACTGTGTGTTCATTCACATTTTCATCAGGCAGCTCTGGCCAGAGGCCCTGAAAGGGTTGAGTATGGTGGAAGATTCCATCGTTTTCAATGACAGTACTGCTCATAAGTTCTAGTGGTTCTGAAAAGAATAGGTTTAAAAGTGAGGTATAAGATTATGTATGATGTTGATGTTATGTGTGAGGTTGATGTTTACCTTTCTTGGTTGACAAATCTGGTATTGGTCCTCTGACAAGAATGGAAACTGTATGTTTGGACAAAAATACTGAAGATACAGATACTGAAGTTCACAAGTATCATGATGTGAGAGGATAGATCATTTTCATTTCAAGGACTTGGTTCATGGAAAAACCTTTTTTTTTTTTATTCCTTTGAGACAGTTTTCCTCTTGTCACCCAGGCTGGAGTGCAATGTCATGATCTCAGCTCACTGCAACCTCTACCTTCTGGGTTCAAGTGATTCTCTTGCCTCAGCCTCCCTAGTAGCTGGGATTACAGGTGTGTGCCACCATGCTTGGCTAATTTTTGTATTTTTAGTAGAGATGGGGTAACTTAAGAAGTTACCATGTTGGCCAGGCTGGTTTTGAACTCCTGACCTCATGTGATCCACCCGCCTTGGCCTCCCAAAGTGCTGGGATTACAGGCCTGAGCCACTGCGCCTGGTCAGGAAAAGACTTTTTAATGCCACTAGATTCCTCTCCTGATGCATTCAGGCCTGTGGCATCCTCTAGTTCAGTTTCTTGGGTAGTTGGTATTACAGATTTAGAGTCTTGTTTTGATGGACATTTCTCCATACAGAGTACCGTAATGCTGTTGCATTTTCTTTCAGATTTGTTCAGAATCTCCTGGGGGTTTCTCTCATTCAGAATCAGGTACTACCGGGGCATCTTGGAATACCCCCACCCTGCCGTCCTGCTGCATGTCCCTGCTCCTTTGACTCCATTGTAGTTCACGTGCTTGTTTGTTGCTTATTCATGCCAGATTTCTAATATAAATGGAATTTAGTAAGGTTATTCTAATACAAATACAGATGGTGACAGTTTTGTTTTCTTCTTTGCTCTGCTAGAGTCACCAGGTTTGATCAACACTTGGAGTTTTTTTTAATATATTGATTTGGTCCTGGATAAAGAGGTGCCAGATTAAGAAAAGCTCCTTAAGAAGCAATTTATTCCTTAGCCAGGGGCTTGGCCTGTTTGGTGTAGCAGAGTGACCAGATTCATTCTGGTCTTACAGGTGCTATCTTGACCGCTTTCATTTTTATAAATAAGGGATTCATCTTCCCTGGCCTCAGGATCGTCATAACAGCTGCTTTGCAAGAAATTCGATGGAATTGGTTCTTTCCTTCTGCCTTGGAAACTGCTATGTATTTTTCATTTTTATTTTTTTGAGAGTCTCACTCTGTCACCCCAGCTGGAGCGCAGTGGCACAACCTCAGCTTACTGCAACTTCCGTCTCCCGGGTTCAAGTGATTCTCTTGCCTCAGCCTCCTGAGTAGAGTAGCTGGGATTACAGGTGTGCACTACCACACCCAGCTAATTATTGTATTTTTAGTAGAGATGGGATTTTACCATGTTGGCCAGGTTGGTCGTGAACTCTTGACCTTAGGTGATCCACCTGCCTCAGCCTCCCAAAGTGCTGGGGTTTACAGGCGTGAGCCACCACGCCCACCCAGAAATTGCTGTTTATACATGGTGGGCTGTGTGTGGAGAAAAGTAGGGACCACTGCTGTTGTAAACCTTCTCAACAAATATGAGGCCTGAGAGAGAACCGCATTCCATCCTTTCTGGTCCTCTAAATACACTGATACTTGACCTGCCCTTTTTCCTTTCCTTTTCTTTTTTTTTTTTTTTTAAATATTTTATGTTATTTTATTATTTTAGAGACGGGGGGGTGGTCTCACTATGTTGTCCAGGCTGATCTCGAACTCCTGGTCCCATGCAGTCCTCCCACCTCAGCCTGCCTGGGACTACAAGCATGTGCCACAATGGACGCTCCTTTGCTTTCTGTGCGGGAGCGTTTAGATCTGAGGAGCGCTGTGGCTGGTCCCTTGAGGTGAGCTGTTCTCATCCATTATATGCAGCTTTTTCTACTTTGGCTTTCAGTAGCTTTGCTTGCAAGGAGCACTCTAAGAATAACACAATAAATGTTAGACCCAAGGATTATTTCCCCAAACCTGCTGGCCCAACACTGTTGCAGTCAGCAGGAACTAAGGAGAATAACAGAGTAGCCAAGGCCTCTCAAAAGAATGAGATAAATTGTTAAAGATGGGACAACTACTCTAGACCAGAAATGACTGCCATAGTGGGGATCAGTTAAAGAGGAATCATAGCCCTACTGGACAACAGGGCTCCCAGGACTTGGGCAGAAAGTAAGTAGCAAACCTCATCACGCTGCTTTGGAAAAGGGATTTGGGTTGAGTTTGGTAACCTGATGACAGACTAGGTGGAGGGTAGATGGCAGTGGGTGTTGGTACTCATCTTGCTCTGCTGGTTGGACTCAGGAGAGTTGTTCCACATCCTCGTGGTTCCTTTCCGTTTGTCCTTTAAATAAATCGGTCTCATCCCCCAGGAGATGCGCTGGGCTTTCTGTGTGCCTTAGTTGAGAGTGTTTGACCACCTTGTGTTTTCCTTGGACTGTTGATGAGCTGCTGCCAAATGTTACCCTTCCAAGGGGCTGCTACCCGCCAGGCTTTTCATACTTGAATATAAACAACTAGATACTGGCCTTGATCCCCAGCTGTGTGAGCATCTGGGAGCAGTGAAGGAAGCCTCAGAATGTGTCAGGCCTGCCTGCTCTAGGAAGAGCCAGAGGAACTGCCAACCATCCGGACTGTTTTGAGAGTAGGTGTCAGGACTTTGCAGCTACCCTTTGCCCTTGTAGGCTTGGCCCCAGATATCTTGGATTTTCTTTTTTCTTTTCTTTTCTTTTCCTTTCCTTCCTTCTTTCCTTCTTTCTTTCTTTTTTTTTTTTTTTCTTTTTTTTTTTTTTTTTGTGGAGAAAGAGTCTCACTCTGTCCCCCAGGCTGGAGTGCAATGGCGCAATTTTGGCTCACTGCAACCTCCACCTCCTCCGTTCAAGCGATTCTCCTGCCTCAGCCTCCCAAGTAGCTGGGACTACAGGCATGCACCACCACGCCTGGCTAAGTTTTGTATTTTTTGTAGAGACAGGGTTTCACCATGTTAGCCAGGCTGGATATCTTGGATTTTCAAAAAGAACAGCATAATGAATTCAGATAAAGCATGAGAAATCTCAGATGCAGTGGGGGTATCAGAGAAAACTACCCATCTTCTTACTTTTGTTTGTGACGAAATGGCTCAGATCTCGTAGGAACCGGTTTTTCAGCCATCAAAAAGACTCCCATCTATCTCTTGAAGTTTGTTCTCAGGTCTTATCTGATCCTTCCATTTCTGAATGTGAGCAGAGAAGTGTTTGGAGCCAAAAGTTCGAAGTTTTTACTCTACCTGTAATGTTTGGAAATTGTATAAATCAATTTAAACATGGACTAAAGGTCTTAGGCTGATGGATTTGACCGCTCCTTTCTCTCCTTCAGGCCGGCTTTGTTTCATTTGACCCTTGAAGTTACATTCTTTATGTTCCTTCATCTCATTTCTCTCTTCACTCCTTTACAAAGTCTAGGGGATCAGACAGACAATTTGACTAGGATTTTATGACTAGACCTCGTTTGATTATTTGGTACAGCCCAGGATATTAGGAGCTTCTCTCAGTTGTAGAAACCCAGGAGCACTTGGACTTGCCGTTACAAACCAAGGTGAAGTGACAGTTTTCTTTTCTTTTTTTTTTGAGGCGAGTCTCACTCTCTTGCCCAGGCTGGAGTGCAGTGACACGATCTCGGCTCACTGCAACCTCCGCCTCACAGGTTCAAGTGATTCTCCTGCCTCAGCCTCCCGAGTAGCTGGAACTACAGGCGCGCATCACCACACCTGGCTAATTTTTGTATTTTTAGTAGAGACAGGGTTTCACCATATTGACCAAGCTGGTCTCAAACTCCTGACGTTGTGATCCGCCCATCTTGCCTCCCAAAGTGCTGGGATTACAGGCATGAGCCATTGCACCCGGCCGACAGTTTTCTAAGTTAGGGTAGTCCCACCTTGCCTGTGGCAGGAGCAGGGAAATATATCCTATCTCTACATTTGAGCACAATGACCATGAAATCCACCCTAGCATACCAGACTCAGAAAATCTTTTTTTTTTTTTTTTTTTTTTTTGAGACAGTTTCATTCTGTCGCCCAGGCTTGGAGTGCAGTGGTGTGATCTCGGCTCACTGCAACCTCCGCCTCCCAGGTTCAAGCGATTCTCCTGCCTCCCTCCCAAGTAGCTGGTATTACAGGCACACACCACCCTGCCTTGCTAATTTTTGTATTTTTAGTAGAGATGGGGTTTTGCCATGTTGGCCAGGCTGGTCTTGAGCTCCTTGACCTCAAGTGATCCACTTGCCTCGGCCTCCCAAAGTGCTGAGATTACAGGCGTGAGCCACCGCGCCCGGCCAGAAACTTGGATTTTAATCTTGGCCGCAGCTTTGATTTTGATGGTAGAATTCCAAGGTCATCTCTATTTCTCCCCTGTACTATGAGGGTACTGGAGTTTTGTAACTTCGTGAGGAGGAGGAGGCTAAGAAAATAGGGAAGGAAGTTCTCAAGAAGGCTGTGCAGTGGTGACTCCCCTTCAGGGGACACTAACGAATTCAGATCCTAATATGAAGCTCTGATTAAAAAAAATAGTAATACATTTTTTGTGGGTACATAGTAGGTATGCATTTTTATGGGGTACATGAGATGTTTTGATACAGGCATTCAGTGTGAAATAATAAGCAGGTCATGAAGAATGGGGTATCCATCCCCTCAAGCATTTATCCTTTGAGTTACACACGAAACAATTACACTCTTTATTTTAAAATATGCAATTAAGTTATTAACTGGCTATAGTCACCCTATTGTGCTATCAAATAGTAGGTCTTATTCATTTTTTCTATTATTTTGCACCCATTAACCATCCCCACCTCCCCCCACACCCCCAGTACCCTTCCCAACCTCTGGTAACCATCCTTCTACCCTCTGTGTCCATGAATTCAATTGTTTTGGTTTTTAGATCCCACCAATAAGTGAGAACATATGATGTTTATCTTTCTTTTCCTGGCTTATTTCACTTAACATAATGATCTCCGGTTCCACTCATGTTGTTGCAGATTACTGGATCTCACTCTTTTTTATGGGTGAATCGTACTTCATAGTGTATATGTACCTTCCATTCATGTTGTTGCAGATTACTGGATCTCACTCGTTTTTATGGGTGAATCGTACTTCATAGTGTATATGTACCACGTTTTCTTTAAACATTCATCTGTTGATGGACAGCTCTGATATTTTTGCCAGCAGTTTTGTGATTTGATTTTGCATGTGTGTGTGATGGCAAAGTTACCTAGGGAAGAAGACATAAAAAGTATGGGACTTCTCAATTGATCCCTACACCACAGTATGACTTTCACTCCTTTAGGTTTCTTAACACAATGAGTCGTCTTGTCAGCAGCTTGGTTTAAAGTGCTAATTTGAGGAACCAGGTGCTTTGCGTCAGCTTCTGACCTGGCTGAGACCTTTTACTGACAATTGGCCCAAGTGTAGTAGAACTGGGAGAGGTTCCCTTTCCCAAGAGCCTGCTGCCGAGACAGTAGAAGATGGTGGTTTATATTGTATTTCCCTTAAGGTAATCTGTGAGAGAAGCTTAAAATTAGGTTACACTTTTGACTTGACACAAGTGTCAATGAAAAAATATTCATGTTCTCGTTGTTATGCTACGAGATCTAAGCCAAGTGAGAAATCTAAGCAAATGGTTGTTCAGTCACTTCAGAAGAATCGAGACAACTTACAGAACTTGCTTTGACAGAGCTGTTCCAGCTCATTTGTAATAACATGCTTAGAACCTTCTGCGTTCAAGAGCATGTCAGAAGGGAATGCCTGGTCGTTGTCTCCCTGGGAAGCAGCGTGGAGCACAGCCCCGGGAGACGAAGGCAGCAGAGGCCCGTGACCATCAAGCACCAGCCTCTCAAGGCATCTCTGAAGGCAGCTGAGAAGTTTCCATCGACAGTGGCTCATGGCCAGTGCACTGACCTTTTGCTAAAGTTGGCAGTTGCTGAAGTGAAATGAATTCTTTATCGGAAAGAGTCAATTAAAAGAGCTAAGTCAAAGAGAGTGCAAATATGGACTGTGTCTTTACCTTTCCACAGCAGCTTTGGCCGCATGCCCCCGAGCTCCCTTTGTCATCTATGTGTGTAGCAGGATCACCCGGGAGGAGCAGGGACGCCCCCTTATCAGGCTTCTCTTGGCCGCCTGCGGCAAGATGACTGTTCCTGCGGTCCTCAGTCTTTCATGACTTTGTGAGAGCCTCTGTACGTCAAGCCACTGTGGGTAATGGAGGCTCATATGGGGTGGGGCTGGTGCTTGCTAGGAGAGGCGTCCGGAGGGCCTGGCCGTATGACACACACAGGAGGAACGAGGAGGAATCTTCTAAGTTACAGGCTGTGTGTGAATAGCAAGTACCCCCTTGCCTTTTCTAATGCAGACTTTTTTAAACTGAGGTGTCAGTTCTGACAATATTATAGAACATTTACCACGTGGGAGGCCTGGGGCTTCCCAGCTCCTTTTGCTCACCTGGAGATAGTGCCCCCTTTCTTCAGGGTGGAAGAACACAGGGTTCTTCCAGAACTTCCCCTTGAGGGGACCTGTGGTAGGAAAGAAACATGACAATAATCTCTAACTTTTCAGAGGCTTTATAATGGGAGGGAAACTTAGAGGCATAAGCCTCACTTTACGAGTGAAAAACAGGAGACAAAGCTAAAATTTTTGCAGAGTCATGCGAGTGGTTAGGGACAGGCCTGGATGAGAACGTACCTGTTGTCAGCTCCCCACATAGCCCCGCTTCCCCAGCGCCACGCCAGCAGCAAGCTGGGCGCTCACAGCCGGACTCTGGAAAGCCCCAGGTCATTCCTCCTACCCTGATCTGCAGGGAGTGCCTTCAGGGAGGCCCGAGCAGACCCTCTAGCCTCCCTGTGGGGTGTGCACATTCCTGGAGGTGAGGGTTTAATTCCAGCCTAGATTTGGGGTGGGCATCACCAGCCAGGCCCCACCTGCTTTACTTTATCTCCCTTCATCTCTGATGTCTCCCACCTCCATCCTGCTTGGCATCCAGGGTGCTGCATTCAGTGTTTGCCGTGGATAGGTGTGCATGGCATTTAGCTTTGGAAAAATATATGGTGGTATTTCGTTGGCATGTTTTTAATTTTAGCCTAAAGACCTTGATCTACTCTTAAAAGTATTTGAATTAATAAATCAAGGAAGACACTGCGGGTAGTTTCTAGAGTGAATGATGAATTTGTGAAGTTACTGTGTGAACTCTGAAATTCAGTGGCTGTCAAAAGAGGTGAATGCTTGCGAGCACCTTGCAGACCTGCCCCCGCCACCAAGCTCTGTGAGTGGAAGACTCAATCAGAGAAGGAGTGAGAGGAGGGAAAACTCCAGGCACAGTGCAGTCGCTGCCTTTGTTCAGCAATGAGGAGGGGAAAAGTGGCCTTTTGGGTTGGCTGTGACCTCCCTGTGTGTATCTGCCCCCCTCATGCTAGGTGGCACTAGAGAAGTGTTGGAGAATATGGAGCCAGTCTCCTGGCTTAGGATTTTTGTTAAAATACGGGGCTCCATTCTTGATATTTCTTTTCTTTTTAAAGAGACAGGGTTTTGGCCGGGTGCAGTGGCTCACGCCTGTAAATCCCAGCACTTTGGGAGGCTGAGGCAGGCGGATCACTTGAGCTCAGGAGTTTGAGACCAGCCTGGGGAACATGGTGAAACCCCATCTCTACCAAAAATACAAAAAAAACAGCCAGGGGTGGTGGTGTGCACCTGTAGTCCCAGCTACTTGAGAGGCTGAGTTGGGAGGATCAGTTGAGCCCGGGAGGTGGAGGTTGCGGTGAGCCAAGATTTGTGCCACTGCATTCCAACCTGGGTGACAGAGTGAGACCCCATCTCAAAATAATAATAATAATTAAATAAACAAGAAAACTCCTGAGGTCAAGCATTCAAGACCAGCCTGGCCAACATGGTGAAACACTATCTCTACTAAAAATACAAAAATTAGCCAGGCGTGGTAGCAGATGCCTGTAATCCCAGCTACTCAGGAGGCTGAGGCAGGAGAATTGTTTGAGCCCGGGGTGCAGAGGTTGCAGTGAGCCAAGATCGTGCCATTGCACTCCAGCCTGGGTGACAGAGTGAGACTCAGTCTCCGAGGGAAAAAAAAAAAAAAAGCGTGCTTAGAGCAGAGGTTCATGGGATTAAATGCAACAATGTAAATAAATCTCCCAGAACCTGCCTGGCACGTAGGAGTGGCTCTAGAAATGTGGGCTGCCGCTGTGGTTTTTTCTTCCTCCTACTCACTTGCCCCACTCCATGAAAGAGCTAAATGAGCAACGGACTCAGAGCTGCTTTGGAGAATGGAGACCTTTTCAGGCTGTTCCTGGCCCTTCTTCTAATACTTGGCACCCTGTGTGTCTTGTATCAAGGAAAGCCAGAGAGAGCTTTTCGGAAGAACCGACTGCTGGGCCCTGCCACAGCTCACCCTCCTGCTCCCTCAGCAGTGCATGTGCCGTCCTTTGCCCCTCACAGGGCCCAGCAAACTGGCAGGTGCATGGGGTTGCAAACCTGGTCCTGCAGGAATGTAGAATGGGTGTATCTCACCCCACTTCACGTGAGAGATAGGCCGTGTTCCTGTGACCCTTGCTCAGCAACTCGTGTGCTTTCAAATAAGGAAAAAAGGGAATGTGTTTTCATGCAACGAGAAATTATACCAATCCCATTGCCTTGGCAATTATAGTATTACAAGTGATAGCAGGCAGCCAGAGCTGAAGACGAGGAAAAGCAAAAATGATAAGAAAGCCTGGGGGAGGCTGTTCACTTCTTACTCTAGTACAATCACCCAACCCCGAGGTGCCTGCGGCTGAGGCTCCTGCACTGGGGTTTGCAGGGCTGGATGTGTTAGCACCTCCCTGAGACGGGGGTGCCTTAGACTACTGCCGCACGGCAACTCCTCAACTCCTCCAGGGTTTTGTTGTTTTGTTCTGGCCAGAGCCACGCTCTGGCCGTTTGTTACTTACACCTTTGTAGTAGCAGTGCCAACTATTGTGACGTTTAGCTGAGATCCAGGGATAATTAGGGTAGGGATTAAGGTGTGGGGCGACTTGTTTTTAATTAATTATAAAAGTAATTTGAGTTCGTCATCACAAAATGAAACAATATAGAAAGCTTAAAGTTAAAGGTCTTATCCCTTCTTCTGCCCTGGTCTCCCTGCTCTTGGGTGACCAGGCAGCCCTTGTAAAGCATGGGTGTGTACACTCAGAAATGTATCCTTCCTTATGCTTATGCAAGCATGAATGGGTTTTGTTTGCTAAGGGTGTCACATTCTTCGTGTCTATAACTTGCTTTTTTTTCCCCTTCAATTTGTGGACAAGTCAGTATATCGAAGTTTTACCCTTTTCAGGGCTAGTGGTAGCCCCTCCTGTGGACACTCCACCAATTATTAGCCAGATCACGATTAACCTTAGAGACAAGAGGACTGTTAGAAAGTCCTGTATGTGGAAGCCGCTGCTGCTCCTCTCTCAGGTGACTTTTTCCAAGTCCTGCACCTGTTGGGAGGGCTCCTCTGGAGAGCAGGAGTGTATGGACTTGGCCAAGCACCTAGGAAGGGAAGGTAGGAGTGAGATGCCAAACCACAGGGTCAGAAGGCATCTTTGCAGCTAGGCTCCAAACTCGTTTCCCATTCAATTCCAGAAGTTCAAGGGTAGAGACAAGAGTTTGGAGGCTCGCTCTTTGAAGAAACTGAATACTACATAAAAAAGACTAAACAGATACTAATGTTTAATCACAAATGAAAAAGCCCCCTGGTACCTCTGTTACAAAAACTCCAAATAAAGTATCAGATAACTGGCCTAATAGTGTATTGAGGACATATATCACAAATACTGTTTTCCCCCAAAATACAAGACTGGTTCAACATCAGAGACCCTGTTACATCAGTAGACCAAAGGAGGGGAAGACATGATTATCTCATTTGATACGGAAAACAAATTCGATGAGTTCAGTACCATTTTATGTTTAACATTCTCAATAAAATATTGATGAAGGGATATTTAATTTGATTTTTAAATCCTGTACCAAAAATCTACAGCAAACATTATATTCAATGGAAGATTTTTTTGAGACAGTTTTGCTCGGTCACCTAGGCTGCAGTGCAGTGGCGCGATGTCAGGTTACCGCAACCTCCACTTTCCGGGTTCAAGCAATTCTCCTGTCTCAGCCTCCTGAGTAGTTGGGATTACAGGCATGCGCCACCATGCCCGGCTAATTTTTTGTATTTTTAGTAGAGATGGGGTTTCACCATGTTGACCAGGCTGGTCTCGAACTCCCAACCTCAGGTGATCCGCCCACCTTGGCCTCCCAAAGTGCTAGGATTACAGATGTGAGCCACCACCCCTAGCCTAGATCTAGTATTATAAAATGATAATCTTCCTTTCTCGTTGACTTAGAAATTCAGGGCTATTTCAGTAACTGTGGGGTAACAAATTACCCCAAAACTTAATAGCTTAAAACAGTAATAATCATTATCTCTCACAGTTTTTGTGAACCAAGCATTTGAGAGCAGCTCTGCCAAGCGTTTTTGGCTTTTGAAGCCTCTCTTGAGGTTGCAGTCAGATGGTGGCTGTGGCTGCGACCATCTCAAAGGCTTTTCACTCACATACCTGTTGCCTGGTCTGGGAAGACTCAAGCAGTTTGGGGCTGGGACAGCTGCAGTTCTCCGTCATCTGTTTATGTGTACATTTTCCATGTGATCTCTCCAATGTGGTGCCTTCTGGGTTACTGCACTAAGTATAGGTTGACTCAGGGCTCCCACAGCGCTTGTCCCAAAAGAGAACCAAGTAGAAGCCATTTTGCCTTTCTGACTGCCCCTTGGAAGTCACACAGCATCTGCCACATTCCGTTGGTTGAGGCAGGTGGGAAGGTCACTCTAGGTACAAGAGAACATAGACCCCATGTCTCGATAGAGGAGTGTTAATATCACTTTGTAAGAAGGTCATGTGGGATGAGATATATATTGGTGCTATCTTTGGAAAATACAGTCTGCTACAAGTAAAACCCGTTCAGAATTCTAATTGGATTTTTTGAAGAAATCTTATTTTTAAATGCATTTGGATTACCTAAGTTAAACTTCAGAAAGAAGAGAAAAGGGAACTTTTAAGCTTCTAAGCCATAGTACTAAAAGCAAATGATGTCTGCGCAAAAACAGGTAATAGACAAATGAAATAGAATAATGATCTCAGAGAAAGACCCATATACATACGGGAATTTAATATACGATAAAGGGGCACCATGAATCAATGGGAGAAGGATGGATTGCTTAATAGATAATGTTAGGAGAATTGACTAATTAAAATGGAGAAACATTAACTGGATCTGCACAGACTATCATACACAATGGTAGACTCTAGAAGGGCTAAAGACCTAAATGAGAATGGTAACACCACAAAATTAATACGTCTCTTATCTACAAATCTGAAATCCAGAACACTCTGAAAATTAAATGCTTTTTCTTAACCCACATGGCAGCAAAACTTGAGCTGAGGTGAAGCTATTTATAATCATGTATTTATCCTGCTTAATGTGAATATCCTATAATTCACTGCAGTTTTAAAAAACTATTATTATAAAAACTTTCAAACATTCAGAAAAATTTAAAAATAGTATTAGAGGGCCAGGCATGGTGGCTCATGCCTGTAATCCAAGCATTTGGGGAGGCTTAGGTGGGAGTATCACTTGAGGCCAGGAATTCAAGACCAACCTGGTGAAAAAGAGCGAGACCTTGTCTTAAAAAAAAAAAAAAAAAAAAAAAAAATTAGCTGGGCATGATTGCATGCACCTGTAGTCTCAGCTACTCCAGAGACTGAGATGGGAGGATTGCTTAAGCCCTGGAGGTTGAAGCTGCAGTGAACTGTGATCACACCACTGTACTCCATCCTGGTTGACAGAGCAAGACCCTGTCTCAAAAAAATCATGAACCAGTTAACCCTGGCCTGGCCAGGGTCTCAGTTTGCGGGGGGCACAAGCAGTGGAGCAGCTGTGCTGCTGTGGCCAATCCCTTTCTCCCACAGCAGAGTCGGGAGTGGCACTCTGATCCATATCTACTGCTCCTTTTTCACGGATTGTCTACTTGATTGGTTTTGCCTATTAAAGCCAAATTCAAATATTTGTCCAAAAAGCTACAGACCCAGTGATCCTGCTATATAGCAGGACCTTTGGAGGAAGACTACCCCAGGTGTGTGTGAGGGCCTCCGAGACCAGCTGCTGCAGTGGATGAGCAGGGCTGGGGCTGGCCCTGGGGTCTAGCATCTGTGCAACAAGCTCCTCACCACTTCTGCAGCCACGCAGGTCCACCACCTCTAAGGCACAAAGTGAAATCGCCCTGATCCATGCTTAAAATTTGGCCCTGGTAGCCAAGGCCCGAGAACACACTTCCCTTTTCACCCAACATCTATTCCCTTACTTGTCTGAGTCTTTTTTTTTTTCTCCCTCTTCTGTGAAATGGGCCAGAA
This sequence comes from Homo sapiens, assembly GCF_000001405.40. Classification (NCBI taxonomy): domain Eukaryota; kingdom Metazoa; phylum Chordata; class Mammalia; order Primates; family Hominidae; genus Homo; species Homo sapiens. The sequence goes on from NC_000016.10 coordinate 75,068,912, forward strand.
GTTCCTCACTCAGTTATTTTGGGAGCATTAAAAAATTCGAGGGTCCCACCCCCTCCTCCCTCTCTTCATTCAGAAAATGGATGGAATCAAGCTGATGCCCGAAGAACACCAAAGGGACCCAAGAAAGTCAGAAAAATGGTACTTTCTGCTGCTCTTTAGCCAAAGGGGTGAACAGCGTTAATTGGCTCATCGTTTTAAAGATCTGAGTTGTTCAACCAAAGTTAGGAGATAATCTTTCAGTGGCACTATTGCCTTTTCAGAAAAGAAAAAAAAAAGGAAGGCAAGAAGAGTTGCTTTGCACATAGACATCTCCAGTATGGGAACATCATTTGTTTGGCAGGGGGGTTATTTTTTCCTCTTACCCTGCTGTAAATATTCTTCACTGCTCTCTTATATTTCCTGTATCCACCATCTTTGCCCAGGTGTTTAACTCTGTTCCCTTAAATGGTTTCCCCTCAGGCTTAGTCTTGGATCTTTGTACATTCTCCTGGAGTGGGCTTATCTGGGCTTTTGTTTTTTTGAGACAGAGTCTTGCTCTATTGCCCAGGCTGGAGTACAGTGGCGCGATCTCGGCTCACTGCAACCTCCACCTCCTGGGTTCAAGCAATTCTTCTGCCTTAGCCTCTCGAGTAGCTGGAACTACAGGTGGGTGCCCCCATGCCCAGCTAATTTTTGTATTTTTAGTAGAGATGGGGTTTTGCCATATTGTCCAGGCTGGTCTCAAACTCCTGACCTCGTGATCCACCCGCCTCGGCCTCCCAAAGTGCTGGGATTACAGGCGTGAGCCATTGTGCATGGCCTCATCTGGACTTTTTAAAACTGTTTGTACCCTAATCCATATCTCCAGTCCAGATCTTCCCCCTGGGCCTCGGCCCCTCACACCAGATAAACCAGCTATCTCCACTTACATGTTTCTCACATTCCTAGAACTTGGTATGCCCCAAACTGTATCATCATCTTCACCCCTGCCCCCTTTCTAGCAGCCCATTCCCCTTGTAGAGTTCATGTCTCCACAAAAACCACCATTTACCCAGTTGCCCAAGCGAGCTGCTTGAGTATCATTAACTTCTACACCCCTAAATCTCTGACTTCTAAGCTAATAACATGTCCAAGAGAGTAAACCCTTTAAAAATCCTTTTAATCCATACACTTTCTGCCAGAGCCAGGCAGAAAATATAAGGGGATGCCAAAAAAACTCAGTAATCAAGACAAATAATTGTTCAGAGTCGGGTTGACCAGATGTCCCTTCTGGATTCTAAGTCCAGCAGATGGCCCATTGGGCAGCCAGCCCACTGGCCCCAGGAGCATAGGGACCTTCATGTTTGGCAGGGCAGCAGGGCCGCCTAGCCCAGGCCGGCCTCTCCATTCACACCACCGATAGCCTGAATGACTGCAGTAACTCCCCACTGCTCTGCAAGCTTTTCGACTCCTCCCAATCCATTTACTGCACCATGGCCAAAGTAATATTTCTGAAATATAAGCCACCTCTGAACTGTTCAACAGTTCTGCAGTGTTTCTGGAATGATGCACCTAAACCCTCAATGGACCTTGCCCCCGATCCTGCTTTCCTCTTTAGCATCCACATCCACATTTTTTTGCAACTCTGTCAGCATTTTTTAAAAGGAAACCTATTTATTGCAGTTTACTCTCCATACAAAGGAGTGCTTATATTACATCATAAGCATACATCCTGATGCATTCACAAACTAAGTACCTCTGTGTACTGACATCCTAGGAACCCTCCCCCAACCCCGCCCACCATACCCCTTCCCAGTTGCAGCTCCCATGGAGGTACTGCTTTCCTGACTTGTAACAGCGTGGACTTGCCTTGCCTGTTTTGTATCTTAAGTAGATCGGATCAGATAGTGATCCTCGTGCACTCATGTGTCTGCTTCCTTCATTCACATCATGTGTGGGAGCCGCCCATCTTGTTGTGTAGGGTTGTAGAGTTTTCGTCACCTTGCTATAATAGTTTTCCATTATGTGAATAAACTATGCTTTATCCATTTGTTCTCATACTGGTGCTGCATAACAAAATACCCCCAAACTCGATCACCTACAACAACTATTTATTATGCCCATGGACTATGTGGGTCAGGTATTGTATTTGCATAGGGCACAGCAGAAGCAGCTAGTCTATGATGTCTGGGACCTCAGCTGAAAACTAGAAGGTCAGGCACAGGTGTCTTTTTTTTTTTTTTCTTTTGAGACTGAGTCTTGCTCTGTCACGCAGGCTGGAGTGCAGTGGTGCAATCTTGGCTCACTGCAACCTCCGCCTCCCGGGTTCAAGTGATTCTTCTGCCTCAGCCTCCGAAGTAGCTGGGATTACAGCCACCCACCACCACACCTGGCTAATTTTTGTATTTTTAGTAGAGACAGGGTTTCGCCATGTTGGCCTGGCTGGTCTCGAACTCCTGACCTCAAGCGATCTGCCCACCTTGGCCTCCCAATTACGGGTGTGAACCACCGTACCTGGCCACAGGTACCTTTTGATGGCTCATTCCCTCACGTGTCTGGTTCTCCACAGAGACCTCAGCAAGGGCCGTCAATCCAAATGCTGATGGTGGCCTCTCTATGTGGCCTGGGCTTCCTCACAGCATGGTGGCAAGCTTCCAAGGGTGAGGGTCTTGAAATAGGCAGTGGCTGCATCTTTTGTGTGACTTAGCCTTACAAGTCATAGCATTTTGGCCGTACTCTGGGTCAGAACAGTCCCAGGCCCACACAGGTTCAAGGGCAGGGAAAACAGACTCCAGTGCTTGATGAAGGGTGGCAAGATTCTGGAAGTGCATGTGGGACGGAAATAGTCCTGGGGCTGTTTGGGGAAAATACAATCTACTATACCCATGAGCTGCTGATAGGTGTCTACCTTTCTGATCCAACCACATCATTATTCTTCCAGTTCTTTGAAACAATAATCTCCCTGTCACCCCGGGGCCTTTGCACATGATGCCCCCTCGACCTGCAACTCTTTCCTTTTCACCCCTGACTCCTGCACCTAGGGTACCCCTTGTCTGCCTGGCTAGCTTTTGCTTATCTTTTATTTTTTATTATTTTTGAGATAAGGTCTTTCCAGCTGGAGTGCAGTGGCATGATCATGGCTTACTTCAGCCTCAACCTCCTGAGCTCAATCAGTCCTCCCACTTCAGCCTCCCGAATAGCTGGGACTACAAAGTGCATGCCGCCACGCCCAGTTAATTTTTTTTTTTTAATTATCAGATACATGGTATGCAGTCAGATTTTTTGTAGAAATGGGTTTCACTGTGTTGCCCTGGCTGGTCTCGAACCCCTGGACTCAAGCAGTCCTCCTGCCTCAGCCTCCCAAAGTGCTGGGATTACAGGTATGAGCCACCATGCCTGGCCTGCTTATCTTTTAGTCTCAGCCTAAGCTTTCCTTCTTAAAAGAATGCTTTCCTCACATCACTGTCACCCCAACCCACTGGCCCCAAAATGGCAGTGCAGGCCCCACTCCTAGTTACTTTTGGGACCTTGCCTTGTCCCTGTCGTAATGCTGATCACAAGGTAGTGCTCTGGCTTGTTTACTTGTCTGGATCCCTCATCAGAGTTTAAGCTTCAGGAAGGAGCTTAAACTGCCCCTTGTACTGTTCAGTGTCCAGTCCAGTGCCTGACACAGAGTAACCTGCAGTTAATTGGAGAAAGTGGATTCAGCCTTCAGTGTCCACCCACTAGAGACAGTAACGTATGCACAAAATTAAGCATTAACACAGTTTAGAACATAGGATTAGCTATGTTGTAGTATACACAAACACATACACACTTGTGCAAGTGTCAAGTGTTAGAGCAGGAAGCAATTTTAGGTGTAGATTGTCCCATTGAACCCCTCCTTTTGCAAGTAAGAAATGTAAACAGAGCTGTGACATGGCTCACCCAATTGGAAGCAGGTGGCCCTGTGACCAGCAATCCCAGGCCCTCACTGTGAGGGAGGCATTACAATGAAGGCCTCCATTTGAGCCCCTCCAGCTTCCCCTCTGAGATGCAGATACTGTGTTGGTGTAGTGATGGGCCCCAGTGCTACTGTTCATCACACTCAACCGGTTATCTAGTTAGTGAAAGAAAGCATTTAAAAAATTGAGGGGCCAGGCAGGTACAGTAGCTCACGCCTGTAATCCCATACTTTGGGAGGCCAAGGTGGGAGGAATGCTTGAGCCCAAGAGTTGGAGACCAACCTGGGTAACATAGTGAGACCCCATCTCTCTCTCTCTCTCTCTCTCTCTCTCTCTCTCTGTCTCTCTGTCTATATATATGTATATATATATACACACATAGATATGTATACGTATCTATATACATAGATTTATATACATAAATATAAAATTGAGGCAAGATTTTTTTTTTCACAATTGTTGATTGCTTGCTAGTTTTTATTAATAGCTGTTGTTTTTCCTTTCTTTTTAGACCTCCCTCCAGTGCATGGTGTTGAGTTAATGCTATTACATGTTTGACACACTATTGCTGGTCTCACTGGTCTTGGCCAGGCTGCTGTCTTGGTTTTATTCATTCATACATTGATCTGTTTTTTAATTCCTGTTGTCCATTCCCCACCCCGCCGTAGCCAACCATGTCAATATGTTTGGTGTATTGGTTTAATTTTTCATTTCTGTGCATACATGGGTTTTGTTAATCTAAGGTTTTAGTTGTGTGCATGTGTTTTTAACTTAGGTAAAATGGCACAAATGGCCTGGTGCTACGGATTCTTTTGTTTCTTTTTTTCTCTCAGCACTGTTTTTGGATCTGTCCGACGTGCACATTTAATCCATTGCTTGTGGCTGCTGCATAGTATTCATCATGTACATGCTCTGCGGGGACCTTGCCCGTTCCCCTGGGGATCATCTGCTACCCGACATGGTTCTGTGGCCAACATCCTCGTGCTGTATTCTGATTGACCTGTGTGAGGATTTCGCTAGGAAATATACCCAGAAATAGGGTTGCCGGATCATAGACTAGGGAACTTTCCGGTTCACTTCTGAGGACTCAGAAAACATGATTATGTCCCTTTTCTCTTGCTATTTTCTCGTAAATGTCAGGAAGGTAGGTTGCTTAAAATACCCTAACTTTCAGCCTGGCTCTAGAATCTTGCAGTGCTACCACCCGGAGAGCAGAGATAAAGATTGGGATTTTATTCTCTGTGGGTCAGTTTGAGGTTTGCATTTTTTCACTTGGAATGATTGAAACTCGTGCTGCTCCTTCCGCGTGCATGTGTAAAACGAGCCACAGACTGCTAGTCTGTTCTGCTCTCCTGCTGTCCGTGACCGTTGCTAGACCTCCTGTATGGAGGCAGTGTGGTGCCATGGAAGGAGGCGATGCAGTAGAGTCAGGCCGGCATAAGTGGCTTCTCTGCATGTGTGTCAGCCCCATCCCTAAGCTGGGGTCATGCCACCCGGTGAGGCTCCATATGCCAGCATGTAGCACAGAGCCTACTGGGTGACCCTTCCAACAGCCCCTTGAGAGGAGAGGGCACAGTGCTGCATAAGTTGGTGTCTAAAGGGTGTGGAGTTGTATTTAAGCCTTTACTATCACATTGTGAATATTTATGGGTGGATTTATTTCGTGTCTGGAATTTTCTTCAAAATAATCTGGTGCAGGGAGAGTGAGTTGGGATAAAGATCAGATGACCATATAATTTATCATTCAATCCCAGGCAAGTTTGAAACTGAAAGAGGGAGCTATTAATTACACCAAGACGACACGCTTGAACTGGGGTTGTTGCAGCAAACCAAGACATGGACACCTCAGGGGAAAATCAGATAGGACTGACCCTGATTTGATCATTGTTGAAGCTGGGTGATGAGTACCTGGGAGCTCACTCTATTCAATTTTTTTGTTTGTCTGAAAATTTCCATAATAAAGGTTTTTTTAGGCCCAGTGCAGTGGCTCATGCCTATAATCCCAGCTCTTTAGGAGGCCTGGGCAGGAGGATCACTTGAAGCCAGGACTTGGAGGCCAGCCTGGGCAACATAACAAGGCCCTGTCTCTATAAAAAGTAATAATAATAAAATATTGAATAAATGTATTAAGGAAATGTTTGTATCAGAGTGCAGAAGCACCCAAAAGTTCGCACTGTCCAGGAAATGGCTGTTGAGTACTTTGCCAACCCCTGCCTGGGGTCATAAGCCCAGGTCACCATGCTGTCTGCTTTTCCCCCCTATCTCTGGGCACTTCCAGGTGGGGGTGGGTGGGAGGGAGTAAATGGAGAGGCTCCTCCTACTCTTCATTGTTGGTGGGAGGAATGAGAACCTGGAGGCTGTCCTAGCTGTCTGTGACTTGATTTAGCATAGGGGGAAAGGGCTGACCTTTTTCCTGCCAGCAGTACTGTCAAGGCCTGCCCAGGTGGCAGCCGAAGTAGCTCCCTTCATGCCCACTGCACACCACAGCATGGTGGCAGGGGCGCCTGCAGTCTGTGCACATGCACACATGATCGTTCTCTGCACCCCTTATCGGAACTGCGGGTTGGGCAGGAAGCAGCATGACCGCAGTGGGTTCCTAACCGACATTCTGTCTCACACACGCTTCACTGTCCTACTTAACCCTCGCTGTGGTATGGCAGTTACTGGAACCTTGACTGGTAGAAGGTAGCCTCTGCTGGGAATGGACTCAGACAGCAGGCTGACTGCCCTTAATTTGTTATCTCTTTCCGGTTGTACAGCTGGGCCTTTTTCACACATTTCCGTGAAGTGTGATGTTCATTCATCCAACAGATATTTTCAAGAGCCCATCATATGCCAGGCTCTAGGGCTACAGCAGTAAAATAAACAGACTCTGCCTTCAAGGGGCTTATACTGTAAGGGGGCCACAGACAGCAGGTGCAGCAAAGGTGGAGGAGGAGGGTCACCTTTCTCACATGGCTGCTGAGTGCTCAGGAATCGATGTTAGGATGCTGTCATGTGGAGATCATTGGCAACCGTGGAAAGGATGGTTTTAGAGATTGGAGCAGGTTCAAGAGGAACTGGGAGAGGAAGTGAAGATGGCCATTGGAGATGCTTCATTGGAACTGGGGCAGTTGCTGCAGGTGTAGGTGGGATTGAGAGAGCGTTGTGTGAGGTAGAGAATAGCTTACATATGTGGACTCAGGAGAGAGGAAAAATATGCTTAACAGAACTTGTTCTGAATGGCCCTTTTGTATGCCATAGCAAATATCAAACAACCCTGATCATGAGATATAGAGCCCTGGAGGGCCTGATTCAGTTTTCTTCTTCCTTCAGAGTCCCATCTTCTCCATACTAAAAGTAAATCACAAATATTTGGATTGTTATTGACATATCTATTATATGTTTTAATCTTCTATCTATAATCTTTCTCTTGTTATATAAATGGTTCTGAACTTTTGGGTTCTAAGCCCAAACACTTTTGACATCTAACTCTATGAATCTCCCTTAGAATGTGGCATCTTATTTCAGGAGGCTGATGGATCCGCTGATGTCCATCCCCATAGGTTTCAGGTCAAGAGCCTGTGTGTGGGACACATTCGCTAGACAGCCACTTCGGGATGTGAAAGAAATGAGAGCTCTGTGGCCTCCTCTTTTCTTCTCTTCCCTAATGGGTCATCCCTTCACTGAGGGGAGAAATTATATTTGTTTTGCCATTTTCCTTACAACTTAATAACTAGAATACATATGAATGGATAGACAGACTGACTGACTTGATTGCTTATCCTATTTAAGTGTGGCACATTCAGTCCATAGCACATGGCATCCTCTCTTGGGGCACAGTTTTCAATGGTTTCCCAAGAGAGGATGCCATGTGCTACGGACTGAATGTGTTTTATCCCCCTCCTCCCCCAAAATTCATGTGTTGAAGCCTAATCCCTAATGTGATGGTATTTGAAGGAGGACTTTTGGGAGATAAGTGAGTTTAGAAGAGGTCGTGAGTGTGGTGCCTTTATGATGGAATTATTAGTGCCCCCAGAAGAAGAAGAGACACCAGCGCTTTCTCTCCAGCATGTGAGACACAGCAAGATGGTGGACCTTTGCAAATCAGGGAGAGGCCCTCACCACACATCAGACCTGGCAGCACCTTGATCTTGGGCTTCTCAACCTCCAGAGCCATGAGAGATAAATGTTTATTGTTTAAGCCGTCCAGTCTGCAGTATTTTGTTACAGCAGCTCAAACTGACTAAGATATCCTGCTTCATAATTTTCAGCAGAGCCAGGGAACCCCAGCTACTCTCCTTTAAGAGTTGATCCAGGCCGGGCATGGTGGCTCGTGCCTGTAATCTCAGCACTTTGGGAGGCCAAGGTGGGCGGACCACGAGGTCAGGAGATCGAGACCGTCCTGGCCAACATGGTGAAACCCCATCTGTACTGAAAATACAAAAAATTAGCTGGGGCTGGGCGCGGTGGCTCACGCCTGTAATCCCATCACTTTGGGAGGCTGAGGCAGGCGGATCACCTGAGGTCGGGAGTTTGAGACCAGCCTGACCAACATGTACAAACCCCGTCTCTACTAAAAATACAAAATTAGCCAGGCGTGGTGGTGTATGCCTGTAGTCCCAGCTATTCGGGAGGCCGAGGCAGGAGAATTGCTCGAACCTGGGAGACAGAGGTTGCGGTGAGCCAAGACCGCACCACTGCACTCCAGCCTGGCGACAGAGCGAGATTCCGTCTCAAAAAAACAAACAAAAAAAGAGTTGATTTTTTAGAAGAACAGCCATTTCTCTTAGAAGGTTTTACATTCATTTCCTGTTGTTGCTGTAGCAAATATCCACAAATTTGACAACACAAATGTATTTTCTTGCATTTTTGGAGATGAGAAATCTGCATTGGTCTCGCTGGGCTGAAATCAAGGTGTCTGCAGTGCTGTGCTGCTTCTGGAGGCTCTAGGGGAGAATCCATTTCCTTGTCTTTCCCAGCTCCTGGAGGCCACGCTTTCCTTGGCTCATGGTCCCTTCCTCTAACTTCAAAGCTAATGGCAAAGCATCTTCAAATCTCTGTCTGTCTGCTTCCATAGTCATGTCTTCTTCTCTGCCTCTCTCTTTCCATAATAAAGATGCTGTGATTACATCGGACCCACCTGAATAAGGTTCTGTATTCATCACATCTGCCAAGTGCTTTTCGCCATGTAAGGTAAACATTCACAGGTTCTGGGGATTCGGAGGTGGACATGTTTGGGGAGCCATTATTCTGCCTACCACACCTTTATACAACTGGTTGCACACATGTTCCCATGTAATGGCTAGGGTGGTAACATGATTTCTGTTTTACAGTTGAGAAAATGGAAGTTCACGGAGGTTCAGGAAATTGCCCTTGGTCACATAACTTGTGCGTGGAGAAGTCAGCACTTGAATGCTGTAGCTCTGAGCCCAGATCTCTGTTTTTCCATTATATCTGGCTGCTTGTTTTTTTAATTCTCTTCCATACATTTCTTTCTTTCCTTTTTTTTTTTTTTTTTTTTTTGACAGAGTCTCGCTCTGTTGCCCAGGCTGGAGTGCAATGGCGCAATCTCTGCTTACTGCAACCTCCGCCCCCCAGGTTCAAGTGATTCTCCTGCCTCAGCCTCCCGAATAGCTGGGATTACAAGCACACATCACCATGCCCGGCTAACTTTTGTATTTTTAGTAGAGATGGGGTTTCACCACGTTGGTCAGGCTGGTCTCGAACTCCCAACCTCATGTGATCCACCAGCCTCTGCCTCCCAAAGTGCTGGGATTACAGGCGTGAGCCACCACGCCTGGCCACACATTTCAATAAGTGGTATTTGTCAATATTTATGTTTCTGATGCCAATATTCTGGGAAGTTGAAGTGCTGACTTGAGAGAATGTTACAATCAATGTAAAGTTAGTCTTCAAGGTGAAAAGTCAAAATGAAGAAGGAATTGCCCATTTATGTGGTCCTCTTCTTTCATAAACATTTGTTTGTGAGGACCAATACAGATATTGCTTCCTGGCTTAACATTTCTGTCCACTGACATATACTTGGTTTTAATGTTATGTCATATCACACATCTTTTGCTTGCTAGCCAGATTTCTTGTTATCCTTAGGAGATCCTTAACTTTCTTAACCTTGGAACTGTTATTATGAATCAAGATTTACAAGGTATGTCCATGTTCCTGCTACCATGTTGGAGCCTCCTCCATGCCTTACTCCCAACCTTCTCCTTCTCCCATTCTTATCTACCCGGTTCAAGTAACCTGAACCAGAGGCAAAGAAAAGCAATATGGTAGCATACTTTACATGCCTTGAGTAGAAGTCATTCACTATTTTAGGGAGCTTAGAATTCATGGTCCTTCTCGTTCGTGCTTTCTGTCTGGAGAGTCTCTAGAAAACTGCTTTTGGGGGCCGGGCGCGGTGGCTCATGCCTGTAATCCCAACTCTTTGGTAGGCTGAGGCGGGCGGATCACAAGGTCAAAAGATCAAGACCATCCTGGCCAACATGGTGAAACCCCGTCTCTACTAAAAATACAAAAATTCGCTGGGCATGGTGGCACACGCCTATAGTCCCAGCTACTCGGGAGGCTGAGGCAAGAGAATCACTTGAACCAGGGAAGCAGAGGTTGCGGGGAGCCGAGATCATGTCACTGCACTCCAGCCTGGCAACAGAGCAAGAGTCCGTCTCAAAAACAAAAACAAGAAACCTCCTTTTGACCCATCGGTCAGGCCCTCACAGCTGTCTAGAGTCTTTGCATGTCTTTCTCTGTGGTCACCATAGCCCTGGGTGAGAGAAAAGCAAGGACTGAAGTATGAAGGCCTTCTCTCACCCTTATCCTTCCCTTGGATAGGATTGATCACTGCACTGCTGTTTACCTTTTGGAACAACTCCATTCTACTCTTTTGGCTTCTTCCTCTTAGATGCCATTTCAAAACACAGTTGTGGCCTACTGGACTGTGCCCTCTGGGTTCCAGCCTCCATCTACCTGTGTTGGAGGTGCAGCTGAACAGAGGATGCCCTGATGACAGGGTACCAGGACTGGGTCCAAGGCAGGAAGGTAGCCTGTAGTGTAGCTGCGTGCCAGGACCCCAGCCTGAGTTGATGGTGTTTTTGTTTTTTGTTTTTTGTTTTTTCTGTTTTTTGAGACGGAGTCTCACTCTGCCGCTCAGGCTGGAGTGCAGTGGCGCGAGCTTGGCTCGCTGCAACCTCCACCTCCCGGGTTCAAGCGATTCTCCTGCTTCAGCCTCCCAAGTAGCTGGGATTATAGGCACCCGCCACCATGCCTGGCTAATTTTTGTATACTTAGTAGAGATGGGGTTTCACTATGTTGGCAAAGCTGGTCTCGAACTCCTGACCTGAGGTGATCTGCCCACCTTGGCCTCCCAAAGTGCTGGGATTATAGGCATGAGCCACCGTGCCTGGCTGAGCTGATGGTTTTGATGAAATGAATACAGCAGCACACATTCTGCATCCCAGGATTATGCTGGGAGCCGTGGAAGGAGCCTTCTCACAGACCTCCAGTGACAGAAAGGCTGGGCTGTTGGCATCAACTGATGTAAGTTATACAGTGCAAGGCAAATGGTTTTATTCCATATGAGCAGTCACTTACATGTGAGTGTCTGTTCGCTGGTGAGTCAGATGCTGTGCTGAACATGATCTAATAGTATGTTCAGGCATTTTCTTTCTTGCTGGCAAAAAATTCCTATCAGCCAGTAGGGTGGACAGTAGGGTAGACAGTGCCTTTAGGAGCCCAGAAATCAACTATTGGTCCTGTATAGATTCTCTGTGAAAGTTTCCTTCATTGTCCTTTTCCCTTCCCTAACTGTTTTTCCCCTTTTCCCCTCCAAACACCTCCCCCAACCCCACACACACTCCATAAAAAAGGGAAGTTAGTTGGAGGTTGGAATTTCTAATTACATCAATAAAGACTCCAGCTGGGCATGGTGGCGCACTGGCCTGTAAGTCCCAGCTACTTGAGGGGCTGAGGTAGGAGGATTGCTTGAGCCTGGGAGGTGGAGGTTGCAATGAGCCAAGATCCCACTACTGCACTCCAGCCTGGGCAACAGAGAGAGACCCTGTCTCTTAAAAAATAAAAATGAGGGCCGGGTGCAGTGGCTCACACCTGTAATCCCAGTACTTTGGGAGGCCAAGGTGGGCGGATCACCAGGTCAGGAGTTCGAGACCAGCCTGGCCAATATGGTGAAACTCCCGTCTCTATTAAAAATACAAAAATTAGCCGGGCGTGGTGGTGCGCGCCTGTAGTTCCAGCTACTCCGGAGGCTGAGACAGGAGAATGGCGTGAACCCGGGAGGCGGAGCTTGCAGTGAGCCGAGATCACGCCACTGCACTCCAGCCTGGGGGACAGAGCAAGACTCTGTCTCAAATAAATAAATAAAAATAAGGACTCCAGGACTTGGAAAACAGTCTATATCCAGGGAAGAAGCTGCAAACAGGCAGTTCCAAGGCCAGTCCTGTTTTTCTAGGAAGGTCTTCTGAGGGCACCTGCCAAGAGCGAAGCCTGACCTGCATGGCTGGTCCTACTTGGACAGTGTTCCTCCTGAAGGTGGAGGAAGTGACACTTTCTTCTGCTTTATAGACAGCCCACAAATCCCTTGGGAGTGGTAACTGCCTGTTTTACCTAGAGAGCAGTTTTTATTGTTGCCTTTGTTTTTGTTTCTTGAGGGAAAGTGGTCCTTGGCTCCAGTTGTTGCTGATTTTATGAGGAACAGGCAGGGGAATTCAAGCCACTCTAAGGAGTGTTCTCTGGCATTGCCCAAACGCTAGAAGTCCACACCAGCAGCAGCAGTGGGTTTTGGGTCCAAGGGATGTAGGTGTGCAGTGTGTCGGCGGTGGAAACAGAGGTGGAGCAGCCATGTATGTGCAAGGAGAGCGTGATGTTCAGTCGAATGACTGGGCATTTCCTGGCCAGACCTGTCTATCCTACTGCCTAGCTTGTAGGTAATCCCTAGTGTCTAAGAACTAGAAGAAATTCTTGGGCTACTGCACCAAGAGGAAGAGGATCTCCTTTTTCAACAGATGGTCCATCCTTTAAATAAGACATCTCCAAAATACAAGCCAAGTGTTTCCCTGGAGACTTTACATCCACACTTTCTGAGTCATAATTAAATGCCCCTAAACTTACCCAAGCATGGTAGCCAGGTGACAAGGAGTTATAAATCAATATTCATCTTTCTTAGACAGTAGTTGGGGACTTGATTCACACTTCACACTCATGCTGATGTTTTCAGCTGCTGCTGCTTTTTTTTGGTAGAGATGGGGGTCTCACTATGTTGCCCAGGCTGGCGGTCTTGAACTCCTGACTTAAAGCAATCCTCCTGCCTCAGCCTCCCAAAGTGTTGGAATTACAAGTGTGAGCCACTGTACCTGGTCAGTTTTCAGCTTCTTGTATCTGCTCGGACTCAGGTCATTGGACCATCATGTCCCGGTCCCTGCTTCCCCGTCATTTCCTTCCTAAGCAGCCCTTTGAGGGCCTCTCTTTGGAAGAAATGGTCTAGAGGGTCAAAGGGAAGAGGACCAATGAATGGCCATAGCTCCTGTTCCTGGTAGATGCTTTCCCCATTCTTCATGTGGCTGGAATACTGTTGCTGAGGATCCACCTGGCAGGCTGCAGGCTGGACTTACTGTACAGCAGGGTGGGTTTGATGTCTTCACGCTCACCTCCATGCACACAGTGTGCAGTCCTTCCTTTTGTTCCTAGCTGTAGATAGATGTCTTCACTTAGGCTCTTCTGGTTTGCAGTAAGTAGACAGGAATATGTTTGAGACGGGGTCTTGCTCTGTCACCCAGGTTGGAGTACAATGGCCCAATCAAGGCTGACTGCTGCCTCAACTTACTGGGCTCCAGCCATCCTCCTGCCTCAGCCTCCCAAGTAGCTGGGACCACAGGCATGTGCAACCATGCCTGGCTAATTTTTATATTTTTGGTAGAGACAGGGTTTCACCATGTTGCCCACGCTGGTCTTGAATACCTGAGATCAAGTGATCTACCTGCCTTGGCCTCCTAAAGTGCTGGGATTCGAGGCATGAGCCACTGCACCCGGCCAGGAATAAATTGATTGGGTCTATTATTGGAATTCAGTCTGTATGATTTTTCAGATATTCATATATGTATTTTTCATATGTTCATTGATTCTAAGGCACAGACACTTCACCATGTAACAACTTTAAAATCGAGATGTGCTATATAATCACATCTTAAAATTATAAATATCTGTGGAATACCATATTGAAAAAAATTGTTGGCAGCTTTTCTTCCCTTTCTTGAGGTTTATAATGATGCCTCTTACAATTGATGGCATCTTGGAGTCACAAAATACATTATGTAAGTTCAACTCATTTTTCACTTTTTTTGCCTGAAGAATTTGTGAATTTCCTCGAATGGACAGATTTACCAGCAAGCTTCAGTATATTTGGGCAGTACTGGATGCAGCCGATAAAATGGTTTACTCTGCACAGAGCAGTCACACATCCATCCTTGGTTGGACTTTAAAACAATTCTGGAATAGGAAGGGCACTACTTGAATATTACTAAGTAGTTGGTACAAGGCCATCTGGCTAGTGATTGGGAAAGCGTGTTTTCCTCTGATGCCTAGTCTGATTCTCTTTCTTCCATACCAGTCAGTGTGGAATTCAGAAACCTCAGAGATATGTTGGAGTGGAATCTACCATGCTTAGAGTAGAAAATGAAGATCACTACTAAGAGGATCTTTATAGTTGGTAAAAATTGAGAATCCTAATACCCAACAGAAGAAAGTGGCTAGGCACAGTATTATTAGATTATCATATGGAATACAAACATTGAAAATGACAAGTGCCTAGATTGCAGTTGATACAAGGAAGCCTATATTTGTAAAGAGCAGAATATAAATATCCTAACTCCTTGACTTCCAATGCCAACCATTTACCTCCTTGAGCCAAGCATGGGGGAGGCAGTTGAGGCCTAGGCAGAGTTAGAAAGGCTGCACTCCAGAGAAAATGCACAGAGAAGTTATGGAGAAAGAGATAAGGACCTGGAAGATAGAACCAAGAGATTTGACATACAAGCAGCAGGAGTACTAGAAAGAGAAAGGGTAGAGGAAGGGTGCCTGAGGCAGGACTGGCCAGGACTAGCTTATACTGTCATAATACACAGTTCCAGAAGCTTGCTGGCTCAGCTCGGCACATTGATTTCTTCCCCATGCTGCTGCATACAGTGCAGGTCAAGAGGTGGGACTCTGCTCACCATTGTTACTCAGGGACCTAAGCCAGCAGAGGCTTTGTCGCAACACCTGCTCCCTGGTCACTGCAGCAGTCAGGTAGAATGGCAGGTCATGCCCTGGCCCTTAAAGTCCGCTTGGGTGTGTGCACGTTCTTCCGTTCACATTTCATTGGCCAAAGCAAATCACAAACCCACCCTTAACTTCGAAGAGAGCAGGCACATGCAGTCATTATATATGGATGGAAGGAGGAAGGCTAGAAATATTTGGTGAACAGCATTGATGACTTACCACCAGGGGAAGTAATGAAACATATAGAAGAAAATTTCTCTAAAGAAGGAAGACTTGAGGCTGCATATTGAAAGGTAAAACTGATAAGAGAAGACACTAAGCATGTCCTGGTAACGTTTCTGAACTCTTAGGATGAAGAGAAAAATCTTCAAGCTTTCAGAAGCCAAAGGAACAAATTATTAAGGAAAAGAGTCACACTGGCACCAGATTTCCTATTTACAACACCAAGAAGCTAGAAGATGGTGGAATTTCATCTACAGACCACGGGGATAAAAGGAATGCAGCTCAAGCATCCTGTACCCAGGCAAGCTATCCATTCAGCTGTCAGAATGAAAGAAAGGTATTTGAGCATATACAAGGATTGAGAGTGTGCCCCCAGCTGTCACCCGCTGCCCTTGTCCTCACGGTGCCTAGATGCTCTGCCCTCACTGTTCTTCTAATACATCAAGGGCTCTGCTCACCTGTCACCTCCTCAGAGGCTGTCCCTGACCGCTGTATCCAAATTAGCACACCCACCCACTCTACTTGGCTTTTTCTTCACAACACAGCTCACTGCTTGACACTTTGTTCAATGTTTATTAAAATTTCAAACGTTTGGAAAAGTTGGAAGAAGTTTAACTTATGCATCTTTGTTTCTGTTCATTTCATTTTATTGCAGACATCAGTGTACTTCCTTGACACAGATCATTAACTACAGTTAGTTAACTGCAGTTCCATATTTGTTTACAGGTTTTTTTTCTGGTTGAGGTAAAATTTGCAGACAATGAAATCTCAAATCTTAAGTGTATATTTGGTGGATTTTGACAAACACATACGCGTGTGTAACCCAAACCCTCCTCATGATATAGAACATTTTTGTCATCCCAGAAGGTTCTCTCATTACCTTCTCAGTGAATCTCTGCCCCCACCCTAACCCCTGGAGACAACCACTGTTCTGATTTCTTCCACAGTAGATTAATTTTGCCTTTTCTAGAATTTCATATAATTAGAATCATGTGTGCACTTTTGTGTCCTTCACTTGGCGTGTTTTAATTCATCCATGTTGTTGCATGTATCAGTAATTCATTGCTTTTTATAGCTGAGTAGTGTTTCATTTTATTCCACGGATGTACCACAGTTTCTATATCCATTCTGTTGACCAACATTTGGATTGTTACCAGTTTTTGCTTGTTAGGAATAAAGCTGTGATGAACATTCTTGTAAATGACTATTTGTAGGTATATGTTGACATTTCTTTTGGGTAAATACATAGATGAGAATTTGCTTGGGTCACAGGCTAGGTGTATGTTTGTTTTATAAGAAACTACCAGACCTTTCCCCAAAGTGGCTGTGTCATTTTATATTCCCTCAAACATATGTGAGAGTTCCGGTTGCTACACATCTTCACCGACATTACCAACATCTGGTGTTGCTAGTCCTTTAAAGTTTTTGTTTGGTATTTTAATAGACAGATTTATTGGTCAGTGTTTTCTAGAGAAACAGATCCGACAGAGTGAGAGAGAGAGAGAGAGAGAGAGAGAGTGAGTGTGTGTGTGTGTGTGTGTGTAGAGATTTATTATAAGAAACTGGCTTACATGATTATGGAAGCTGAGAAATCCCATGATCTACCATCTGCAAGCTGGAGACCTGGGAAAACTCGTGGAGTATGTAGTTCCAGTTCGAGTTTGAAGGCCTGAGAACCAGGAGAGCTTATGGTGTAAGTCCTAGTTCAAGGGCAAGAGAAGACCAGTGTCCCAGCTCAAGCAGTTAGGCAGACAGAGAGTGAAATTTCTCCTCTTTGCCTTTTGATTCTATTCAGGTCCTCAGTGGATTGGATGAGGCCTGCTCACCTTGGGGAGGGCGGTCCGCTTCACTCAGTCTATGGTTTCAAATGCTGATCTCATCTGGAACCACCCTCACAGTCACACCAAAAATAATGTTGAGCCAAATAATCTGGGCACCCCATGGCCCAGTCAAATTGACCCATCACAACAGATATGTTAACACACACACAGATACATTAAACTTTGTCAGTATGGCTGTCTTCTGATGTCTGCTTATGAGAAATTTCTGGGGAAACAGGTGAGCCTCCAGGCCCCAGAACAGAACTGCAGAGGTTGAGTCCAGAAGAGAGGTTTTCGAAGAGGCAAAAGCCAGAATTCCTGGGCCTTTCCCAGTCAAGGATGTTCTCTAGGAGAGACTGACTCACACCTCAGCAACTGATAAATTGTGCCAATGTTTTCACTTATTTCTGTGTTGACAGAGAGGGAGTCTGTGTCTTTGAGGGTGAAGAATGTGATACCTACAGCTTAGAAATGTGAAAGAAAATCATCAGTGTTACCCCTTGATCTTTTATTCATAATAAATCCCATTTATGAAAATTAGTTTATTCAAGTCCCATTTTATTGACACTAAGCACCATGAGGATGTGACGGAAAGATTGAGGCTGGAAACTAAGAACTGAATGCTAAGGGCAAAGTCAAGGGGCACGCGCTCTCTGAGCTCCTCAGCCAAGAGTTACCCTCATCTACCCCTCTGCCCCAGGACCTCCCATCTGTGTGGCGTGGCTTTCTTTACCCTGGTTGCTTCCTTTGATTCTTCTACCTTTAGGTGATCCCAGAGACAGGCAGAACTGGGGCAGCCTTTAAAATAGCGCATCAGCATGGGGAGGGGGGCAGAAGGGAGGGCTGGGGAGGGAAACTGGAGCAACACGCCGCCAGCACATGGTCCTGTCCTGAGAAATCAGGTCTTAAAGGAAAAGGTTGCAGCTTCGGAAAATGAGAAGTGCATTGGTCTCCAGAGCATAAAAACTCGAGTTGATATTGCATGATAAATGTTGTAGTGGATTGGGAGAGTTCTTGTAGCTTGAACCAGTTGCCCCCATCCTTCCTCGGCTGCTCTGTCAAATGGTAGGGCCTGGGTGAAGGGATGCCCAGTTACCCTGGTCCAGGAACATTGATGCACATGACCACATCAGCATTCCTGGGATCACTGTTGGTTCCCCTAACAGTGGGCTTACCCTGATGTTGTGAGTGTCCCTTTGACCTGACAGTAAGAGGTCACAGATGGCAAGTGCAGACTTGCCTTCTCTCAAGAGCTCTGCTCTCTGGTACAGCCAACCAAATGGCAAAGGATTTCCCACTTAAGGCACTTGTTGAAAGACAGGAAGCAGCTGGACTCTGGCTGATCCAACTCTCTGCTCAGCTCTTCTGGCTGTGTAAACAGTGAGCTGATCTGATGACAAGAGAAAGAAAGGAAACCAGGTCTCCATTAGAAGGACTCTCTTGGCTTCTCTTGATTGGAAGTGGAGGGATCCTGTAGGCGCATTTGCTTGGCAGAACCCACCCAGAGCAGAATTGGGTGATTAAGGACACATTCCCCACAATGCTCTGTCATTCGTTCCTTCCTCATCTGAACATACTGGCAGAAAAGGACAAGGAACCCGGGGTACGTTCCCTGCCTCTGCCTCTGTCTGGTGGGAGGAGATGATTGCCTACGGTGAACCAGTATCAGGCTTGGCCAGCAAGCCCGAGCAAACTGACATCTCCCTTCACTGACAGTTGCAAACTTTCGGCAGACACAGCCCATGTGCAGGGAGCCGCTGGGGCGCTGGCTGGCTACTCCCCTGGCCTCCAGGGTGTGCCGCTCAGAGCCTGCTCTCAGAGGCTTAGGGAGTGTCCTGTAGATGTCTCCTGAAGCATCTCTTACCTGCTCTGAGTGCTGATGAAGGTCTCCGAGGAAGTTTGACAAAATCATGCAGGCCGAATGAGTTTGCAGACCTTTGGTTTACTTTTGTTTTGGAGGGCTGATTTTAATTTGGTGTGAGCTTTTTTCCAAAATGGAATCAAAATTTCCTGGATGTTTTAACCTTCAGGTAGTTCATAAATATCACAGGATTTATCATTCTGTAGGGCTGTAGTGGACGCTTATGGGAAAAGATTTGGGCAATAGACTGGGAGAATCCTTCTTGATCATCGGATGACATTTCAGGAAAGAAGCTGGGGATATTAGTCTTTTCTAGCTGTCCGTGTTTTTTCTGTCCTTCTTACCTTTTACCCTTTATTTTCCATTTAAAAGGTCATCTGCAGATTCAGCATCTTACAACCAGTGCTGTAGGCCCAGTGCCAAATGGAAAGCAGAACTCCAGATAGTTATAACAGAGTTCCTAGGAAAAAAAAGTGTCCATTGTTTCAGGCTACAAGTTAGCCCGGACTATGGGGCACTTAAGGAGAAATTGCTGGGACAGTGTAGAAGGTTCATAAATGAGTATTTGGTAATAGCTGGTAGTATTTCTGTTCTTTCTGCCATGTAACTCTTCTGTGCTAGTCAGTCAGTAGCACAGCACACGAGCAAGAGCGCAGACTTCCTAGGTGTCGTGGGCCAGCTCTGCCTCTTTCTGGCCATGCGAATCTTGATCAGGTTATGTAATCTTCTGAGCCTTGATGTCCTCATCTGTCAAATGGCGTTAATGATAGATAGTACCTACCTACCGTATATGAGAAGACATGTAAAGCACCATGGCTGTCCATAGTAATGACTCAATAAATGCAAACTATTATTTATTATCATATGCAAGAGTAGGTGCTGCAGAGGTTAAAGAGAGACTGTTGGTTTCCAGTTGGCAGTATGGAAAGTGCCAGTCGTAGTGCACAGTGCTCGAGAGGTTCAAAGGAAACGGTGATGGCACCCGGCAGAGATGGGAGCTGCTGGCCACCCCCTAGTGGACTCTGCATAGCCCATGGCCAGTGTGCCCTTGCCATGGTCTCGAGGATGGAAAAGCCAGGTCATCATGTGATTTCCCACTCGCATAATAGACACCAACTTACTCATTTTTGTTTTTTGTTTAGACAGGGTCTCACTCTGTTGGCCAGGCTGGAGTGTAGTGGCATGATCATGGCTCACTGCAGCCTCAACCTCCTGGGCTCAAGCGATCCTCCTGCCTCAACCTCCCACGTAGCTGGGATTAGAGGCATGCACCACCATGCCCAGCTAATTAAAAAAAAAAAGTTTTTAATAGAGACGGGGTCTCCCTGTGTTGTCCAGGCTGATCTCAAACTCCTGGGCTAAAGTGATCCTCCCACCATGGCCTCCCACAATGCTGGTATTACAGGTGTGAGCCACCGTGCCCAGCCCAGAGCTATTTCTTGAGCTATGCCAAAATAAAACAGAAACACCAGAGGTAGTAGATGCTGGTGTTACTAACCCTGCTTTAGTTAAAGTGTAGGCCTCTTCCTACACCAGTGGTGCTTCCTCTCCAGAGGTAATATTTCCCAACATGCCTCGTTCTTAAAACCCTATGGCCAACTCTCCCTACCCTGACGGAAAGGACTTTAGATTTGAAGCAGAGAACCCTGAGGCTAGTCTCAGCTCCACCTCCTCAGTTGTGTGACAGTGTGCTACTCAGAGGCCTTCACCAGGGCCCATTCCCTCATCTGGACAGTGAGGGGATTGCTCTAAACTTGAGTCTCCGCCTTTTTTTTCTAGGACATGAATGTCTGGTGACATTCCCTTGTAGACCTTCTTGTTGGGTGGCCTACTTCCTAGTACCTTAGCTGTAACTCAACTCCCCTCCTGCACTCAAGGAATCACGCTGGAATACAGGGGAGTAAATGATGCTATTATAGGGATAACCTTGAATCTGTTCTGAGTTATCAGAAACATAAGTACCTGCAAGGTGTAGTTTTGTTCTTAGTCACAGGTCACTTTAACGCTAGGCAGTGAGAGTGTCAGGGCCTGGAGGCAGAAGGCCTGTCCTAGACCACATCCCTCCTCTCCTTCCACAGCCTCAGCCTGCAGGCAGGTGCCAAGTTAAAGTGCAGGTGTCCTTTAGTTATTTAAAGGGTTGCAAAACCTTGGTCTTTGGGGTTGAAAAAAACCCCATGTGAGTGCAGAGGGACTTAGGCTGGATCGGAAAAGCATCTTCCATCTGTGAGACGCAGGTTTACACCTCACCTCCCCATCGAGCTGTGACCCTGGATCTGCACATTTCTAAACTGAGTTAGAAAATAATCAGCCTGGTGTGTTTAGATCCAGCTGTGCAAGAAAACTGGATGGAATTCCCCTCCTTTCTTTATAGTCTTCTGGGGTTTGTTGTTGTTGTTCTGGTTGTTGTGTCCTTTTTGTGGAGAACGGGGTCTCACTGTGTTGCCCGGGCAGGTCTCAAACTCCTGAGTCCAAGTGATCCTCCCACCGTGGCCTCTCAAAATGCTGGGATTACAGGCGTGAGCCACCACACCAGGCCTGGTCTTCTAGCTTTGTTAATGATGGATTTATAACCACCCAGAGGTTAGAAATACAGCCCTTTCCCGAAGCTCCACCAAAGTCCTTGGATTGGTAGCGTTTCCAAGACTTTTTAAGTGACATGCTCAGATGCTAAGAATCTCTGAGGAAAGAGGTTGGGGAAATGGCGACTGTGCCATGGAGTCAACTGTCCACTTTGTCTGTAGTTAGCCAGGCCCTGAATTTTCTGCCTGGTCCCATAGTTCAAAGCACTGCCAATGAAGGGAAAAAAAGAGGATTTGGAGAGGACTTTAAGCAAAGTGGTTGCGTCAGTTAGCCTCCTGTCTCTCAGCACCCCGGGCCACCAGAGTCACGGCTTTTCATGCAGAGTTAGGCACCCAATTAAATAAAAATTTAATTTTAATTTGTATTTTTTGTAGAGGCAGAGTTTAACTATGTTGCTCAGGCTAGTCTTGAACTCCTGAGCTCAAGTGATTTCCCCACCTTGGCCTCCTAAAGTGCTGGGATTACAGGCGTGAGACACCGCACCCAGCCACATTCAGCCTTTTATCTGTTTCATAAGAAATGTTGGGTGACTGATGCCTGTAATCCCAGCACTTTGGGAAGCTCAGGCAGGTAGATCATCTGAGGTCAGGCATTTGAGACCAGTCTAGCCAATGTGGCGAAACCTAGTCTCTCCTAAAAATACAAAAATTAGCCAGGCATGGTGGCGCTCACCTGTAATCCCAGCTACTCGGGAGGCTGAGGTGGGAGACTCTCTTGAACCCGGGAGGCAGAGGTTGCAGTGAGCGGAGATCGTGCCACTGCACTCCAGCCTGGGCAACAGAGTAAGACTCCATCTCAAAAAAAAAAAAAGAAAAGAAAAGAAATATTGCAGATGGTTATCACTAGTATCAATTAAAACTGCATATGGAAAATTTGACTAACACAAGAGTCCAGTCTTTACAACAGTATAGTGAACTCTTGAACTACGTGGGAGACTCTGACCCCCACACAGTCAAAAATCTGCATATAACTTTTTTTTTTTTTTTTTTGAGACAGGATCTTGCTCTGTCCCCCAGGCTGGAGTGCAGTGGCACAAACATGGCTCACTGCAGCTTTGACCTCCTGGGCTCAAGCCATCCTCCCACCTCAGCCTCTCAAGTAGCTAGGACTACAGGCACACACCACCACTCCCAGCTAATTTTTTTTTGTAATTTTTGTAGAGACAGGCTTTTGCCATGTTGCCTAGGCTGGTCTCAAACTCCTGAGCTCAAGCAGTCTGCCGGCTTCAGCCTCCCAGAGTACTGGAATTACAGGCATGCACGACCACACCCAGCCCTGTGGATAACTTTTGACTCCCCCACAACTTAACTACTAATAGCCTACTGTTAACCAGAAGCCTTACCAATAACATAAACAGTCGATTAAGATGGATTTTGTATGTTATAAATGTATTATATACTGTATTACAATAAGGAGAGAGAAAATAAAATGTTATTAAGAAAATGATAAGGAAGTGGCCAGGTGCGGTGGCTCACACCTGTAATCCTAGCACTTTGGGAGGCTGAGGGCAGGAGACTGTTTGAGCCCAGGGGTTCAAGACCAGCCTAGGCAGCATAGCAAGACCCCATCTCTAATATTAAGAAAAAAATTTTTAATAACATTTAAAAATATGTATAAGGAAGAGAAAATATATTTAGTGTTCGTTAAGTGGAAGTGGATCGTCATAAAGGTCTTCATCGTGTTCACATTGAGTAGGCTGAAGAGGAGGAGGAGGAGGGGTTGGTCTTGCTGTCTTAGGGTGGCAGAGGCGATAGAAAATCCACATGGAAGTGGAGCCCCACCATTCGAGCCCATGTTGTTTGAGGGTCAGCTGTTGTTAAATGTGCCACATTAGGAAGTCCAGGCTGGGCGGGCAGGAATCACAGTCACAAAAGGGAGAAACTGTGATGTGCACAATTTAATGCAGAGAAATAAGATTTCAGTGGCAACAGATCTTTTTGATAGAATGTATATGGAAAAGAATTGATCCATTTGAAAATCATTTCAATGAAAGTAGATTGGAAAAAATTAGAAATAATTCATCTGTGTTGTATGGACAAATGGATCAGGGGATTAGGTTTGCTTAACGGAGTTCAACTCGAAAGATTCTCAACCAAAATTCTCCAGTATGGGTACAATTCTGTATCAGTTGAAACTCTGGATGTGTAAGCAGTTCACACACATCTCAAAGGACAGTGGCCTTAAGCCACAAAGGAGGCAGAGGGGGCTGTGGGTGAGGGAGAGAGTTGCTACCTGGCATGGGCGGCTGAGGCTGGGAGCTGGGTGAGGGATGAGATTCCTCCCAGGGTGATCCAACCAAGTGGCTGAAA
Source organism: Homo sapiens (assembly GCF_000001405.40). Taxonomy (NCBI): domain Eukaryota; kingdom Metazoa; phylum Chordata; class Mammalia; order Primates; family Hominidae; genus Homo; species Homo sapiens. Next base: position 75,092,871 of record NC_000016.10, read on the forward strand.
GGCTGTGAGGCAGAAGAATGTTAAACTGTTATGCAAAGGCTGTTTCCAGGTGCCTTGGTTTGATGCCTCCCTACCCCATTGTCCACCAGACCCATCTGAGAAAGGGTCTAAAGAAGATAAAACTCAAGTCAGGTGTCAGTGACCTTGGTTAAACCTTAACGAGGCACATAAGGCAGGGTGAGCCCTAGTGAAAGCTGGCAGTCAGTCAAAGGCTGCAATAAAAGGCAAATGCCACCGGGCGCGGTGGCTCATGCCTGTAATCTCAGAACTTTGGGAGGCCGAGGCGGGTGAATCACCTGATGTCAGGAGTTCAAGACTAGCCTGGCCACCATAGTGAAACCCCCTCTCTACTAAAAATACAAAAATTAGCCAGGCGTCATGGCAGACACCTGTAATCCCAGCTACTTGGAAGGCTGAGGCAGGAGAATCGCTTGAACCCGGGATGCAGAGGTTGCAGTGAACTGAGATCGTGCCACTGCACTCCAGCCTGGGCGACAGAGTGAGACTTCGTCTCAAAAAAAAAAAAAAAAAAGGCAGATGCTCAAATGAGTCCTTGAAGGAGGACAGGTCCAGGGTCTGTTCTGATGGTCATCCTCCACATTGACCCTGAGCCCACATGGCTGTCATTCGAGAGTGTCCACATGTACTGTGGATGTACTGGATCTGGAGAAAACATTTCATCCCATTCTCCTCTCTTTCAGGTTTCAAGTGCCCCATTTGCTCCAAGTCTGTGGCTTCTGACGAGATGGAAATGCACTTTATAATGTGTTTGAGCAAACCTCGCCTCTCCTACAACGGTAAGGGCTTGGCCTGCCTCACCAGCCTCCAGAGCATCCGTCGGGGGAGCCGGCCAGTCCTTGTGGGAGCCTCCAGTCGAGGGTGGTTCTGGGCAGTATTTTCACCCTGCCCTCTGGCAGGTGTGCCTCAGTGGTGGTGAGGAAGTGGACTGTTCTGGGAGCCTTGCTGCTCAGGTCAGAGAGGAAGAGGAGTGGGACAAGGAAGGAAGGCCCAGGGGTCAGGTCCGAGGTCTGGGAAGGCTCTCGGGCTGCTCAGTTAGGCCCCTGCCTCTCTGCAACTCAGTTCTGAGGACTTTGGCTGGGAGATGCAGCCTTTCCTTCACCCTTGACTGTGGAAGGCCCCAAGACAGCCAGGTGTCCTCCACGGCTTAGCAGAGGGGCCCAGAGCAAGCACCCGCCCTCCTTGGGGAGGTGGGGGCTGTGTGCTGGTGGCATGCATAGAGTGCTGGGAAGCTGGTCGTCTCCTTGTCACGTTCGAACTCGGACGAACACCTGATTTAGTCCTATGAGTCCACACCAGAGAGCTTGACGGGGGACTATGTGTGACATAGAGACGCTCTGGGGATTGAAAATGCGGATAGGACACCTTGCTGCTCCACCCTGGCCATGTTGCCTCCTACCTTGGAGGCTGCCTCAGAGCCGAACAGTGAATACCGCAGAGGGTAGGACCCTGAGGGCAGGGGATTTCAAAACACCCAAGCTAACCTAACAGGACGCCTCTGGGAAACAAAATGACTGTCAACATCTGCCTAGCATGCTGTGCATAAGGCTTTGGAGTCCAGGTGATGGGAGTTCAAATCTCCCTCTACCACTCTGTGTCTACAATCTTATACAAGTTGCTCAGCTTAGCGGAGCCTCAGTTTTCTGCTCTGTAAAATGTGGATAGCAATACTTGGTTCATAGGATTGTCAGAACTGGGTAAGAGATGGCACATAAAGGCCTTTGGTACAGAGCCTGGCACATGGTCAGTGCTTGGGAAGTTACAGCTGCCATGAAAGATGTGAGACCTTCATAGGTTTCTTTTTGCAGTTTTCCAGAGCCCACAGACTTCTCCTCAGTGCTGCTCAGCCCACGCCACTGCTGACCCTCGATTTTCCATGCTTAGTGTTTAGTCTGGTCTCCAAACCATGTTCATCAGAAAACGGCATCTTCCACTAGACCAGGCAGTGGATCTGAGTGCACTCCAACCCTGGTACTGGCCCACCTTCCCAGATTCAAGTCATAGTAGTGGTTGGAAAAAGAGTTCTGGGATTTCTGAGAGCATCTGAGGACTGGATCACGCAACCAGCCCAGCGAGAATGTTTCCTAGGGAGACTCTTCTCTGCCCTGCAGCCTCCTCACTCCCAGAGGGCTCTTTCCCCTACAAAGCATGAGCCTAGGAGGGATCATGGTCTCAGAGCATTTCCTGGGAAGTAACTGACTAATGGCGTCCACTCAGGTCTCCTGAAAACTTCTCTCTTAATTACTTGTTCAGCCAAAAGACTCTGGATGCAGGTGGGCATATTACCCACGTGGCTCAGCTCCATGCATTTGTTAGGCCATGCTCAGGTGGGAGGACCCGCACGGCCCTCCCCTGGGCATCATAGCTGTGGTCTGGGAAGCCCCTTTCCTCCCCAGGGGACAACGCCTCCTTTCTCCTGGGCTGACTGCTGCCAGTTCTCTAAGTCTGTTGTCACATGTGCTGCAGGCTTCGCGTCAGTCCTGTCGCATGCATGCTGTCAGGACGCTCAGGCTCAGCTTTGTCCCTGTTCGCCGTCTCCGCTTGGGACCAGGGAGGGAGAGGAGCCTTCCCTGCGTCTCACAGCCCTCCCTAGCCATGGCCTCAAAAACCCTATTCACTTCTTTCCCACATGTGTGGAGACCTCATGAAGTCCTCCGTTTGTCCTGTGGGTTGCTAGGGCGTTCTCTGTAGACACTGCGTTTGTTGTAGGAAGAATACAAAGAAGCCTCAGAGGGGCTCAGCCTGAGAAAACCTGGCTCTCAGGAAGAACTTTGCAAGAGCAGCCGTGGAGGACAGAGTGCTCTTGGGCCCCCATGGCCCAAATGCAGAGTTACCCCCACTGCCCTGTGGAGAACCGGGAAGGTGAGGCTGTCCAGCTCCTCTGCCAGAGAACTGCCTGGGACGCCACCATGTGTCCCCCTGTCCCCCTCTGTATCAGCACTTGAGTGCCTGGCGCTGTTGGTTTACCCCCCTACACCCCACCACCGGCAGCCTCACCCAAGACTACAGAAACCACACCGGGAGCCGGGCCCCCCTTAGAGGAAGGGGAGATTGGCCAGCCAGCCTGAGGCATGACCACTGCTCCTCTGGTTCTGGTTCTAGTTTTTCCCTTGTCATGGAATTGAGGGGCAGGCCACCTCCTCAAGGGTGCATGTGTTTCTGTATGTGTGCACGTGTGTGTGTGTGTGTGTGTGTGTGTGTGTGTGTGTGTGTAAACTAGAGGCTTTACACCTAAGGCTCTCTTTTGCAAAAGCCAGTCCTTTACCACTGGAGGCAAAGAGAGGCCAGTTGTCTCCAGTCCTTCCAGTGGACTTTGTCTCAACGTGGTGAAGTGCTTTGTTCAGAAACAATGGTCCGGCCCTCTGTGGACCCTGTTCATGTGGTATGGACTCCTCATGTTCAGTCTTTGTCTTTTCTGAAGACCCTAAACCTTCCAGGTAAGAGGAGAGCATTTGCTTCCGGGGGTGTATGTGGAGTGGGCATCCCCAGGCACGCCCAGGGCCTGCTCCAGCTCAGAGAGAGCACAGACCGTGGGCCAAAGCTCAGGAGCTCCAATGTATTCCCCATGATTTGTCATCATCCCAACCTCACCTGCTGCATGTTACCTTTTCTAATTTAAAAAAAGACTTAAGAGTCAGAGGTGTGAGTTCTTGGAATCTTTCTGGAAAGGGGGCGAGGCGGGGCTTTCTTAGTGAAGAGTTTTCTTATGAAGATTCACTAGAACTCCTGGTCACTCCCCTGAAGACTTCCCATTTACACACACACTTTCTGTGGTTGTTGGCACCAATTGCGGAAATTTTTAGAAAATTTATGATGGTTATATAAGATGAAATTTAGTTAACCACTAAAGGAAAAAAGTAGAAACCTCCTAAATGAGGCAGATAGAAAGTAGTATTTTTCTTATTATGAGGGTTGGCCTGAGTGGTGGGTTGGAAGGCCTCCAGTAGCTGCCTGCTAGCTTAGAAAAAACACAACTTAGGAAAGGCGAGACTAGTTTAACTGGTTCAGCTAGTGCCTGGTGCTCCGAGGACAGGCACCTGGCTGGGGAAGTTTGGGAATGTGCTGAGCCCCTGCTGGAGGGGCAGGGAAGGGCGGTTGACTCCAGAGCACCGAATGTTAAACCCCCTGTCCTCCTAAGCGCCTTCCTGGAAGGTGAGGATACTGTATAAGAGGGAGGGGGTTCGTTGGTTTGTTTTTGTGGGTAAGATGGATCAACCCGAATGGGCCTTTTAATTTCTCTCCCTTTCTAACATCTCTGTTTGTGACTCTGAGACTGAGGGACCTTGCCCTAAAGAATACGCATTCAAATTTTGACCCTCGAGTCTCTGGGCTAGCAGAACAAGCGTGGAGGTGGGGGTCTGATTGGTGATGCTCTGAACGGAAGAGCATTGTAATCCTGTGGAGTCGTGGAGATGACCCGCTTTTGACTGGAAGCTTAGGGGTCCTCAGCCCAGGGAGAATCTGGGGGGCGGCAGGTTCATTTGCCAGCAGCACCAAGGAGAGCTCCCCTCAGCTGTGTTCTGGGGGAGCAGAAGCCCATGCTCAGCTTCTTATGTCATGATGCCCTCTTCCTCCCCTCTGCCAAAGGCCATTGCCCCCATCTTTAAGGCTCTTGAGATGCTAAATGTCACACAAGCTGTCTTTTAAAGGCAAGGGAGGCCGGATGCAGTGGCTCACGTCTGTAATCCCAACACTTTGGGGAACCGAGATTGCTTGAGCTCAGGAATTTGAAACCAGCCTGGGCAACATAGTGAGACCCCATTTACTAAAAACAAAAAATTTGTCTGACATGGTGGCAAGCGCCTGTAGTTCCAACTTCTCAGGAGGCTGAGGTGAGAGGATCACTTGAGCCCAGGAGATTGAGGCAGCAGTGAGCTTGATCACGCCACTGCACTCCAGCCTAGGCAACAGAGCTTGACCCTGTCTCAAAAAATAAAATATAAAATAAAAATGTGAGAGGACCTGGCTTCCTGGAAAAGCAGAAATGGCTCCTGCTATAGCCTGCCCTGTGCCTGCAGGCAATTCTTTGTCCCATGTCTCCTCCTCTCAGAGACCCTGTGGTCAGAATGAAAGCACCCTACCCTTTCCCTGCCTGGGGAAACCGGGTGCTGGCCGAGGAGTTTGCCCAGCCTTGCTTGGGGCATTGCCCAGAGCCATTGTTAGATGCTGGATGGGCTGGAGTCAGGCTGGACAGGCTGGAGTCAGACTGCGGAGGTGTCTGTCCTGTTACTCCTCCTACAGGAGGGCGAGGAGGGGCAGGTGACTGCTCACCCAGGGTGTCCAGCTGTTGCTGACCGGCTGCACTGACTGCCAGACTGGCCGCTGCTGGGTGTATGAGGAGCGAAAGCGACTAGGGGAGGCCTGCAAGGCCCTAACACAAGTGGGGAAACCAGGAACAGGTGGCTACAGGAAAGAGGACTGTGGGAGGGAGCTGTAGTGGCCTCAGTAGGAAAGTATGAAGCGCTCCAGGCCTGAGCTTTAGTTGGCTGCCCCCACTATCCTCATTGCGGGTGGCCCAGCTCACCAAAACAATTGCATTGCACTTCAAAGGGCTGGGCAGTTGGATGGGCCGCTGCTGGTAGGCTACACTCTCTGCTCAAGGTCACCCTGTTGCCTGAAGAGCACAGCCCCCCAGATTTCCCAAAAGGGGAGCTGACAAGGCCTGGCATGGGTGGCACTGCCCTGTCCTGTCCCTGGCAGACTGGGCCAGCAGCTCTGCATGCTGAATAGGCAGCAGGACCAGGCACTCCACCGCACCTAGGCTGGAAATGAGGTCAGGGGGTGGAACCTGAGCCTGTGCGTCATTTGCTAGGGGTTTCCCCTCTGACTCCCACCTTCCTTCTCTCTGGGCCCTTCATGGCCACCAGGCACAAGTGGAGATGGAGAGGCATGTTCCTGTGCTCAGCTGCTGCCTCGGAGCTGCACGGGCTTTCCCTCCCAGCCAGGTGCAGATCTGTGTCTGCAGCTGTGTGAGCCTCCCCACCCCTCCATACTTCTAGCAGTTCCAGGGTCTCTTGAGGATGTGTTGCCAGAACTCTGCAGAATACTCGAGCCTGGCATGGTGGAGGGCAGGTGTGTGTCTCTCCTGTCTGGTCTGTTCACTCAGTGACCAGGTTCCTCCATCCACCTTGGGTCCTCTGCACACACTTCACAGAAAGGGGGAGATGCAAAGTGCCTGTGAGACGGGTGGTGTTTTCCAGCCCCAAGGGAAGACACCCTTATGGCCTGGTCTTTTAAGGAAAAGGGGCCAGGTCGCTGGGTGGCAGAAACTTGGGCTTGGGAGTCATCACCACTTAGCAGCTGCATGAGCTTATCCGAAGATCCCCACAGGGGCTTTAGGAGTCATGGTGTGTGTGTCTGAGGAGTTACCTGCATATAGCTGGCTTAGAGAATTAAGGCTCTTTTGCTCCTCCTCCCAGATATCTTTGCTTTGACAAATAGCAGCTGTCAGAAGCACCGTGCCTGGATCCCAGGGAGGGAGCAGAAGATGCCACCGCCTCCCACCCCCAGCCCATCACAGGCATCATCCCTCCCTCCTGTTTCAGCTCCAGGGCCGTGCTCGCCATTCTGGTTTGGTTCCCTGGTCTGGTTAGAGGGACAGGCACTGACACCATCCCCAGCCAGGCCAAACACACTTCCAAGCTCTCCCTTGGGCAGTGACATTGGCTGGCTTTGTACAGTGGCGTCAGGAAACTTGGGAGGTGCTTCAGAGGTAGTAAGAAAAGGGCAGAACCCAGATGGCAGAAAGTTTGGCTTTGTTCTTATCCGGCAGCATTTGTTGAACCTCTTCTCTAGGGGCCTGGAGATACCAGGGGACATTTGACTCCATCTGCAGCAGAGTCTCAGTTTGTGTGGGCCAGGCGCCTGGGTTTTGTGCTGCGAGGCCCCCGCCATGGCTTTTCTCTGACGGCAGGCAGCAGGTTCGTGTCAGATGCTTCTGGAAGTCTTGTAGGAACCAGTTGATAGGCAAGCATCAGCTTCAGCCATTTCCACTTCCCTGCTAGGCTCTCAGGGACATCCGGAGGCCACTAACTCCCACAGCCCCAGGGGTGGGGACAGGAAGTTGTACTCAGCCCACTGCAACCTCTTGCTGGGTTTGTGTGCCTCCTGCCTCCTGCTGTGGAAGAATGCTGCTCCCTGGGCACTGGGCTCTGTGTGGGCACTGCTGGCTTCCCCATGCTGTCTGAGTCAAAGACCCTGACTCCTTCCTATTGCCGGGAACCTCCAGGTGGCCTTTTGCAGCCAGTGGCTCTTGGTCCCAGTGAAATGTGCTCCCTGCCGTGTGCCAGCCTGGTTGGGGTGCCTGCACATTTTAGTTCTTCCCACCAGTGCAGCAGACTCAGGCCAGCTGGTAAAGGCACAACACTGCACTGTGCATAAAACCGCCTTGTGGAGTGGTGAGGAAAGGCTGCCTCTAACCTTCCTCTGCTCAAGTCTGAGTCCTTTAGTGCACAGGCCTTCCGCCCCAGGACAAGAAGAATCGCCCTCGCGCCCCCTTCCCCTTCCCCTTCCCTTTCCCCTAGTGAGGTTCGGTGCAAAAAGAGAGTCAAGTCCAGTCTTGTCATAAAGCGCCTAAGCCTTATCCTCATACCTGCCTCTCCCTTCCCTGAATCCATCACCTCCTGGGGGGCGATGAGGGAGACCACATGTGCCCTCCTGGAGCTGACACAGATGGGGAGAGAACACACCTGGTGTGGGAAGCTGTATGGGACCCAGAGAATTCTAACTAGTCCCTTGGGCTCACAGTTGAGTTACCAATCAGTAGGAGAAAATGCAAAGATAAACTACTTAGGAATCAGTAATTGCCATGTTCCCAGGAAATCCTCCTTAAGTATGGAGGGGAAGGAATGCTTTAGAGGAAACTAAGGGCTATAGCCCATACGCTCATGTCATAGATGAGGTGTCCAAGACAAAGAGAGTGGGGAATACAGGTCCAAGAATGTCTGCATGACGACTCTGCCCTCACTAAGCTATGCTGTTTTTCCTCCCATCTCTGTTGAGGTTTTTCCCTCTGTTTTATTATGAAAAATGTCAAACACACAGCAAAGTTTTTATGTTTTTTTGAGACAGAGTCTCGTTCTGTCACCCAGGCTGGAGTACAGTGGCACAATCTTGGCTCACTGTAATCTCTGCCTCCCGGGTTCAAATGATTCTCCTGCCTCAGCCTCCCAAGTAGCTGGGACTACAGGTGCATGCCACCATGGCAGGCTAACTTTTGGTTTTTTAATAGAGACAGACTTTCACCATGTTGGCCAGGCTGGTCTCAAACTCCTGAGTTCAGGTGATCCATCTGCCTCAGCCTCCCAGAATGCTGGAATTACAGGCATGAGCCACTGCACCCAGTGTACGGCAAAGCTGAAAGCATTGTATAGAGAACACCCTTATTGCTGGGCGCGGTGGCTCACGCCTGTAATCTCAGCACTTTGGGAGGCCGAGGTAGGTGGATCACGAGGTCAAGAGATCAAGACCATCCTGGCTAACATGATGAGACCCCGTCTCTACTAAAAACACAAAAATTAGCCGGGTGTGGTGGCATGCACCTGTAGTCCCAGCTACTTAGTAGGCTGAGGCAGGAGAAACTCTTGAGGCGGAGGTTGCAGTGAGCTGAGATCATGCCACTGCACTCCATCCTGGCGATAGAGCGAGACTCCATGTCAAAAAAAAAAGAGAGAGAACGCCCCTATTACATAGCACATGCACCACCTGGAGTCTGCAGTGTACTAGACCCGTTTATCCATCCACCAACCCATCTTATCCTTCTGATGCATTTCATAGTAAAATGCAAACACCAGTATGCTTCCTTATCAGGGTTTTTAACTAAAGTAGTGCACATTCGAACGCTACAGAAATACATAAAAGGATTTTTCTCCAAGTCCTCCTTTCCTCTACCACTGTGAAAGTGTGTGCATCCTTCCAGACTTTGATCTGTGCCTACACATGCATTTGAATATGTATGGTAGCTAGTGCTTTCAAGCAGGGGGATCACACCCATGTGTTCATCCACTACTTGCCATGTTTGGAGTCTGAGGGGACAGACACTTCAGCAGCAGACTGTGCCATCTCCCTTCTCAGTTTGTGTCACCCTTTCAGGTGGGTCCTCGGGCTAGCCAGATGTTCTAGACAGAAAATGACCACAAGTTGTCCTGGTGGCCAGGAAGCTGAGAGTGACTTCTCTCGCAACTCATGTGCCTGGGGACTTAAGGATCGAATCGGTTCCATTTTATGCTTTTTCCTTGGGGTTCCTGGTGGGGGGCTTTGAGGAGCGGAAGCCATAGCCTTCTGGGCCCTGAAGAATCTTCATTTTATGGGCCCCAGGTGTTTGCCTTTCCACCAAAATAATAAGAGAACACAAAGAAACAGCAATGGGAAGGCCTCTTAAGCAGAGGGTCCCAGTCCCAGCCCCACAACCCACAAGCCCACTCATGAGGTGTGTGACTTCCTTGGGCTTCCGGATCCTCATTCGCAAAATGAGAATAACACTGGGTGCCCTGCCCAGCTTGGAAGATGGTGATGCTCAAAGGAAGACACGCACATGTGTTTGTCATTGGCAGTGTTCGGGACAGTTAAGTTCCTTTAGTGACGGAGAAGGGATCCTGCCACAAGCTCTGCCTTCTTCACAGCTGAGACACTGCTCTCCTGATATTTCTCCTGTGGCTTGGAGGACTTCTGGGTCGCCTTTTGTTCACGTCGCCTCTTTTCACCTGCCCTTCAAATATTCATGTCGGCCTGGGTTTGTCTTCTGCCTTCTTTGGATTTTGGTCTGAACTTTCTCCCTGGACTGCCTCTTTATCCCACATCCATGCCTGGCACCCATGTCTCTGTTCCAAACCTCAGCTCTAGGCTTCAGCAGCCTCCTGGAGGTCTCCATCAGCTGGCCGGGCCTCCTCCCACCCAACTCAGAATCCGTCCCTTCCTTCTCATGCTTTCCTCCTGGGCACCCTCCCTTAGTGCAGGCACCTGCTGTGTGTCCCGCTGCCCTCATCCGCACACGCAGGGCTGCTGCGCACTCCTTGTTGTCGGCCCCAGACACCACAGCAGAACACAAGGCTGTTCCCTGTGCCCAGAATCTCCCGTCCCCACCCCAGCTTCATCCATCCTCCACCTTCTCCAGAACCTTCCCAGATCAGCCCCCATCCTGATGAGGTCTCTTTCCCCATACCCTCAGCCCTGGGCCTGCGCGTGAGAAGATGTCCTGGAAGTCCTCATGCTGTGCCTTTTGATTTCCTTGTTCGGCATCCCTGCTAGTCTGTGAGCTGCTTGAATCCCGAGATCATGGCTATTCACTGTCGCCGGCACGCAGAATGCCATAGGACTTAATAAAAACCAGTGGGTTCCCATGGGTGCAAGTAGCTTCCTTCCATTCCTTCTTTTTGGGATGGTGAGCGGGGTCACTTTTGTTTCTTTCTTTTTAAACATTGAGATGAAACTCACCATAAAATTAACCATTTTTATATGTGCAATTTAATAGCATTTAAGACATTCACAACCCCCATCTTTATCTGGTTCTAAACACTTCATCGCCCCAAAAGAAAACCTCTGGTGTGATTCCACTTACATGAGGTAGCTAAAATACTCAAACTCATAGAAGCAGAGAGTAGACTAGTGGTGGCCAGGGGCTGGGCGGGGGGAAGGGGAGTGGTGGATTAATGGGTATAACATTTTAGTTATGCACGATGAGTAAGTTCTAGACATCTGCCATACAACATAGTGCCTACAGTTGACAATACTATGTTGTACACTTGAAGATTTGTTAAGAGGATAGAGCATATGTTAGTCTTACCACAATAAAATAAAGTTTTTAAAAGGGGAAAAAACGGGTCAGGCGTGGTGGCTCACACCTGTAATCCCAGCACTTTGGGAGGCCAAGGTGGGTGGATCACGAGGTCAGGAGTTCGAGACCAGCCCGGCCAACATGGTGAAACCCCGTCTCTACTAAAAATACAAAAACTAGCCAGGCGTGGTGGTGGGCGCCTGTAATCCTAGCTACTCGGGAGGCTGAGACAGGAAAATCACTTGAACCCAGGAGGCGGGGGTTGCAGTGAGCCGAGATAGTGCCACTGCACTCCAGTCTGGGTGACAGAGTGAGACTCCATCTCAAATAAAAGCGGGGTGGTGGGGGGGGAGAAAACCCCCTACCCATTAAGCAGTCACTCCCCATATCCCTCTGTCCCCAATACTGATCTCCTTTCCCTCTCTATGGATGTATCTATTCTGGACATTTCATATAAATGGGTTCATACAATAGGTGGTTTCTTTTACTTTGTGTAGTATTTTTGACGTTTATCCATGTTTTAGCATGTGGTGGTTCTTCCTTTTCTTGGCTTAGTAATATTCCATTGTGTGGATACATCATCTTTTGTTTATCCGTTGCGCAGTTTGTAGACACTGGGTTGTTTCCACCTTTGGGCTGTTGTGAACAATGCTGCTGTGAACCTCCGTGCACAAGGATTTTCTTGGGGACCTGTTTCTTCCTCTCATTCTTGCCTCCTACCACTCTACCCATTACCATATTTTTCCAAACCAGACATCAGCACACTGGCTACGTGTGTGTTTAGGAAAGCATCTGTGGAGGGAAACAGCTTGCCTCATGCTGCCCCTGCTTCCTGTCTACCCTTCTCCAAGCCTTTTTCGTCCGCTGTCACCTAGGCTTTTGGTTAATCACATGTTGAGATTAATCCCATTTTGTCTTTGGGTAATTAACATGTGATGTCCACGCATTATCTCCACGGTGAAAGTCTTAAGGTCAACGTCCCTCTTGGGGTTCTGTGTCCCCTGCAGAGCCGGGCACAGCTTGGGGCAGCTAAGCAGTCCCCTAGTTCCTAGGCCCTTGCTTGCCCCATGCCACCTGTCCACTGGTGACTAACCCTCCTGCACTCTCCCCTGTCCCCCTTGCAGATGATGTGCTGACTAAAGACGCGGGTGAGTGTGTGATCTGCCTGGAGGAGCTGCTGCAGGGGGACACGATAGCCAGGCTGCCCTGCCTGTGCATCTATCACAAAAGGTAGGAGGGGTTGGCAAGGTAGCTTAGTGCACCCCACCTCCCAGAGGGGCGGACCCCCATCTCCAGCCATTCTGTCTCCTTTGGTTATGGGATGACCTCTCCCCCGACCTCTGGCTCCGAGCGGGTAAGGGCAGAGGCCATCAGACAGGTGTCCACTGTGCCGGCGGGAAGGTGCGAGCATCCCAAGTGCAGAGCAGAGTGGAGTTGCCAGAGGTGTGCTCTGGTTTGAGGGCTCAGGTGGTGGGAGCTGATGGGGAGACCCGTAGAGCCTCACAGGTTGGAGGAGCTTCGGATCCCACTGGGAAGGTTGGTTCTCCGTCTGTCTCCCTGCCTCTTCTTCCTCTACGGGTCCCTCTGCTCCACAGGGGTAGAACATCAATCTGTGCGAGGAAGGCCAGGCGGAGGGTGTACCCACTGCCTTGCACTGGCCTTCTCCCTAGAGGGCCGGGAGGCAGGAAGAGCCATTTCCTGTGGGGCCACAGCACTGGGCACAGTTAAAAGTAGCAGGGCCCAGATATGCCTTGGGACTCCAGTGTGAGCCTCGTCCTTGTTTCCAGCTGGAAGGAAGGCACCCTCTTGCCCAAGACAGGACACTGTGCTGCCTGGGGCCAGCACCTGTTGAATCCTCGAGCCCAGAGCTTCTTCCTGACACTCAGGCCTTTCAAAGCCTGACTCTCAGGGCCACTGCTGCACAGGGTGACAACCGGGCATGGCACGCAGTGTGGCTGGTGCAGAGGAGGCTTAAGGCTGGCCTGGGAGAGATTCTTGGTCTAGCTCCCAGCACGGAGCCTTGCTTGTGTCCCAGGGCGGCACTAACCAGAACCAGAAAAGGAAATCTTTGGCCCTCGGGGAGAATTATGCCAATTATCTGTCTGGTTCCTGTCTTTGAAAATGCCCAGATGTTGGTTTACAAATCAGGAAGCTGTCTTGGGGCAATCTCTGTTCCCTCTTTGATGCAGAGAGCCTTTCTCTGTAAACACTGGAGAGCAGGGCTTCACTGTCTGGCTCCCCTCCCGCCTCTTGCAGGAAGGACTAGATGCTGCTGATCAGCTGATCATGGCTGAGCCGGGTAGAGCTTGGGGCTCTCCTAAGAGGTCACCCACTGGGAGGGAGCTTCACAGCTGTTCTTTTGACCCAGGAAGGAGCTCTTTCAGGACTGTGGCACCCAGAGCCGTGGCCCTCCTGCCATGCCATTGTTCCCACTTCCCTGCCCTTGGGAGTCTTGGAGACAGCTGACTAGCTGCCCTGAGGGGTCCACCGCTCTCACCTTCTCACTGGTGGCTGCTGCCATTCTCCTGGGCTCTGCACAGAAAGCTTTGGTCCTTCTGAAAGCCACTCTGCCCCTTCCTGCAGCACCAGATCCCCCTGAGCCGGTACTGCTGCCTCCACCTGGGCCAAGACTAGTCTTGGTGTTCACCCTTCTTCGTGCTTCAGAAAGTAGGGATATCTGGGGACATGACTGTGTTTCCCTGGGGTCCTTTCAGAAGAGACTTAGGAAGCTCCTGCTCAGGAATCTGGCCCTCTGAAAGAGCCCCTTCAAAGCAGCCTGGGCAGCAGGTAACGTGGTTTCCCTTGCGGCCCCCTCCTCCCAGCTGCATAGACTCGTGGTTTGAAGTGAACAGATCTTGTCCGGAACACCCTGCGGACTGACCTGCGGGCTTGCTTGCTGACTCCTCTCAAAGGTGAGCCCGCGTTTGGGGGTGCTCCGGGCTCAAGGCTTGGGGTCAGGTCACTTTGGGGGCCTGCAGTTTAGGGAGCCGGGCTGCCCTTATGCCACTGAGAAGAAAGCAGGAGCAGAGGGAAGGAGCACCTCATCAGTGAGCAGTTAGTCATCCGGAAATGATTTTCCCTGGGAAGGACAAGAGATACAAACCAACATGGACAGTTATGAAGAACAGGCTCAGAAGAGTTAGGATCAGTTGGGGAAGAGACCAGTACAATCTACATTCCTAAAGAAAGTTCAGGAATATCCCCTGGGAATGTGCACGGGCAGGAAAAGGAGCCTGAGCGGTGGGTTTGTGCCTGGCTTGGCCTCATCCTCGCTCACCTCTGAGTCTCCGCCTCTTCTATGGTAACGGGGATAATCTCACTCCCTGTTGCCATAAGGACATTGCACTTACTAAACAGCCATGGGCAGTGCATTGTTCCCTGCAAAGTGCTGGTCAGCGATCATTTGACCACTGCTTCTTCCCATGCCGCTTCCAGATGAATCTGAGGCCTCCAGGCCAGACTCGATCCCTCTATCCCACAGCACTGGGTGCTGACTCCACACATCCCCCTGGCTTACCGCTGGGTCTGGCCTCCCCATTTCTCCCCCAGGGGTACCCCACTTGCTGCCAACCATCCACCCCTGACCCCCATCTCACCTGTCCCCTCCAAGTTCTGGGCTGGCATTTTCCTTTTTCTGGCAAACAAGTAGACAAAACCCCCATAAAAACCAAAAGCCCAACTCCATCTCACAGCCAAAGGTTTTGGGACCTTTTTCTTCCCCCCTCCCTTTCTCTCTCTCTTGCTTTCGTTTTCTTTTGTTAGGTTTATTTTATTTATTCCAAGTAAACTCCCAGAACAGCTGATGATGTCAGACAAATCAGGGACATTTGCTCTTTTTACCTCCACCTCAAAAACTGATGACAAGGGGAGAAGAAAGAGCCAGGGGGGAGAGTGAGGCAGGGGAGTAGAACCTGCCCAGGCACATGGCTGCAAATTCCCCGTGTGCTGTTTGGCTTCTGGGGTCCTGTGTAGACGCCCCAGCCCCGCCTGCCCTCTTGGGATGCAGCTGCCCTGGGATGAGCAGACAGCCCTCGGCCCGATGGAGCACGACTTATTTATTACGGTCCACACAGGGACAGAGCGCCCCTGCTCCAGGGAGGAGGCTCACCGGACCCTGGGGCAGAGCTGAGCTTGGGACACCAGCGGGAACAGGGCACCCCTTCTGCACTGACTTCCAGATCATGGTTCTCCCTTCCTCCCTGAGGACACCAAATTGGATGAGAGCAAGTTTGAGAGAAGAATGAATCAACTGCTATCCTTCCCCTCACCCCTCAGCCCAGGAGGGAAAGGGCATTTTCTTTTTCATCTTTGAAAGGCATTGTGGGTCTGTCTTTAAAGTGTTTACAAAAAAAAATTATATAAAAAAAAAGTCTAGTGTCGACTGGTGTTTTCCCTCGTGATGTTTACAGCTTGCTGTTTGCTGCCCAGCCATAACCCACTCAGTGACAGACGAACACAGCTAAGGCCTCGCTGCCAGCCTTCTGACGGCGGGCGAGCACACGGTCTCTTCCCCTGCCCCAACTGGCCCTCTCCACCACCAACTTCTCTACTTTGGGTTTGTTTGGTTTTTTCCCTCTATTTTTCTGGCTGGTTTTTTGCTCTTTTCTCCCCTTGAGACCCTAATATCTTGACTTCATTGCCAAAAAACAACCCATTGAGAACTTTCTTCCTACTGATCCCATCTCTTTTCCCTTCTTTCCTCCTGGTTCCGGTCAGTTCAGAGGATTTAACAATCACAAGTGTCCTGCAAAAATGCCTGAACATTATTCTTAGGCCCTCGTGGATTTTTTTTTTCAGAAAACTTAAACAAAAAAAGACTTACTAAGAAATATGTACAGCTACCCCTGTTTTCAGGCACTATGTTTGAGAACATTTTAGCCATTGATGTTCACACGTGGCATCAGCCCATGCAAGATAGGTTTCTGTATTTATATATTAAAATACAAAAAAAAACTTATAAAATGTTTAAAAAAATGTTCAAAGCTTGGGAGAAAAGCTTTCTTCATTAGTCAAGGTGTTTTGATATGGTATTAAAATGTCTAATAAAAGATGGCACTGCGTGATTTTATTTTAATGAAGTGTTATACAATCAAGAAATGGGGGCAAGGGCCTGCCCCCCACTCCCTCACCTACCTCCTTAGCATTCCTTCAGGCTGCTACTCGGGGCTCCAGGTGTGTGAATTGGTCCTCAGATAGTCAGGCCTGGGTGGAGGGAGTGGCAAGTCAGGCGTGCCTCCTACAAGCTTCCTAACCTCTTAAGCATCATGGAACCAGTCAGCCCTCTGTGGAGTCATTGTGCTGGACCTCTGAAAAGATCTGCAGGGGCCAAGATGTTGCAGCCACCGGAGGCTGCAAGGATGTGGGTTCTTCCAGGTGTGGGCCCAGCCCCCCTCCTTCCAGCCTTTGCTCCCCATCCCACGTTCCACTCGCCCTGCCTGTTGTTCAGTTTGCGTCTCAGTGCTGACTCACGGGCATGCTTCATTGAGGCCCAGGAAGAGGCCCTGGTTTGGGGCTGTGCCAGCTCAGAGCCCTTGAACCAGAACCAACTGCTCAGGCTCACAAAAGTTGGCAAAATGCGGGCTGGGCAGGCAGCTCGGGGCAGGGAGCAGCAGTGCAGGCCTGGCCTGTGTCCCCGTGCCCAGCGGGCTCCCGGAGCAGCATTCCAGAGCCTCCTGCAGAGCCAGCGAAGGAAAGCTCTAGAGGGAGACGACTCCACCGCCTCTCTGCTCTGACCCTTCTCAGGCCCGCCTGATGTGCTGGACCATCCCCCTGCTGCCACGGCCCCTGGCTCCGCAGTCACCCTCCATCAGATGCTTCCAGAAGCACCTACTCTGTGCAAGGGCATTCACAACAGGCCAGTGGGCAAACGTGAGCCAGGGCCAGCGGAGAAACACTAAAGAAGACTCGGTGGTTCAGAGCCTGGGTCTCAGCGCGGGACCCGTCTGGGGTGAAGACCTTGGGGCTGTTGTGAGTCGGTGGCAGGAACGTGGGCTCTAGACTGTGCATTCAGGCTCTCCTACTTGGCAGAATGATCTTGGGGAAACGACTTCATCTGAACTTCAGATATTTCACATGTGAAGCGGGGACAAAACCATGCAGCTCAGAGGTCCCTGTGGGGGCTGGGGGAGCTGCCCTGCAGGTCTTGGCACATGCACAGCAGGCTCCCCATAGCTTTGTCACCACAAAGGGCACTGTTCTATTCACAGCACCTCCTGCTTCTGCCTGGCAACTGTGTCTCCCTGTGCTATATTTAATTCCACCAGCAAAGCTGGCGAGGCAGGGCCCAGCCCTGAAGGAGATCTCCTTGCCTGACCCCTGGACCTGGAAATGGAGGCTTCATGTGCCCGCCTTGGCGGCTTAAGCCTGCTGCTTTGGCAGTGCCATGGGTGAGCCGAGCAGCTGTGAGGTGGGTGGGGCAGGGCTGTAGCCCACGCCGGGTGCTATTCCAGGCTCTAGGGGCTGGTGCTCATCCCCACCCCCAGCGACTTCCGTCCTACCTGGCATGCTGCAGCCCTCTGCCGGCTGTGGTGTCCTCTGAATTTGGACCCAGGTTGCCTGCTCTTGTTGTGGGGGTGGGATTGGGGCTGTCTGTGTTTCCCAGGTGGAGCTCATGTTTGTGATCCTCTATCTGGACAGCTCTCCAGAATCCTGTGTTGCCCCTGTTCTGCCTTTCTGGGATGGGAGAGAAGGTGAGGGAGCCGGCGAGCAGGTTCTACCCTCTCTGCTAAGGGCCTAGCACACTTTGATGAGGTTCCTGGACGTGAGACCCTCACAAAGACCAACCATTCCTCTAATAGCCATTTAACGGTACTGCAGTTCATGGGAAAATGTCCTCATTCTTAGGAGATAGATGCTGGATTATATAGGTGAATGCCTTCAAGAAATGTGTAATTTAATTCCAAATAGTTCCCCCCAAAATACACAAAGCAAATAAGGCCAAAATGTTCATTGTTGAATCTGCAGTGGCTGGTATTTCAGTGAACAGTGTACTTGTTCTTTCAACTTTTCTGTATGTTTGGAATTTTTCTTAATAAAAGATTGTGGGAAATGGTCATTTGCTGAGCGCCTCCTAGTTGCCAGGCACTGGAGGGCGCATCAAAGAAGAGTCCTACCCAGGAGGGAGAGCGCAGCTGCTGCAGGATTCTCGCCTGGAAGAGTGGGTGGCTGGCTGGCTGGCTGGAAGGGGAGGGGCGAGAGGGCTGTCTCGGTGATGAGCACACGCGTGCTGGGGTGGTTTGGGGAGAGGGCTGAGATTTGTCACCAGTGAGCCCTTGGCACGGTCTCTGCTCCCCACCAGGGCAGCACGGGACAGAAACGTCACGGAGGAGTAGCCTCCAGGCTCAGGTTGGTGTAACTGCTGTCGGCTGGAGCCCAGTATTAGCACGGAGGAGGGGTTCCAAGAACTGAAGTTGGACTGGGGCGTCTCAGCGCAGCTGCCTCTGCCTAAGGCCTAGCAGCCTGCCTGAGCACTGACAGCTGATGGGAGGAGGAGAGGGGCGGAGGCCAGGGAGGGCGTGGGGTGTGACATGCCTCTTTCCAAAAGGGACCGAAGGCTAGAGGGGCAAGGAAGATGAGACAGCACTGCAGGTTCCTGGGACCTGCAGGGGATGGAGGACTAGCTTGGCTTCCAGGCTGCCAGGACTTACCTGACCCTAGGAGGAGGTTTGCCCAGGGCTGAGTGCCGCAGGCCCTGGGCAGAGGAGTCGTGAGCTGCAGATGCCGCGTGGTATCTGAGCTTCATGATTTCGGGCGCCCTCCTGTGGGCTTAGGGGGGAACAACTGCCAAGGTCTCAAGACGGGCTCCGGCCCAAGACAGGGGCAGGCCCTCGGGTGGACAGACCTTGAGGGCAAAACAGCTGGTGGTACGATACATCACCCCATGAAGAGGTGGGTGCAAAAATAGTCTCATCTCTGTTTCTAGAGACGTGGCAGCTGCTGAGGAACACATTCAGTGTGTTCAGAGGCCCGGTTCAGGCCCAGTTGGGGAGCCCATCCTGAGTGACATGTGCCGTGGGCAGGTCCTCAGCTCTGAGGCGGAGTAGCTGGGACAGGGACCTGGGTTCCTTTCCGAACCCTGAGCACCAACCTCCTCCCCAGGCTATAAGAAGTCAGAGGACAGCCCCAAAACAAAGGGGTCACTGACCAAAGGACAGAGACCCTGGAGGGGGAGGGGAGGAAGTGCTGCCTGCTGACTTCCAGGTAGCTGTAGGTGGGTTTCAGGTTTATTACAGATTTATTGGGGGAGGCCCCAAGGAGAAGACCTATCATCATGTCACGGGAGCTCACGTTCCATACCAGGAAAGGAGTGTTCCTGTCACCAGGTGAAGGGGGAAGGGTCCTGGGACCCCGGCAGTGGGAGGCCTCGGGGAGGGGTGTCATCAGAGTCTTGAATGGACCCAGACGCTCTCTTCCCGCCAGGACAGGATGCGTAGGAGCAGAGAGGAAGCAGCTTTGCTGGGAACCACCCTGGGTCGTTTACTGAACCAAAGGCTCCTGGGGCCAGCCAGAGGGCCAGGGAGGTAACACGGTGCTCAGGCTTCTCTCTGGGCCCTCTGGCCTTGGGCCCAGATACAGTGGGCTCGCTGGCAGGAAGACTGCCTCAGCATCTATTTCCTTGCAGGGGCCGTGGCATGAAGAAAAGTTCCAGAACCGGCTCCGTAGTCAGGGAACTTGTGGGCTAAGTGCTCAGACCCCCTTCACAGCACTTTGCCTGGATTCATGAGGCCTTGGGGGTCTAGCACGGCCTTGAGCTGCCGCATGGTCTCCACGCCCACGGCGCCCACCTCCTCCTGCAGCAGCTGCCGCTTGCCCATTCCGATGCCATGCTCCCCCGTGCACGTTCCGTGGAGAGCCAGTGCCCGCCTGGGGGCAGGAAGGAGACATCCTCAGGGGGCTCCCTTTCCTCTGCCCTCAGCTCTTCCCCTCCCTGGCTTTGCTCCTACCTGCCCAGCTGTTCTGCAAAAGCCTTGACCCTGCCCAGTTCCTCGGCGTCATCAGGGTTGACCAGCAGGATGCAGTGGAAGTTGCCGTCACCCACATGCCCGACAATGCTTCCTGGGGGCCCAGAGGACAGAACTATTCTCCAGCCCAGTCCTCCTCTTGCCTCCTGCTGCCCCAGGCTCTGATCAGCCCTGACACCTCCCCACCTCTCCCCAGCAGCAGGGTGGGCAGAACCTGTGAGTCCTGAGGCATTCAGATCCTCCTTGGTCTGCACCACGATCTCCGGCAGCCGGGAGATGGGCACACACACATCCGTGGAGTAGCCCTGGTCAGAGGGAAGCCTATGAGTTACCCCTGCCTGATTGGGTGTACGGGGTCACCGTGGTCAAGGCTGAGGATGGGTCGGAGGGCACTGGGCTTCAGCTCTTGGCCTCACACAAGGAAATAATCCTGCTCTTCTCTAGGCCTCAGCCCTCACCTCCCCCCGACACAACACAGGAGACCAATGGCCCAGGTGTGCTTGCCACACCTCCCCTGTGGCTCCCACCCCCAAGCCCCAGGCTGCTGAGCCTTTGCATAGCTGCCTGGAGCCCAGACTTCCCTTCCCCAGGTTAGGCTAACATCCCCCTCTCTATCATCTCTTCCTCCAGGAAGCCTTCCTTCCATGTACAGCTCCCAAGAGCACCGCACCGTTCCCATGACCTGGCTCACAGGAAGGGCTTTTGAGGGCTTAGCAGACAACTGTGCTTTCCCTGTAGACGGTATCTGAACAGCTGGGTGGGGCGGTCTGCAGCCCTTGTTTCTAGCGCCTGCTCAGCCAGGCCCAGCCCCGTTGTTGAGGCTCAGCCTGCTGCTCTGTGCAGTAGAGTGGTGGGTTGAGGAAAGGGTTTGTGGGCCGAGCTGTGGGCCCCATCTGTACCCCAGCCCCAGCTCACCTTGCAGCCTGGCCGCGTGGCCAGGGCTGCGTACCAGGCATTGTGCCGTGCTGTCCAAAGCCGGCTGCGCTCCTCGGCCTCCTTGGCCCAGGAGAAGTCAGAGGCTCCGTTCTGCTGGACTATCTCCTCTGCAGTTGGGGAAGGGGGGCTGACACCGGGCCGCCACTGAGGCAGCCCACCCTGCTGCCCCACTCCACCCCAGCATACCTGTGCGCTGCAGCTGCTCCTCCAGTGCCTGCTGGGAGCCATGGAACTCCAGGAAGAGTGTGGGCGCCACTAAGCAATTCAGCTTGCTGTACCTGTTGCAGGCATCCATCATGACTTCATCCAGGAACTCTGGATCCAGGGAGATGGCAGGCCAGGTGAGGCCTGGCCTTCCCAGGGGGCCTCTTCCAGGGAGCCCACCCTGACTGCCCCCATCCTCAGCTCACCAATGCGGGCTACGGGCACTGCAGCCTGGAGGATGTGTACAGTGCTGTCCACAGCAGCCTGGACACTGGGGAACGCACACGTGGCGGCCACTGTGGCCTCAGGGGCAGGGTGCAGGCGCAGGGTGGTGGCTGTGATGAGGCCCAGCGTCCCCTCGGAGCCCACGAAGAGCCCCGTGAGGTTGTAGCCGGCTGCACTCTTCCTACGTCCCAGGGACACACAAGGTGAGTACCAGGCTGTGTGATGAGGGATTTCTGGCCAGAAGCCGAAGCTGGAACCCAAGACACCGACCCCAGGCACTGAGGTCTGGGCTGGCCTCCCTCGGGCCCAGTTTCCCTGGCCCAGTGCTTTCTGCTCCACAAAGCCAGTCGGCCTCAGGCAGGGAGAGCAAACCCTGGTCCCATCCACTTTGGCCCAGCTGACAGGGCTTCAGAGCCTGAGGAAGCCTAGCCTGCCAAACCAGGGGGCCGCCAGGAGGTGCTTTTCACAGCCCGGTCTCTGCAGGGCAGCCCGCCAGCAGTGCCCAGGGCCAGAGCCCGGGCCCCCCGCAGAGGGCGCTCACCGGAAATGCCGGCCTCGGCCCGCCGTGTGCAGCAGCCGCCCGTCGGGCAGCACCACCTCCAGGTTGAGCACGTTGTCCCGCATGGTGCCGTAGCGGACCGCGTTGGTCCCCGACGCCCCGGTGGCCGCCATGCCACAGAGAGAGGCGTCCGCGCCTGGGTCTGGAGGGCGGCGTACAGAAGGCAGCCTCAGGGACCGGAGGTCCTTTCCCTCGGGCTGGGGGAGGAAGGTCCCCTGAACCCCAGACACAGCCCTGCTCCCACGGTGCCCTCAGGGTCCCAGGAAAGGTTCGCGAGTCCTACCCACGGGAAACCAGAGGCCGCTGTCCCGCAGGTGGGCGTTGAGGGCTTTGCGGGTGACACCTGGCTCCACCACCACAGAGAAGTCCTCCTGGTTCAGCTCCAGGATTCGGTCCATATGCGTCAGGTTAACGCAGACGCCGCCCTGGTTGGGGCAGGTGCTAAGACCACTGCAGACCTGGGTCTCTGACCTGGCCACGTCCCCGGACCACACCCCGCGGGTGTCCCCCCAGCAGCCAGACCAGACCCCCAGAGGCAGGCAGCCCACGGGCGGGAGCAGACCCAAGGTGCCGTGTGTGGCGGGGGAGGCAGCCACAGGTGTGCCAAGGTGTGCTGGGACCATCCTCGGGCCGGGCGAGGGAGCCCCACTGTACCTGCACAGCACAGACGCCACCCTCAAGCCCGGTGCCGGTGCCGAATGGGATGATGGGCACACCTTGGCGATAGCACAGGGCTGCCAGCCGGCTGACCTGCTCCACGTTCTGGGGCCACACCACAGCATCAGGAGGTTCGCACCTAGAACCAGACCCTCAGCGATTTAGCGGGGCGTGACACCCTCTGGTCCCGAGGTGTTGCAGGGCCTGAGGCTACAGCAAGCGAGGGGCAGAGAACATGCCAGAGCACCCCAAAACAGATGAGTGAGGAGGAAGGCAACCCAGCACCCTCTCTCTCAGCTGGGGTTGAATCCAGAAGACAGGGGAGGGGCCCGCGAACCCTCCCATACCTGTGCACCGACTCATCGCGCCCGTGCTGCTCTCGGACCACCGCGGCAGTGGACACGTGGGAGCCGCCCACCACGGCCTTCAGAGCCTCTACGAAGTCCCTGCAGAGCTCTCCCTGCAGGGAAGAAACACACTGCCAGGGTCCCCCGAAAGACACATGGGGCCACAGCCCTGCCCCAGTGTCGGGGGGAGGGCTGGGGGCTGGAGGCTGGAGTGAGCCTCCCCTGCGCCCGCCCCGCTGACAACATCCTTGCCAGGTGGGCCCACTTTAAACAAACCCACTATCCAGAAATGCCTCTTTTCCAAACAGAGCCATTGGGGGTCAAAGTTTCCCCTCAGAAAAAAACGCCACCAGAATTTTTTTAATGTTTTCTTTTTTAATAAAAACAGGGTCTTACTATGTTGCCCAGGATGGTTTCAAACTCCTGGGCTCAAGCGATCCACCTGCCTCGGCCTCCCAAAGTGCTGGGGTTACAGGCGTGAGCCACAGCGCCCAGCCATCCAAATAAAAAACCAGAATTCACTCTCCAAAAAGGCTATCAGCAGGGTTCCTTCAATAGCCAGCCCAGCCTGAGCAACCGAAAAGATCCCTCACTTCCTCCTTTCTCCAGGGCCAACCAAGCACCACCCCAGCCACAGGGAACTCAGAGCTTGATAAGGGAATTAGGGGGAGGAAAAGCTTCCACTGCCCCCTCCCCACTCTACGTTGCCTGGGGCTTCTGGGCCCTTCGTGGGGGGCGGGGCGCGGCGGGGCGGGGGATGTGTTTCTTCCCATTTTACAGATGAGAAATGGAGGCCAAGTTAAGGACAGAGCCTGGCCTGGAACCCAGGCCCTTTCCTTCAGGGCCTTCTTCCACAGGTGTGTTTTATTCCAGGGGCATCCATTTGACTCCCCCAGCCCCACTCATGGTAGCAGTGGGGACTCAGCTGATCTCACTCTACACCCACCCACAGTTGCCACAGGGTAAGCCCAGTGCCCTTTTGCCCAAGGTCAGGTCACTTGGTGCTGGGGCGTCACAGAGCCCAGGAAACTTGGGATCAGAACCCCCTGCTCCCCGCTCCCCACCTCATCCCTCCAGAGGACTTCTCTTCTCTCCCGGTACCTTTGCCTTCTGGGAGCAGTAGCCCCTCCAGGGGAACAGCTCCCAGGTTGCAGACCTGAGCAGTCGGGCCATAGCCAGGCACTGGCCAGAGGGTGTGAGCACTGGGTGGCAGGGTGACCAGTCAGCTACTGTGGCAGCAGCTACTGCTGCTGTCAGCCCATTGGCTAGGCCAGGGGTGGGGCCTGCTTAAGGTGGCACGGGCTTTAAGGTGGCCCTTGCAGATCTTGCAGACATTTTCGTGGGCTCCAGGGACGACACTTCTAAAGGAGAGGCGAGGTTCACTGGACGTTTTGGGAAACTGTAAGGCAAAAATAAAATTCTAAGCCTCCCAACCGACTGAATGGACCTCCCTCTCAGCCCAGGGCATTCCAAAATAAACCTGAAAAATTAATTCAGGCTGTGATGGGAAGAGGTTTAGGACAAGCCTCATTATCCCCCTCCTTCCTTTAGAATTCAGACACAACTGACCAGCATTAACATTAAAACAGAGACCTTAAGGCATTCTGATCTTAAGACACAAAACAGACTCTTTGTAGCAATAAGATACCAAATTCCAACCTGACTCTAGCATCACCTGACAGATAGCAGGCCCTGAAAGAAATCAATGTATTTTACCCCCAAAATATATTCCTCTGATTTTTTTTTTAAATAGCTCCAAAAAGCTGTCTTTTGTGGGGAAAATCTAGAATCTGTAGAGAATCCCCTCCCCTTTCCAGGTTTTTTGTTTTGTTTTGTTTTGTTTTGAGACAGAGTCACTCTGTGGCCCAGGCTGGAGTGCAGTAGCGTGCTGCAACCTCCACCCACTGGGTTCAAGCGATTCTCCTGCCTCAGCCTCCCAAGTAGCTGGGATTACAGGTGCCTGCCACTGTGCCCAGATAATTTTTCTATTTTTAGTAGAGACAGGGTTTCACCATCTTGGCCAGGCTGGTCTTGAACTCCTGACCTCGTGATCCACCTGCCTTGGCCTCCCAAAGTGCTGGGATTACAGGCATGAGCCACCGCGTCCAGCCTCTTTCCAGGTTTTATCCTGATCTAAGGGAGATTTAACTAAGAGTCTGGCACCTTTTAACGCCTTAGACATTTACCATCTATGTTACATAATAAGAACCTTGGGCCGGGTGCAGCGGCTCACATCTGTAATGCCAGCACTTTGGGAGGCCAAAGTGGGAGGATCACGAGGTCAAGAGATAGAGACCCTCTTGGCCAACATGGTGAAACCCCGTTTCTACTAAAAATACAAAAATTAGCTGGGCATGGTGGTACACGCCTGTAGTCTCAGCTACTTGGGAGGCTGAGGCAGGAGAATCGCTTGAACCCAGGAGGTGGAGGTTGCAGTGAGCTGAGATCGCACCACGGCACTCCAGCCTGGCGACAGAGCGAGACTCTGTCTCAAAAAAAAAGAACCTTGGTCTCCACAACTCCTTATCTTAACCCAGATGCTTATTTCTATTGATTCCAGGTTGTCTTTTTTAAAATTTTTTATTTAAAAAAAATTTTGTTGTTGTATACCAAGATTCCAAGTCTTTGGATAATAACTTCTTTCAACCAATTGAAAATCAGAAATTTTTTTTTTTTTTTGAGATGGAGTCTCACTCTGTTGCTCAGGCAGTGGCGTGATCTCAGCTCACTACAACCTCCATCTCCTGGGTTCAAGCTGTTCTCATGCCTCAGCCTCCCAAGTAGCTGGGATTACAGGAGTGCCACCATGCCCAGCTAATTTTTGTATTTTTAATAGAGACAGGGTTTCACCATGTTGGTCCAGGCTGGTCTCGAACTCCTGACCTCAAGTGATCCACCCGCCTTGGCTCCCCAAAATGCTGGGATTACAAGTGTGAGCCACCGTGCCCAGCGCCAATCAGAAAAGTCTTTGAATTCACCTATGACCTGTAAGCTCCTCCCTCAATCAGAAGGAACCAATGCATACCCTGCTTATATTGATTACTGTCTGATGCCTCCCTAAACTGTATAAAACCAGTTGTAACTCAACTGCCTTGGGTACATGTTCTCAGGACCTCCAGGGAATGTGTCACAGGTCATGGTCTTCATGTGAGTGGTGGGAAATCCATACAGGTCTACATAAAACTCAATGCTTGCCTCATCAGAAGAAAGAATTCTACTGAAGAGGTCTGAAAGGGAAATATCTTGAGCCCCCAAAATTACTAAGCTAAAGGGAAAAGTCAAGCTGGGAACTGCTTAAGGCAAACCTGCCTCCCATTCTTTCAAAGTCACCCCTCTGATCACTGAGCTAAATGCATATCTGATTGCCTCCTTTTGAGAGGATAATTAGAAACTCAAAAGAATGCAAACATTTGTCTCTTATCTACCTATGACCGGGAAGCCCCCTCCCTGTCTTTCCAGACCCAAACAATGTTCATCTTACGTATGTTGAGTGACGTCTCAAGTCTCCCCAAAATGTATAAAACTAAATTGTGCTCTGACCACCTTGGGGACATGTCATTGGGATCTCCTGAGGCTGTGTCACACCATCATCATTGGCAAAATAAACTTTCTAAATTAACTGAGACCTTTCTCAGATTTGGGGGGTTCATATTTTGGTAACCACAGAAGAATTCTGACTGGAGGCGCCCCTGACCTTTGACAAAGCTATCAGTGCTTGGTACCAGCTTGAGCTATCTTTATGGCTCAAACCAATAGGACAATTTGCTGAGGCCCGGAAGCACACCCTCCAGAGAATACCTTATCTTTCAAAATCTGGTCAAGATCTAAAGTTCATTTTGTTGTACAACTCCTCTTTTTTTTTTGGAGTTTTACTTGCTTCTAACACAAGGAAGGCAAATTTTTCCTGCTTCCATGTTGATGGAAGGCAGGTAACTCCTTTATGGTGTTTGAGCTCGCAACCAACAGGGAAGATGAGGGTTTTTCCCTGCTTCTAGGATGGTAGAGAGCAGTCTTCAGCCTGAAACCCATCCCTAGGTAAGTAACTGAATTGGGGTTTGTTTTGGCTAAAGTTAAGATTACAACCAGCTGGTCTTAATTTCTCCTTACCACTAGAAAGCTTAGTAATCATATAAATTGTGTGATCATTTGTTTTGCTTAACTGTTTTGTTGTTGTTCATTTCTCTTTTTGTTGTTCTTTCAGTCTTTTTCCCATTGGGTTTGATCAACTCTATCTGACTTGATCAAATACAAAGGAAGTCCCAAATTATGGGGAACAAGGCCTCTGAAGTGGCTAAATTCACACACACACACATACACAAAGGATGATGTGATAGGGGGTGAAAAACAGCCAGCAAAAGGAAAAAAAAAAGGAAAGATTTTTTATTTTGACTACTAAGTGGCTTTAGTTACACAACGAGGCCACCTTTTTGCTAGCCAGGCCAAACTGAAAGAGCAATGGCTGTGCTTCTGAAATAGCAGCAATTTGTCCTAGCTGAAATATGGTAATGAGATTTTAAAAGATTTTTTTAAAGGAGCTCAATGATTAAAAGTCAGCTTAATTAAAAGCTAACATCGAAGATGTGCATGTGTATGTGTGGTGTGTGTGTGTGTGCGCATGTGCGTGTGTGTGTTTGTATTTAAAAGGACTTCATGTTTTTGTTTTTGTTTTTCTCCAAGAATCTTGTCTTTTTTTGAGCGAAAGTTTTTTTCTTCTCAGTTGACTGAATTCTGTTTTCTTCATTTACTTCGGCTGTATCTCCTTTCTCTTGCACCCTCTGCTGCATGAGGGACCTAAAATAGTTTATAATAGCTGGGGTTCCTTAAAGAGAACAGAGAAGGCACCAGGCTCCCTTTAAGGGAGAAACCTGTTTTTTCTTATGCAATCCCCAGAGTGTAAACAGGCAAGTTCGTCTCGTCTCTTCAACTGCTTACTTTTGTATTGTTGTTACCTGTTTGTGGTTTTTTTTTGGGTTTTTTTTTGTTTTTTTTTTTGACTAAAATAGTTATTGCAACAGAGGTTACCCTTGGGTTTTTTTGTTTTTTGTTTTTTGTATTGTTTGTTTGTTTGTTTTGAGTCTGAGTTTCACTCTGTCGCCCAGGCTGGAGTGCAGTGGCGCAATCTCGGCTCACTGCAAGCTCCGCCTCCCGGGTTCACGCCATTCTCCTGCCTCAGCCTCCCAAGTAGCTGGGACTACAAGCGCCACCATGCCCAGCTTGTTTTTTGTTTGTTTGTTTGTTTGTTTGTTTGTTTTGTATTTTTAGTAGAGACGGGTTTCACCGTGTTAGCCAGGATGGTCTCGATCTCCTGACCTCATGATCCGCCCGCCTCAGCCTCCCAAAGTGCTGGGATTACAGGCATAAGCCACTGCACCCAGCCTACCCTTGGGTTTTTAAGGAAGACTATGGTTTAGACACTTAGAAATGTCTTTGTTTAAAAGAAGTTTTTTAAAAAGTGCACTGTAAAAGCATCACGTGTTCTAACCTCATAATAAGTGTCCCTTCTTGGAGACCCAGGATTCAGTGTGGGCTCTGCCCAGAGCTCAGAGATCCACTTAAAAGGTAGTCCCTTTATCTAAATAAAACTAGTCTCCTTATACAATCCTATGATAAATTTCTTTTTTGTTTTTTTTTTTTTGAGACAGAGTCTCGCTGTCACCCAGGTTGGAGTACAGTGGGGTGATCTCTGTACTCCAGAGAGTACAGACATAACTGGGACTACAGGCGCCCACCACCACGCCCAGCTAATTTTTTGTATTTTTAATAGAGACGGGGTTTCGCCGTGTTAGCCAGGATGGTTTCGATCTCCTGACCTTGTGATCCGCCCACCTCGGCCCCCCAAAGTGTTGGGATTACAGGAATGAACCACCACACCCGGCAAATTTCTTTAATTTTATGTTTGATTTGGCATTCATCTTTCATCTCCCTCTGGCACCATCAGACTTTTTCTCTCTGTACCTTATGATGTAAATTTTGCTATTTGATTTTCACCTGAGTTGTTTCCTTTAATATGCAAACATAAGGCTAGTTAGCTGACAACTGCCTAGGGTTGTGAAGCAGGTTATCAATAATCTGAGTGTATCCATAAGATGTACTTCTATCAGCATGCCTAATACGTCTATGTATTTATGTGTTGTGTACACAATGCTTCACTACTGAAAATGCTTAAAAGAGCTCTAATTAACTGGCTTAAGAAAATAAAAGTGCTCGAATGAAATGCTTTATCAGGAAAAAAGACTCGTCAAATATTTTTTCAAGTTTATGTAACTCAGTAAAATTATTAATAAATAAGCTAGCCTTAAAATTACTGGTAAAGTAATATTAGAAATGTCTGAAGAATTGCCAGCATACATTTTTGTTTGCATATTAATCCAGCAGTTTCATACTTATCCCTGCCAAATACTATAAGGTGTCAAAATTTCTCATAGGGGTTACAAAACTGTATACCCAGCCCAAAACAGAATGATCTTTGCTTGTGTAAGCTTGTTAGAAATGCAAAATGCTTATTCCCCAGTGCCACAAAGAAATAGCACTCAAACATAAATTTAGTTTTCTCAGCAAGGCAATTTTCACTTTCTGCAGAAAAGGTGCCCCTCGCAGATGAAACAATGGTGAGAGCACACTTGGACAGGGGAGGGGCAGGAGTTCTTATTCCTCATGCAGGTAGCCCCTACTGCTGTGTCGTTCCCCTATTGGATAGGGTTGGACCGCACAGTCTAAGCTAATTCCAATTGACTATTTTAAAAAGAGCAGGAGTACCAGCCGGAGTGGCAGGGTGAGTAGTTTAGCAGTAAGGGCGGTTACAGAACAGTTGGCTCAGGATGAATCAGGACAGAGTAGGTGACCAAGAGTGACTCAGGTCAAAGCAGGTGACCAGGGGAACAGCTGTGAACTACTGATTAGGACTGGCGGGAAAGTTGTTTACTGAAACTAGAAGCTAGGGGGCAAAGAGAACCAGGAAGCTAAACTTTAAAATGGAGAATCAAAGAATAAGAGAGCTGAACATACTGACATACTGATTCTTTGAAGAGAAACTTGGAGTTCACTATATTTAACAAATCTTTAATAAATAAGACATTAATATTGGTTTAATAAAAATAGCTACATCTTAAATTTAGTAAGATTACCATAACTTCTCATCTTGTGGCTTTAGGCAGTCCGGTCTATAGGCAATAGTGTTTGTTTTGGAAAAGCACTGTTATCATCTTTGTTTCAAAGCTAAATTATAAGTTCCTCCCAAAGTTAGTTTGGCCTATGCCCAGGAATGAACAAGAACAGCTTGGAGGTTAGAAGCAAGATGGAGTCACTTAGGTGCAATCTTTTTCACTGTCTCAGTGATAATTTTGCAATGGCAGTTCCATAATTTTAAATAATGACAAGCACAGTTTTTATAAATAATCTAGGTAAGTAATTAAAATAAAATAAGTAAATATTATAGGATAAATATAGACAAACTCATAATTTTGAATCTAAAGTTAAATAATAGAGATTTTATTATTTGGGTATTTTCCAATAAAAATATATTTGGGCCAAGTGCAGTGGCTCACACCTGTAATCCCAGCACTTGGGGAGGACAAGGCGAGTGGATCACGTGAGGTCAGAAGTTTGAGACCAGCCTGGCCAACATGGTGAAACCTCATCTCTATTAAAAATGCAAAAATTAGCTGGGCACAGTGGTGCATGCCTGTAGTCCCAGCTACTCAGGAGGCTGAGGCAGGAGAATCACTTGAACCCAGGAGGTGGAGGTTGCAGTGAACCAAGATCATGCCACTGCACTCCAGCCTGGGCGACACAGAGACTCTGTCTAAAATATATATATGTGTATATATATATATATGTGTATATATATTTGTGGAATGTTTTCCTACAAATATATATATAAGAATGTGTGTGTGTGTGTGTGTGTATATGTATATATATATATATATATATATATATATATATATATATATATATGTAGGAAAACATTCTTTTTTTTTGGAGAAAGAGTCTTCCTCTGTCACCCAGGCTGGAGTGCAGTGGTGCAGGGTTCAAGCAATTCTCCTGCCTCAGCCTCCCAAGTAGCTGGGACTACAGATGCATGCCACCATGTCTGGCTAATTTTTTGTATTTTAGTAGAGACAGAGTTTCACTATGTTGCCCAGGCTGGTCTCGAACTCCTGAGCTCAGGCAATCTGTCCACCTCAGCCTCCCAAAGTGCTGGGATTACAGGTGTGAGCCACCACACAGGCCAAAAACATTCTTTCTTAAAAAAAGTTGTGTCCCAGCCAGGTGTGGTGGCTCACACCTGTAATCCCAGCACTTTAGGAGGCCAAGGAGGATGCATCACAAGGTCAGGAAATCAAGACCATTCTGGCCGACACGGTGAAACCCTGTCTCTACTAAAAATACAAAAAAAAATTAGCTGGGCCTGATAGCACGCACCTGTAGTCCCAACTACTCGGGAGGCAGAGGGAGGAGAATCACTTGAACCCAGGAAGCAGAGGTTGCAGTAAGCCAAGATTGCGCCTCTGCACTCCAGCCTGGGTGACAAAGTGAGACTCCATCTCAAAAAAAGTAAAATACAAATAAAAAATAAGTGTGTCCTTTTGAAAAAGGTGAACAATTTTTGTCTAATTGAAAGTTTTTTTTTTTTGAGACAAGAGTCTTGCTCTGTTGCCCAGGCTGGAGTGCAGTGGTACAAAGCTCACTGCAACCTCTGCCTTCCAGGTTCAAGCGATTCTCCTGCCTCAGCCTCCCAAGTAGCTGGGATTACAGGCACCCACCACCACTCCTGGCTAATTCTGATATTTTTTAGTAGAGACAGGGTTTTGCCATGTTAGCCAGGCTGGTCTTGGACTCCTGACCTCAGGTGATCTGCCCTCCTCAGCCTCTTAAAGTGCTGGGATTACAGGCGTGAGCCACCACGCCCGGCTTCAAAGCTAATTTAAAGGTCATGTATAAAACAAGGTAAAAGGGGCCGGGCATGGTGGCTCACGCCTGTAATCCCAGCACTTTGGGAGGCTGAGGCGGGTGGATCATGAGGTCAGGAGATCGAGACCATCCTGGCTAACACGGTGAAACCCCATCTCTACTAAAAATACAAAAACAAAATTAGCTGGACGTGGCGGCAGGCGCCTGTAGTCCCATCTACTTGGGAGGCTGAGGCAGGAGAATGGCATGAACCTGGGAGGCGGAGCTTGCGGCGAGCTGAGATGGTGCCACTGCACTCCAGCCTGGGCAACAGAGCAAGACTCCATCTCAAAAAAAAAAAAAAAAGCAAGGTAAAAGGAACCAGGGAATAAAAGAGATGTAAAAAAAAGTTATAAAAATAAAGAGGTTTTTTTTTTTTTTTGGTAAGAAAGCTTAAAGAGAAATAATTTCATATGAGAAAGAATTTTGTATGATAAATTTAGTACTAAAGTAAAATGGCTGGTAGTTTAAGAAAGAGGAATGGGCTGGGCTCACTGGCTAAGGTCTGGAATCCCAACACTTTGGGAGGCCGAGGTGGGTGGATCAAAGGTCAGGAGTTTGAGACCAGCCTGGCCAACATGGTGAAACCCCATCTGTACTAAAAATACAAAAATTAGCCAGGCATGGTGGCACGCACCTGTAATCCCAGCTATTTGGGAGGCTGAGGCAGGAGAATTGCTTGCACCTAGGAAGCAGTGGTTACAGTGAGCTGAGGTCATGCCACTGCACTCCAGCTGGGACAACAGAGCAAGACTCTATCTCGAAAAAAATTTTTTTTTAATTAAAATTATCACATCCTTCTATCTGCCTGTATGTACTTTTGTTTGTTTGTTTGTTGTTTTGTGACGGAGTTTGGCTCTTGTCGCCCAGGCTGGTGTGCAATGGCACAATCTCAGCTCACTGCAGACTCCACCTCCTAGGTTCAAGAGATTTCTCCTGCCTCACCCACCCAGGTAACTAGGATTACAGGCATGCACCACCACACCTGGCTAATTTTGTATTTTTTTAGTAGAGACAGGGTTTCACCATGTTTGTCAGACTGGTCTTGAACACCTGACCTCAAGTGATCACCCACCTGGGCCTTCCAAAGTGCTGGGATTACAGGCCTGAGCCACCGTGCCCAGCTGGAAGTTGTATTTTATGATCAAGATGAAAATTTTATAAATTGTTTATAAAATTTTGGAAAACAAATTTAATTGGCTTCATGTTGTTTTTACTAGGGCTTATCATTTAAATCTCTTCTCTTAAAGAATGAAGGTTTTCAGGCCGGGTGCGGTGGCTCATGACTGTAAGCCCAGCACTTTGGCAGGCCGAGGAGGGCAGATCACCTGAAGTTAGGAGTTCAGGACCAGCCTGGCTAACATGGTGAAACCCCATCTCTACCAAAATACAAAAATTAGCCAGGCATGATGGCAGGTGCCTGTAATCCCAGTTACTCAGGAGGCTGAGGCAAGGAGAATCGCTTGAATCTGGGAGGCAGAGGTTGCAGTGAGCAGTGAGCTGAGATCAACCCCCTGAACTCCAGCCTGGGCAACAGAGCAAAACTCCATCTCAAAAAAAAAAAAAAAAAAGAATGAAGGTTTTCACTGTATTTTTTAAATCCTTGAGTTATCACTTTGGTTAAATGAATTCTTCTTTTAATTAATTAACTAATTTATTTATTTACTTTTGTGAGACAGAGTCTTGCTGTGTCGCCAGGCTGGAGTGCAGTGGCACGATCTCGGTTCACTGCAACCCCCGCCTCCCAGGTTCAAGCGATTCTCCTGCCTCAGCCTCCCAAGTAGCTGGGACTACAGGCGTGCATCACCATGCCCAGGTAATTTTTTTATTTTTAGTAGAGACAGGTTTTCACCATGTTGGCCAGGATGACCTCAATCTCTTGACCTCATGATCTGCCCACCTCAGCCTTGCAAAGTCCACCCGCCTCGACAGAGTCTTGTTCTGTCACCCAGGCTGGAGTGCAATTGTGCAATCTTGGCTTACTACAACCTCTGCCTCCCAGGTTCAAGTGATTCTCCTGCCTCAGCCTCCTGGGTGGCTAGGATTACAGGCATGCGCCACTACACCAGGCTAATTTTTGTATTTTTAGTAGAGATGGGGTTTCACCATGTTGGCCTGCTGGTCTCAAAATCCTGACCTCAGGTGATCCACCCACCTTGGCCTCCTTAAATGCTGGGGTTACAGGCATGAGCCAGCACGCCCAGCCAGTTAAATGAATTATTTTGCAATGACTTGTAATCCTATTTTGTAATATCAAGTGTTTTATACCTTTGATATTTGACAAACTTTCCAAGATAAAATTATAAATTATGTTTTTTTCTGACCTAACTAGTCTTTTAAAATGTTATTAATAGGTTCTCTAAAATCCAAAAATGACATATTTGGCTTATTTGGTCTAAAAATTATACAGGAAGCATTGTCAAATATAAAATGGTGTTTGGTTTTCTTTGGGCTGTATTCCTATAAATATGTTATTGGTATGTGTCCCAAAATTATGAGAAACTCCTATAATTCTGATCTGACTTAATGTACATTATCAGTAATAACCATAATTGTTATGTTAAATTATTGTGTGCTGCAGAAGTAACAAATTTCCTTGCCAATTGTATCTTTGACTATGGCTGCTCTAAAACTTTTTGTCATTCACGGATAATCGTCTTGTTTTGGTCCTCTTTGGTTTTACAATCAGCTATAAAACTGATTTTATAAAAGGTAGTTTTATAATCAGCTGTAAAACTCTAAAACTCTAACAGGTGCTCTTTTTTTGGGCAGGGAAAGAGTCTCCCTCTGTTGCTCAGGCTGGAGTGCAGTGGCATGATCTCAGCTCACTGCAACCTCTGCCTCCTGGGCTCAAGTGATTCTTAACTCCGGCCTGGGCGACAGAGCAAGACTCTGTCTCAGAAAAAAAGCATGAGCATGAAGAGGGAAGCATGAGGAGATCAGTCTCCCAAGTAGCTGGGACTGCAGGCATGTACCACCACGCCTGGCTAATTTTTGTATGTTTAGTAGAGATGGGGTTTCGCCATGTTGGCCAGGCTGGTCTTGAACTCCTGGCCTCAAGAGATCCGCTGGCCTCAGCCTCCCAAAGTGCTGAAATTATAGGCATGAGTCACTGTGTCTGGCCTAACAGGTGCTCTTGAATGCAGGTTTCTGATAACTTTGGAGATTGTGACATCAGCATAAAGGAAAAACTTTCAGGATTCAGGGAGGGCTGAAATGTTCATGAATATCAAGCAGAACAGGAATTAACTGCATGGACTAAACTAATAGAAGTCTGAAGTAATCTTTTTAACTTTTTGCTTAAAACATTGCTGATCTTTGTTTTGCTTTTCAGAGTCAAGAAAACTTTTAAGCTATTTACAACTTTTAACAATTGAGTTAAGTATACTCAAGAACAAAATTCAGAGCATATTTGTTTCTCTCTACCTGATTTCTACAGATTTTGGAAACTATTTGTGAGTATTCCTAACTTATGACAATACAGTTATTTGCATAAGTGCAAAAAGAATCTGTTTTCATTTGTAACAGGACACCATTGGAGAAACTAGTTATTTTTACCAAGACTTTGACCAGAACGGTGTGCTTTCCTTTAAGGAATCAAACTTCACTTATGGAGCCAATAAAAGCCCCTTGAAAAACTGGCCTCATACCTTTGTCTACACAGTCCCTGTAAAGGGTTCCTGACCTGTGGTAAGTAAAGAATGTCACTGTGGGGCCCAGGAGCCCCACGTTTATCTTGGAACCTCAAGAGGAGAAGAATTTACCCAACTCATCAGTATTTGATGGTACAAATTCATGGCTGGGCTCGGCTTTAAAAAAAGTCTTATCTGAGATTCCTTCTCTGGGACAACGTTCCATCAAAACCAGTTTAAAAGCCTGTGTAAACATTAATTATTTTTGCTGTAGTGTATACAAATAATTAGGCCAAGTACAATAAAGCAAACCAGTCCTACCATGATTTGTCTTTAGTAAAAATAGGAAACTAGAGAGAGGAAAATTATGTTTCCAAAACTATAGTAACACTCATTGTTAGATTCTAGTCTTGTCTAATATTTTTCAATTCTTATTATTATCTACAGTTTGAACCAAATTCTAATTTTTCTTGGCAACGTGTCTTCAAAATAATGTTTTCAAATTTTTCCTTCTTTTTTTCCCCATTTTGCCTAATCTGGAGTCACTGAAAACTAAGCTGTGTTTTCATAAAGCCCTGTGAACTGAAGCTGGACAACTTAAACTTCAGAAGAAAATAACAGCAACCTATTTATATTTATATACATAAGCCACTTTTTTTGTTGTTTGTTTATTTTTGAGACAGAGTTTTGCTCTTTGTGTTGCCCAGGCTGGAGTGCAATGGCACAATCTTGGCTCATTGCAACCTCCGCCTCCGGGGTTCAAGCTATTCTCCTGCCTCAGCCTCCCAAGTAGCTGGGATTACAGGAGTGCACCACCACGCCTGGCTAATTTTGTATTTTTAGTAGAGACGGGGTTTCTCCATGTTGGTCAGGCTGGTCTCAAACTCCCGACCTCAGGTGATCCGCCTGCCTCAGCCTCCCAAAGTGCTGGGATTACAGATGTGAGCCACCGCGCCGGGCCAGCCACTTTCGTATCTGTCTACTGATGTATGGACTTCGGAGTAATGTGGCCTATATCAATTTTTCAGGATTGTTCTTTTGTTTGTTGTTGTTCTCCTTTCCTCCCCCTATTTTCTCTTCAGAGGACGTGAGACTTCACAACCTTCTAAAAATGAGCTTTCCTAGCAACTAGGGACTTACCTGTCTAGGAATAAACCATCCTAGCCATGAGAGATCAGATGAAACCTGAGATCAGAGACTGATTTTCTTCTAAAATGCTTTCTCTAAAAGATTTTTAAAAAGAAAAAGGGGGAATGTGAAGGAAAATATCTTGAGTCTTCAAAATCACTAAGCTAAAGGGAAAAGTCAAGCTGGGAACTGCTTAGGGCAAACCTGCCTCCCATTCTATTCAAAGTCACCCCTCTGCTCACTGAGATAAATGCGTATCCTTTTGCCTGTCTTGGAGAGGCTAATAAGAACCTCAAAAGAATGCAACCATTGGTCTCTTATCTACCTATGACCTGGAAAACCTTCCCCACTTCTAGTTGTCCCGCCTCTCCAGACAGAACCAATGTTCATCTGACATATGTTGATTGATGTCTCATGTTTCCCTAAAATGTAAAAAAACAAACTGTGCTGTGATCACCTTGGGCACATGTCACCAAGACCTCCTGAGGCTGTGTCATGGGCATGTGTCCTCAACCTTGGCAAAATAAACTTTCTAAATTAACTGAGATCTGCCTCAGATTTTTGGGGTTCACAGAGGCATAAGGCAGAAGGAGAGACCAAGGCAAGTTTTAGAGCAGGAGTGAAATTTTATTTAAAAAGCTTTAGAGTGGGAACAAAAGGAAGGAAAGTACACTTGGAAGAGGGCCAAGAGGGCAACTTGAAAGACAAGTGTGTGGTTTGACCTTTTGACTTGTGGTTTTTTTGTTTTTTGTTTTTTTTCAGACAGAGTCCACTCTGTCGCCCAAGCTGGAGTGCAGTGGCGCAAGCTCGGCTCACTGCAACCTCCACCTCCTGGGTTCAAGTAATTCTCCTGCCTCAGCCTCTCCAGTAGCTAGCTGGGATTACAGGTATGCACTACCACACCTGGCTAAGTTTTGTATTTTTAGTAGAGATGGGGTTTCACCATGTTGGCCCGACTGGTCTCAAACTCCTGACTTCCAGTGATCCGCCTGCCTCAGCCTCCCAAAATGCTGGGATTACAGACATGAGCCACCATGTCCAGCCTGACTTGGAGTTTTATATGGTGGCACGCTTCTGGGGGTCTTGCAGCCCTTCTCCCCTGATTCTTTTTTTGAGGTGGGTTGTCCACATGGTCAGTGGCCTGCTAGCGCTTGGGAGGGAAACGTGCAATTTGTTGACTGGCCTTGTACGCATGCTGACTTGAGGCTTTCTTCCCTTACCAGCTGAATGTTCCTAGAAGGTCATATATCTCTTAAACTCCATCATTTTGCTTCTTAGTACGCATGCTCAAGCTCAGTCACCCAACTCCTGAGATCTTATTGGGAAGCTGATCATCCGTTTCAGGTTTTTGTATCTATTGGGAAACTGCCTTTCCCTGGAGCAGGCTGCCACCAACTGTTATTTTAGAGAAACAGTGTAACTGCCTG
Organism: Homo sapiens; assembly: GCF_000001405.40. Classification (NCBI taxonomy): domain Eukaryota; kingdom Metazoa; phylum Chordata; class Mammalia; order Primates; family Hominidae; genus Homo; species Homo sapiens. Next base: position 75,130,684 of record NC_000016.10, read on the forward strand.
ACCATCACCTGAGGGTGGCCTGACTTTCCTGTTGGGTGGAGGGGGAGCCTTCTCTTGCCCTGTTCATGCCTGCCTAGCTACCTACCGTAATACTCACATGAGTAAATCCCTTCAAGTATTTTACAGTTTGATTCTTTTTTTTTTTTTGGTTGACAAAACTGAGGGATAAAGACCATTCCACGGCCTAAAACGCTTCAGTGGCTTCCTGTGGCCCCTCAAACAAATGCAAAGCCCTTGCAGTGGCCTTAAAAATCCTGCTGTGCCCTGCTGACCTCCCCACAGATCTGGCACCTTTTAGGGCCTGATATCCATTTATCATCTTTCCTATATCCCGCTTCCTCCCAACCTCCTCATTGACCTCCTAAGATCCAGCTTTCCTTTCTGTCCCTGTGGGCCTCAAGCTCTAGCCAGGCTTGCTCTTGACACACGCTGTGCCCTCGGTCTGGCATATTCTCCAGGCTTTCCACCTGGCCAGTTCTTCCTCACCCTGCAAGTCTAGGTATCAGTGTCCCACTTAGAGTGGGCCACCCTCAGGAGCATGAGGAGGGAAGCTCAGGGAGGGCTTTCAGGATGGGATGGGGTTGGGCAGTGGGGCAAGCCAGGGAGGCTTCCCGGAAGAGGAAATTTGAGGATGAGCAGCAGTTTTCCAGGTAGGTGAAAGAAAAGACTTCACAACTCTTTCATATTCACCCTCCCCGGGGCAGAGCTCAGGACCATCCTGGAGTGATGCGGCTGCTGTTCTTGAAGCTAATTCCTAGCTCGTTTTCCTCCCACAGCAAATGAGAAGCATCACGTTGCTAACATCACCAAAACAACGATCTACCTACCCTCGTTTTTCTTCCCATCAAATCGGGAGTGCACACTCCCCTCTCATCCTAGCTGGGTACACACTCCCCTCTCATCCTAGCTGGGTCCTTCACCCCTGCCATATTTGAATGAGTTTATATGTCCACCTCGGTTCGTTGCTTACCTGGATTGTCTCAAAAAATGTCTATCTTGTCCAGGCACAGCGGCTCACGCCTGTAATCCCAGCACTTTGGGAGGCCGAAGTGGGTGGGTCACCTGAGGTCAGGAGTTCGAGACCAGCCTGGCCAACATGATACAACCCTGTCTCTACTAAAAATACAAAAAACTAGCCGTGTGCAGGGGCAGACACCTGTAATCTCAGCTACTTGGGAGGCTGAGGTGGGAGGATCGCTTGAACCCAGGAGGTGGAGGTTACAGTGAGCCAAGATCACACCACTGTACTCCAGCCGGGACGACAGAGTGACAGAGATTCCATCTCAAAAAAAAAAAAGAAAATGTCTGTTTTACAGTTGGTTAGTTCAAATCAAGTTTGGTTGATGCGTCTCATAAATCTTTTTATCTGCAAGTTTCCCCCTTCCTTTTTTCATGGCATGTATTTGTTAAAGAAACTGGGTAAGCCAGGCATGGTGGCTCACACTTGTCATCCCAGCGCTTTGGGAAGCCAAGGCGGGGAGATCACTTGAGGTCAGAAGTTTGAGACCAGCCTGGGCAACATAGCGAAACCCCATCTCTACCAAAGATATAAAAAATTAGCCAGGCATGGCGGCATATGCCTGTAGTCACAGCTACTTGGGAGGCTGAAGTGGGAGGATCACTTGAGTCTGGGAAGCAGAGTTTGCAGTGAGACAAGATCATGCCACTGAGCAACAGAGTGAGACCCTGTCTCAAAAAAAAAAAAAATGAAGCAGGGTCATTTGTTCTGTAGAAATTTCCATATTCTGTATTTGGGTGATTGCATCCTTGTGGTATTGAATATATTTCTCTAATCTCTGTATTTCTTATGAACTATTATATCTAGGTGAGATGCTGGCCAGTACAACTTTCTGCTCTGATGGAACCATGCTAGATCTGCGCTTCCCACTTTGTAGCCAGTGGTCATGCATTGCTATGGAGCATTCAAAATGTGGCTAAGGTAACTCAATTGTCTATTTCATTTCATTTCTTTTTTTTTTTTTTTTTTTTCCGAGACAGAGTCTCACTCTGTTGCCCAGGCTGGAGTGCAGTGGCCCAATCTCGGCTCGCTGCAACCTCTGCCTCCTGAGTTCAAGTGGTTCTCTTGCCTCAGCCTCCTGTGTAGCTGGGATTACAGGCATTCACCACCACACATGGCTAGTATTTTTTTTTTTTTTAGTAGAGATGAAGTTTCACCATGTTGGCCAGGCTGGTCTCAAACTCCTGACCTCAGGTGATCCATCCACCTCAACCTCCCAAAGTGCTTGATTACAGGCATGAGCCACCACGCCCAGCCTCATTTCATTTTAAGATTTTTTAACTTTTTTTTTTTCAAGACGGAGTCTTGCCCTGTCACCCAGGCTGGAGTGCAGTGGTGCGATCTTGGCTCACCACAACCTCTACCTGCTGGGTTCAAGCGAGTCTCCTGCTTCAGCCTCCCAAGTAGCTGGGATTACAGGTGCATGCCACCACGCCCAGCTAATTTTGTATTTTTAGTAGAGACAGGGTTTCGCCATGTTGGCCAGGCTGGTCTCGAACTCCTGACCTCCGGTGATCTGCCCGCTTTGGCCTCCCAAAGTGCTGGGATTACAGTGTGAGCCACCGTGCCTGGCCTTTAACTTTTATTTTAGATTCGGGGGTACATGCGCAGATTTGTTACATAGGTAAACTCATGTCATGGGGGTTTGCTGTATAGATTATTTCATCACCCAGGAATTACGCCCAGTATTCAATAGTTACCTTTTCTGCTCCTCTCCTCCCACCCTCCACCGTCAGATAGACCCCAGCATCTGTTGTTTCCTTCTCTGTGTTTATAAATTCTTATCATTTAGCTCCCACTTATAAGTGAGAACCTGTGTTTTCTGTTCCTGTGTTAGTTTCCTAAGGATGATGGCCTCCATCTCCATCCATGTTCCCACAAAAGACATGATCTTTTTCATGGCTGCATAATTTTATTTTAATTCATTTTAATTTTGAGTGGCTATTATATTGGACAGCACATATTCAGAGGCTTGATTGGATTCAGATTCCGCTTTCTTTGGCAAGACTACTTCACAGATGATGTTGTGTGTCCATGTACATTTTAGAATAAGTTTTAGATCTTCTGCCAGGCATGGTAACTCACGCCTGTAATCCCAGCACTTTGGGAGGCTGAGGCGGGTGGATCACTTGAGGCCAGGCATTCGAGAGCAGCCTGGCCAACATGGTGAAACCCCGTCTGTAATAAAAATACAAAAATTAGCCAGGCGTGCTGGTGCATGCCTGTAGCCCCAGCTACTTGGGAGGCTGAGGCAGGAGAATCTCTTGAACCCAGGAGGTGGAGGTTGCAGTGAGCCAAGATCGTGCCACTGCACTCCAGCCTGGGCGATAGAGCAAGACCCTGTCTCAGAAATAATAATAATAACAATAAGTTTTAGGCCTTAAAAATTCCACCTGGATTGGGGGACAGGGAATTGAAAGGTATAGGATTTCTTTCAAGATGATGAGAATATTCTGGAATTAGATAGCGGTGATGGTTGTGCAATATTATGAATATTCTAAGAACTACTGACTTACACACTTTAAAATGGTAAAAATTCTGAATGTTATGTTAGGTGAATTTTATCTCAAAAAAATTTTTTTAATTCTAATTGGAATTTTGATTGAGATTGAATTCAATAATTAGTTTATTAATTTTGTGAAATTTGGCTTCTTTGTAATATTAAGTTGGTCATTAAAGATAATGAACTTGAGCCCAGGAGTTTGTGACCAGCCTGGGCATCAATAGCCAGATCCCATCCCCAAAAAACATTTTTAAAAATTAGCCAGGCCTGGGCTGGGCGCGGTGGCTCACACCTGTAATCCCGGCACTTTGGGAGGCCGAGGCGGGTGGATCACAAGGTCAGGAGATCGAGACCTGGCTAACATGGTGAAACCCCGTCTCTACTAAAAATACAAAAAATTAGCCAGGCGTGGTGGCGGGCACCTGTAGTCCCAGCTACTCAGGAGGCTGAGGCAGGAGAATGGCGTGAACCGGGAGGCAGAGCTTGCAGTGAGCCAAGATCGCACCACTGCACTCCAGCCTGGGCAACACAGCAAGTCTCCGCCTCAAAAAAAAAAAAATTAGCCAGGCCTGTCTGGGCGTGGTGGTTCATGCCTGTAATCCCAGCACTTGGGGAGGCCGAGGCGGGCGGATCACCTGAGGTCTGGAGTTCAAGACCAGCCTGACCAACATGGAGAAACCCCATCTCTACTAAAAATACAAAAGCCAGGTGTGGTGGCGCATGCCTGTAATCCCAGCTACTCGGGAGGCTGAGGCAGGAGAGTCGCTTGAACCCAGGAGGCGGTGTTTGCGATAAGCTGAGATCGTGCCATTGCACTTCAGCCTGGGCAACAACAGTGAAACTCCATCTCAAAAAAAAAACAAAAAAAACTAGCTGGTGCCTGTAATCCCAGCTGCTTAGAAGGCTGACGTAGAAGGATTGCTTGAACCCAGGAGTTACAGCGTGCAATGAGCCATGATCACAACACTGCACTCCAGCCTGGGTGACAGAGTGAGACCTTATCTCAAAAAAAAAAAAAAAAAAAAAAAACCACTGGAAACAGCCAAGAGATCCTTCACTCATTCATACAGTGGAACGTTAATCAGCAATTCTAAAAATGAGCTATCAAGTCACAAAAAGACAAAGAAGAACCTTAACACAAAATAACACAGAGGAACCTTAAATGCATATTGCTAAGTGATAGAAGTCAGTCTCAAAAGACTATATACTGTATTATTCCATCCACATGACATTCTGGAAAAGATAAAACCATAGGGACAGTAAAAAGATTAGTGATTAGCTGGTAACAGTGGCTCCAGCCTGTAATCAATTCCAACACTTTGGGAGGACAAGGTGAGAGGATTGGTAAGCCCAGGAGTTCAAAGCTGTCCTCGAGTCTGGGCAACAGAGTGAGACCCTGTCTGGGAGGGAATAAATTTAGTGATTGCCAGGTGTTCAAGGTGGGAGGGATAAATAATGAAGAACAAAGGATGTTGAGGGTGGTGAAACCCTTCTGTATGGTACTATAATGGTACATACATGACATTGTGCATTTGTCAAAACCTATAGAACTTTACCACACTGAGTGAAACAATACAGACAAGTTTTTATCTTTATTATTCATTAATTAATTTGGTTATTTATTTTTTGAGACGGAGTCTCACTTTGTCACCCAGGCTGGAGTACAGTGGCCCAATCTTGGCTCACTGCAACCTCCACCTCTTGGGTTTCAGGCGATTCTCCTGCCTCAGCCTCCCGAGTAACTGGGATTACAGGCACCCGCCGCCATGCCTGGCTAATTTTTATATTTTTAGTAGAGATGGGTTTTCGTCATGTTGGCCAGGCTAGTCTCGAACTTCTGACCTCAAGTTATCCACCCACCTCTGTCTCCCAAAGTGCTGGGATTATAGGCATGAGCCACCACGCCCAGCTAAGGCAAATTTTTAAAAGATCATTTAGGAAGTCGGGGGAGTCCCAGGAAAAAATGCAGATGGTGGCAAGAGAATCTAACTTTTTCTTTCTAAATGTATAAAACAGCCCCACTGAAGAGGGTTGGGGAAAAAGGCGCTGACATAAGTAACTTTGGAACTGAATGGAATTTGTAAAAGTAAAGGCAAAAGGAACTACATGTCAGTACTGTACTCAAGTCAATGAAGTTGTTTTTTGCAGGGATACTCGTCGACAGTCCTACTATGGCTATACATGTATACTGGAACAATAGTCAATAGTTGGTGAATGGTAGGAGCCAGGCTTCTCACTGGTTGACTGAAAATTTACAGTTCAGTGAGAAAGGAGGCCAGAATGATCCATATGATAATGAATTACAATTGAAGAATCAGTAACAACTCATGTTTAACTTAATACAGATACAGTTAATTACATATAGAACTATTTATAGATATAGACTGGGCATGGTGGCTCAAGCTTGTATTCTTAGAACTTTGGGAGGCTGAGGCAGGAGGATCACTTGAACCCAGGAGTTTAAGACCAGCCTGGACAGCATGGTGAAACCCCATCTCCACAAAAAAATACAAAAATTAGCCAGCCGTGATGGTGTTCACTTGTAGTCCTAGCTACTTTGGGAGACTGAGGCAGGAAGACTGCTTGAGTCCAGGAGTTCAAGGCTGCAGTGAGCTATGGTCGTGACACTGTGCTCCAGCCTGGGCAACAGAGCAAGACCCTGTCTCAAAAAAGAAAAGAAAAGGAAAAAAAAGGACCCTGTTTGTAGATATATGTATATGCACACCTTAGTATACATACATATATTTCTTTGCTCTGTCAGCCAAGGGGTCCTAAAAATAATAATAATACCCTAAGAAGCAAGGAGCCCACCCGGGGCCAGCATTTGTGTTTCTAATGCCAATCTCCAGTAAAGGAACCAGGGGCCCTTGGAGAAAGGGCTGATTTTAGGACAAGGGGAAGGAAATATATGAGATGGCCCTGGATTATCTTGTAATGTCAGAAAGTAAGAGAGTGTTCACACACACACTGATTGGGCATGTCAAAGGGGCCCAGGAGTCACCTGAGAGAACTCCTAAGGGCCAAAGCTAGAACACTTTGATTGACAAACTAAGTAGAATAATATTGGGTTATTCCCCAAAGTTAAGTATTCATGAGTCCATAGTGATATATTAATAAGTAACTGAGGCTGGGTGCAGTGGCTCACACCTGCAATTTCAGCACTTTGGGAGGCTTAGGTGGGAAGATCACTTGAGAGCAGAAGTTCAAGACCAGCATGGTCAACAGGGAGAGAGACTCAGTCTCTACAAAAAAAATTCTTTTTTTTTTTTTTTTTTTGAGACCAAGTCTCGCTCTGTCCCAGGCTGGAGTGCAGTGGCGCGATCTTGGCTCACTGCAAGCTCCGCCTCCTGGGTTCACGCCATTCTCCTGCCTCCTCAGTCTCCTGAGTAGCTGGGACTACAGGCGCCCACCACCACGCCCGGCTAATTTTTTTTTGTATTTTTAGTAGAGACGGGGTTTCACCGTGTTAGCCAGGATGGCCTCGATCTCCTGACCTCGTGATCCGCCCGCCTTGGCTTCCCAAAGTGCTGGGATTACAGGCATGAGCCAACACGCCCGGCCCCAAAATATTCCTTTAATGAGCTGCATGCAGTGAGGCTTAGGCAGGAGCATCACTTGAGCCCAGGAGTTGCAGGGAGCTAGGATTCCATCACTGTACCCCAAGCTTAGGTGGCAGAGTGAGATTCTGTGTCCAAATAAATAAATAAATGATTGAATACATTAGTAAATGGGGAAAAGAGACAAGCCTCACCTGCAGAATTCCAAATAAATTATTTAGATACCTCACCCTAAAGGCAGGGTGACATAACCTCCCACTTCCTTTTTTTTTTTTTTTTTTTTTTTTTTTTTTTGAGACGGAGTCTCACTCTGTTTTCAGGCTGGAGTGCAGTGGTGTGATCTTGGCTCACTGCAACCTCCACCTCCCGGGTTCAAGTGATTCTCCTGCCTCAGCCTCTCAAGTAGCTGGGACTACAGGCGTGCGCCACCACACCTGGCTAATTTTTGTATTCTTAGTAGAGATGGGGTTTCACCATGTTGTCCAGGATGGTCTCTGTCTCTTGAGCTTATGATCCACCCACCTTGGCCTCCCAAAGTGCTGAGATTACAGGCGTGAGCCACCGCGCACAGCCAACTTCCCACTTGTTAAACGTGGACTGTGCAGAGTGACTTCCTTCCAAAGAGTACAGAATAAAAAGGACAAACAAAAGGAGTAACTTTATAGTGGAGACACACCTTCAGCAGGATGATCAAGGTCGATATTAACACTCATAAGCCATGTGGATAGCATGTACCTTTACTGGGTCGAATCACGTCCTCCCAAAGCTCACATCCTCCCTGCAACCTCGGACTGTGACCTTATTTGCAAATAGTGATTGCAGATGTAATTAGCTAAGATGAGGTCACACTGGAGTAGAGTGGGCCCTTAATCCAATATGGCTAGTATCCTGATTAGAAGAGGTGAAGAGAAATGGACCCCGGAGGGGAGAACGCTACATGAGGGAAGTGATGCAGAGCCAGCCGCAGCAGCGAGGGAAATCCCTGGAAGGCAGGAAGAAGCATGGCAGGCTGCCCCCTGCGGCTTTCAGCAGCAGCAGGACCTTGCCGACACCTTGCCTTTAGACTTCCGTTCTCCAGAACTGTGAAAAAATAAATGCATGGTGTTTTCAGCTGCCCAGTATGTGGTCCTTTGTGATGACAGCTCTAGGAAATTAATGCCAGATCCTTGCTATGATGACGTAATGGAAGTGGCACTTTACCTCTAGGATCTTCCTCCCCAAAACCCACAACTCCATTCTAATCATGAGAAAAACATCGGATACATTTCAATAGAAAAGCATCCTACAAAATACCTATCTAGTAATCCCTCAAAACTGTCAGAGCTGGGCTGGGCGCGGCAGCTCACGCCTGTAATCCCAGCACTTTGGGAGGCTGAGGTGGGCGGATCACGAGGTCAGGGGATCGAGACCATCCTCGCTAACACGGCGAAACCCCGTCTCTACTAAAAATACAAAAAATTAGCCAGGTGTGGTGGCGGGTGCCTGTAGTCCCAGCTACTCGGGAGGCTGAGGCAGGAGAATGGCTTGAACCCAGGAGTCGGAGCTTGCAGTGAGCCGAGGTTGCGCCACTGCACTCCAGCCTGGGCGATAGAGCGAGACTCCATCTCAAAAAAAAAAAAAAAAAAAAAAAAAAAACACCGTCAGAGCCAGTCGGGCCTGGGGGCTCACGCCTATAATTTCAGCACTTAAGGAGGTTGAACCAGGAGGATTGCTTGAGCCCAGGAGTTTGAGACCAGCCTGGGCAACAGAGAGAGACCCCATCTCTACCAAAAATAAACAAATAAGTTGGGCATGGTGGCGCACATGTGTGGTCCGAGCTACTCAGGAGACTGAGGTGGGAGGATTGCTTGAGGCCAGGAGGTGGAGGCTGGGATTACAGGCATGAGCTACCACACCTGGCCAGGAGATCCCTCTTGATAAGAGTGGCTTTGTTTACATGGAGGCCTTGGACAAGCCAGGTGGTTTATACTTAGAGTCATCAAAATTCATAGAACCAGGAAGAAGAATGGTGGTTGCCAAGGGCTGGGGAAGGAAGAAATGGGAGTTAGTGTTTCATGGGTAGAGTTTCAGTTTTACAAGATGAAAAGAGTTCCAGCGATGGATAGTGGGGATAGTTGCGCGATATTGTGGATGTATTTAATACCTCTGAACTGTACACTTGAAAATGGTTAAGATAGTAAATTTTATTACATATGTATTTTACCACAATAAAAAAAGTTGAGGCTGGCCAGGCATAGTGGCTCATGCCTGTAATCCTCCCATTTTGGGAAGCCAAGGTGGGAGGATCACCTGAAGTTGGGAGTTCAAGACCAGCCTGACCAACGTGGAGAAACCCCGTCTCTACTAAAAACACAAAACTAGCCGGGCGTGGTGGTGCACTCCTGTAATCCCAGCTACTCAGGAGGCTGAGGCAGGAGAATCTCTTGAACCTGAGAGGTAGACGTTGCGGTGAGCTGAGATCACGCCATTGCACTCCAGCCTGGGCAACAAGAGTGAAACTCCATCTCAAAAAAAAAAAAAGTTGAGGCCAGGTGTGGTGGCTCATGCTTCTAATCCCAGCACCTTGGGAGACTGAGACAGGAGGACCACTTGAGCTCAGGAGTTCGAGACCAGCCTGGGCAACAGAGCGAGATCTTGTCTCTACAAAAAGAAAAAAAATTGAAAAACAATGCACTGTCCCCTCAACTCCTGCTATGACCTCCTTAGCAATGAACACCATCTGACATGCTATATATTTTACTCATTGTTTATTCTTATTGTCCCCCCAACTACAATGTAAGCTCCACCAGGACAGAGAGCTTGTGTCTTAGTCACAGCTGTGCTCTGGCATGGCGCCTGCCACCAGCAGCTGACAAACTTACGCAAGCATTGCAGCAATGCTGAATAAAGGAATAGAAAATAAAAACACTTGGGGGAGGCCGGGCACGGTGGCTCACGCCTGTAATCCCAGCACTTTGGGAGGCCAAGGCGGGCGGATCACGAGGTCAGGAGATCGAGACCATCCTGGCTAACGCGGTGAAACCCCGTCTCTACTAAAAATACAAAAAATTAGCCGGGCGTGGTGTTGGGCGCCTGTTGTCCCAGCTACTCGGAAGGCTGAGGCAGGAGAAAGTCATGCATCCGGGAGGCGGAGCTTGCAGTGAGCCGAGATCGCACCACTGCACTCTAGCCTGGGCGACAGAGCAAGACTCCATCTCAAAAAAACACAACACTTGGGAGAAAAGTCTAAACTTGTCATTCAGAACCTCACAAAAATAATCATTTTGAAACCTGGCAAGGAGAAGAGAATCATTGCTAATATTTGGCCAAAAATTGTTCTTAAACATTGACTTTCTCCAAAAATTGTTCTTAAACATTGACTTTCTCTGGTTCACAGTCCAGAAGAAGGAACAGAAAATCGAGTGAAAAAGTTGATTATACAAATTGGGTCATTCTTTTTTTTTTTTTTTTTTTTTTTTTGAGACGGAGTCTCGCTCTGTCGCCCAGGCTGGAGTGCAGTGGTGCAATCTCGGCTCACTGCAAGCTCCGCCTCCCGGGTTCATGCCATTCTCCTGCCTCAGCCTCCCGAGTAGCTGGGACTACAGGCGCCCACCACCACACCTGGCTAATTTTTTGTATTTTTTTAAGCAGAGACGGGATTTCATCGTGTTAGCCAGGATGGTCTCGATCTCCTGAACTTGTGATCCGCCCGCCTCGGCCTCCCAAAGTGCTGGGATTACAGGCGTGAGCCACCGCGCCCAGCCCAAATTGGGTCATTCTTGTCATATCCAACTAAATCAGAGTTGAGAGGTCAGAAAAAAATGCACTTAGGGCACATAGCACTTACTCCAAGAAATAAATTATCTGTGTGTAGTGGCTCACGCCTATAATCCCAGTGCTTTGAGAGGCCAAGGTTTGGGAGGATTGCTTGAGACCAGGAATTTGAGACCAGCCTGGGCAGGATAGGGAGACCCTGTCTCTGCAAAATAAACAAATTAATTTAAAAAAAAAAAAAGAGAGAAAAAGAGGCTGCACCATGGTGGCTCAAGTCTGTAATCCCAGCACTTTGGGAGACTGAGGCGAGTGGATCATTTGAGGTCAGGAGTTCAAGACCAGCCTGGCCAAAATGGTGAAATCCCATCTCCATTAAAAATGCAAAAATGAGCTGGGCATGATGATGGTGGGCGCCTGTAATCCCAGCTACTTGAGAGACTGAGGCAGGAGAATTGCTTGAACCCAGGAGGCAGACATTGCCGTGAGCCGAGATCGCGCCACTGCACTCCAGCCTGAACAACAGAGCAAGACTCCATCTCAAAGAAAAAAAAAAAAAAAAGAGGCTGGGCGCGGTGGCTCATACCTGTAATCCCAGCACTTTGGGAGGCCAAGGCAGGCAGACCACAAGGTCAAGAGATCGACACCATCCTGGCCAACATGGTGAAACCCCGTCTCCACTAAAAATACAAAAAAAAAAAAAAAATTAGCTGGGCGTGGTGGTGCACACCTGTAGTCCCAGCTACTCGGGAGGCTGAGGCAGGAGAATCATTTTAACCCGGAAGGTGGAAGTTGCAGTGAGCTGAGATCACACCACTGCACTCCAGCCTGGTGACAGAGCAAGACTTCCTAAAAAAAAAAAAAAGAAAAGAAAAATAAATTTTCTGTGAGGCCAGCTGCTGAAACGTCCTGCTGTAACCCTAAGACCAGTTGGACCTAGTAGCTGCTGAAGTGACCTGCCATCACTCTAAGACTAGTTTAATCTACTGTTGTCACTCACCAATCTGAGCTTGCTAGCTCCCAAAAGTGTCTCTAGCACCAGTGAGCTTCTTTCAAAACAATTCATAATATTTCTCTTGCTCATAAAATTCCCAAACTTCACTTAATTCTTCTGACATACTGAAGACTACCCAGTCTATGTGGATGCCTCATATTGCAATTCTTGCTTCCCAAATAAAACCTGTTATTTTATCTATATTTTTATTTTTTGAGACAGAGTCTCACTTTGTCACCCAGGTTGGAGTGCAGTGGTGCGATCTCAGCTCACTGCAACCTTGGCCTCCAGGGTCAAGTGATTCTCCTGCCTCAGCCTCCCAAGTATCTGGGAGTACAGGTGTCCATCACCACACCCAGCTAATTTTTATATTTTTAGTAGAGATGAGGTTTCACCATATTGGCCAGGCTGATCTTGAACTCTTGACCTCAAGTGATCTGCCTACCTTGGCCTCCCAAAGTGCTGGGATTACAGGCCTGAGCCACTGCACCCAGTCCCCAAATAAAACATTTTACATTTAGAGATTCATTTCTATATTTTATTTGACTTTGACAATTGATATACAAAATTTAACATGGTTAGGAAAATCCAGACCATATAGAATTTCCTTAGAATAAATAACCCAGTGTTTTCAACAACTAAATGGCAAATAAAAAAAAAGATATAGAGGGGAAATGTATATATGAGAAGACATCACACAATCTGAGTACGTGGATTCACTGGGCCTGAATTTTTTGTTTTGTTTTTGTTTTTGAGATGGAGTCTCACTCTTGTTGCCCAGGCTGGAGTGCAATGGTGTGATCTGGGCTCACTGCCACCTCCGCCCCTCGAGTTCAAGCAATCCTCCTGCCTCAGCCTCCCAAGTAGCTGAGACTCCAGGTGCATGCCACCAGGCCCAGCTAATTTTTTTGTGTGTTTTTAGTAGAGATGGGGTTTCAATATGTTGGCCAGGCTGGTCTCGAACTCTTGACCTCAGATGATCTGCCCGCCTTGGCCCCCCAAAGTGCTGGAATTACAGGCGTGAGCCACTGTGCCCAGCCCTGTTAATTTTTTATGTGTGATAATATTGTTATTACATTTAAAGTATGATCTACAGACCCTGGGGTCTCCAAGCCCTTTTCTGGGGATCCAGGAGGTGAATCTTTTTTTTTTTTTTTTTTTTTTGAGACATAGTCTCACTCTATTGCCCAGGCTCGAATGCAGTGGCATGATCACAGCTCACTGCAGCGTCAACCTCCTGGGCTCAAGTGAACCTCCCACCTCAGCTTCCAGAGTAGCTGGAACTACAGGTGCATGCCACTGCGCCCACCTAATTTTTGTTTATTTTTTTGGTAGAGATGGTTTTGCCATGTTCCCCAGGCTTGTCTCAAACTCCTGGGCTCAAGGGATCTGCCTGCCTTGGCCTCCCAAAGTGCTGGGATTACAGGCATGAGCCACTGCACCGGCCACCAGTGGTGATATTAATGTAGTTGTTTGATACTGTATAATAAAAGGTGTCAACATTTAGAACCTCTGCATGAGCTGGCCAGGTCAGCAATGTGTTTCTCAGAAACACCCGCTACACTTTCTCTTTATTTTTCAGGGAAAATTAATAGAGGACAATGTGGTTGTGAATTTTAGAAGGTCTTGAAAAGTACAGCCCACACACGTGGTGCTTACTCAGTGCTGTTACACATAAGGCGGTAAGGGGAATTTATCTTGTGTGTATGTGTGTGTGGGGGGAGTTCTCCATTCTCTTCGTATAGTTCAGTGTTTAGTCTTTTTAAAATATGCATAGTTTTTTACAAAAATAGGATTACGCTGCACATATTCTTGTGTGATCAGTATTATTTCATTTCTCAATGAAATAACCCCCACGTGGGTAATACACATTATCCTTTTTAGTGTTTCCCCAAATTCTCCTTACATATCACCACAATTTATTTTACGTTTACCTACTAAAAGATTTTTAGATCCTTCCCAAGGTTTTGCAAATATAAATGGCAATGTGAGGAACATTCTTGTATATACATCTTTCCATAAGATTATAGGTTATGGTAATTTATAATTTTTAAATGTTGGTATAATAAGATCTTCAGAAAAATTTGATGTGTACACTCACATCACAATGTTGTATATCCATCACCACTTTCTCCTTCCAGAACTTTCTCATTATCCCAAACAGAAACGCTATACCGTTTAAGCACTAACTCCCCATCCCTTTTTATTCCAGTCCCTGGTAACTCTGTTTTACTTTCTGTCTTTATAAATTTGCCTATCCTAGGTACGTCATATAAATGGAATCATACAGTATTTGTCCTTTTGTGTCTGCCTTCTTTCTTTTTTTCTTTTCTTTTCTTTTAAGAAACAGAGTCTCATTCTACTACCCAGGCTGGAGTGCAGTCGTGCAATCATAGGTCACTGCAGCCTCGAACTCCTGGGTCAAGTGATCTTCCTGCCTCGGCCTCCTGAGTAGCTGGGGCCACAGGCACATGCCACTACCTCCAGCTTGGCTTATTTCACTTAGTGTATTTTCAAGTTTTAATCACGTTGTAGCGTGTACCAGAACGTCATTCTTTGATATGGCTGAATAATATTCCACTGTATCCATTCATCAGCTAATGGACACTTGGATTGTCTCCACCTTTGGATATTGTGAATAATGCTGCTATGAACATTGGTGTAAACACCTTTCTATGAACCTGTTTGAGGATATTGTTTTAATTAAAAGCAAGCTGCTACCACTACATACCTATTAGAATGGCCAAAATTCAAGACACTGACAACAAATGCTGGTGAGAAATTGGAGCAACAGGAATTCTTATTCATTGTTGGTGGGTGCAAAATGATGCAGCCACTTTGGAAGACAGTGTTGGCAGTCTCTTACAAAACTAATGATATGGACAGGAGGCAGGAGGGCGGGATTCCTGGTGAGGGTTCTTACCCTCAAGCTTGGACCCATGGCCCTAAATGAGAACAGGCATTCCTGTTTTCACGCCTGTACGTTGCCTTTTCCAAGACCATTGTGGCCCACCCTGCTCTCTATCCTGTGCCCATAAGAACCCCAAATCCCAGGCTCCACAAACAGAAGAGCAGCAGAGGGGCAGAGGGGCAGAGCTGCAGAGCAAGGTGGTGGAGAAGGAGAAAAGAGAAGAAGCAATTGAGCATTGAAGAGGTAGCTGGATGGTCAGAGAGGAATTTGGCCAGGGACAGCAGAACTCCAGGGGACGATTATCTTCCCACGCCATCCCCTTTCCAGCTCCCCATCCTGCTGAGAGCCACCTCCCTCACTCAATAAAACCTCTGCATTTACCATTCTTCAAGTCCATGTGACCTGATCCTTTCTGGATGCTGGACAAGGACCTGGGTATTAAGAGGGCAGGGTGTAAAAGGCTGTCACCCTCACTCTCCACTGAGCTGGTTAACGCTTAGCTGTCCATGGATGGCAACTGCTAGAAGAGCATTAATTGTAACACACCCCTAGATGCTACCATGGGGCCAGAGCCCAAAGGTGCTCACCCTGGCCCTGGCACCCACTTGCCTCTGTGCTCCCCCTCCCATAAGGGGTTTTAGCACAGTGGCTGAGTAAGCTAGCCACGACAAGTCCCGCGAAGGGGTCCAGGGAACTCTCCTGTCTCATTAACATACTGTTACCACACAATCCAGCAACCATGCTAATTTTTTTTTTTTTTTTTGGAGACGGGGTCTCGCTCTGTCGCCCAGGCTGGAGTTCATTGGTGCAATCTCGGCTCACTGCAAGCTCCGCCTCCCAGGTTCACGCCATTCTCCTGGCTCAGCCTCCCAAGTAGCCGAGGCTACAGGTGCCCGCCACCACGCCCGGCTAATTTTTATTTTTGTATTTTTATTAGAGACAGGGTTTCGCTGTGTTAGCCAGGATGGTCTCGATCTCCTGACCTCGTGATCCGCCCGCCTCGGCCTCCCAAAGTGCTGGGATTACAGGCGTGAGCCACTGCACCCGGCCGCAACCATACGATTTACCCAAATGAACTGGAAACTTATATCCTCACAAAACCTGAACACAGATGTTTAGAGCAGCTTTATTCATAGTTGCCAAAACTTAGAAGCAACCAATGTATCTTCAGTAGGTGAATGGATTTAAAACACTGGTACATGCAGACAGTAGAATATTATGCAGCACTAAAACGAACTGAGGCTGGGCACAGTGGCTCATCCCTATAATCCCCGCACTTTGGGAGGCCAAGGCAGGAGGATTTCTTGATCCCAGGAGTTTGAGACGAGCCTGGGCAACATGGCAAAATGCCATCTCTACAAAAAATACAAAAAATTACCCAGGCATGGCTGTGTATGCCTGTAGTTTTAGCTACTTGGGAGGCTGAACTGGGAGGGTCACTTGAGCCCAGGAAGTGGAGGCTGCAGTGAGCCATGATCGCACCACTGCACTCCAACCTGGGTGACAGAGTGAGACCCTGTGTCAAAAAAAAAAAAAAAAAAAAAAAGCCAGGGTAACTTGAGGGAAACATGAGGGAAACTTAAATGTATATTACTAAATGAAAGAAGCCAATCTGAAAAAGCAACATATGTATGATTCCACCTATATGACAACCTGCAAAAGGCAAAACTATGGAGACAGTAAAAATATCAGAGATTTCCAGGGGTTGTGGGATGGATGAATAAATGGAGCACAGATGATTTTTTGGGGGGCAGTGAAACTATTCTGTACGATACTGTAATGGTTACAGGCATTTGTCAAGACCCATAGAATGTACAACATCAAGTGAACACTAATGTAAGCTATGGACTTTGGGTGCCAATGATTTTGTTTTTTAATTTATACTTTTTGAGACAGGGTCACCCAAGCTGGAGTGCAGTGGCACAATCTTGGCTCACTGAAACCTCAGCCTCCCAGGCTCAAGTGATCCTCCCACCTCAGCCTCCCGAGTAGCTGGGACTACAGGTGCGTGCCACCATGCCCGGCTAATTTTTGTATTTTTTTTTTTTTTTTAAGAGATGAGGTTTCACCATTTTGGCCAGGCTGGTTTCAAATTCCTCGGCTCAAGCAATCTGCTTGCCTCAGGCTCCCAAAGTGCTAGGATTACAGGTGTGAGCCACTGAGCCTGGCCAGGTGCTGATATTTAACTGTAGGTTCACCAATTGTAACAAATACACTGTTCTGGTGTGGGATATCAACTTTGGGGAGGTTGTGTGTGCTGGGGGGACATGGGTTATATGGGAATTCAATGTATTTTCTGCTCAAATTTTGCTGTGAACCTAAAACTGTTCTAAAGGATGAAAGGAACTGAGGGTGAAGGGAAATGGGAAGATGGTGGTCAAGGGGTACAAAGTCTCAGTTATGCAAGATGAGTAGTTCTGGGGAGATGCACAGCTATGTGACGATAGTTGACAATATTGTGTACTTGAAATTTGCTAAGAAGATAGATCTTAAGTGTTCTCATCAGACAAATAACTATGTGAGGTGATGCACATGTTAATTAGCTTGATTATGGTGAATATTTCACAAATGTAGATATCAAGTTGTACATCTTAAATATATAGATCTCAACAAATATATATACCTCAACAAAGTGGCCTGGGAAAAAAGGGAAAAAAGCTAGTTGCAGCACATGATACCTTTATGGCCAGTTTTGTAACAACAACAAAAAAATCAAAGTGCGAACTTAATGTTATACGCAGTTAATCTTTAGAAAGTGAGATTATGGATACTTTATTTTGTACATATATTCTAATTAAATACAGTTATAGATTATTTGTGTAATGTTTAAAAGCCAAGTTGTTGTATTTAAGGGGGAGGTGGTGAATTGTAGTTCACGACCCACTCTGGGAAAAAAGAAAACAGTGCAGGCTAAGGAGATTATTTTGGTCGGCTCATCAGACCGCCTAACAAGGCGAAGACTTTCCTGAGAGTCCCTAAAGCCGCGGCCCCGGAGGCTTGTGGGAAATGTAGTCCCGAACGTGGATGGTCCACCCCTCCGAGGACCCTGGGAACGGCCCGCGCCCCTGTTTCTGCGCATGTGCAGTGCTGCGAGCGCGCCGGTGGCCGCCCTTCCCCCACCACCAGCGGCGAGTGGGTGACAGAGCCCCCGTCTCCGCGCGTCTTCGCCGCCCTGCGCCGTGACCCGCTGTGGCACTGGGCCACGAGTGGAGGCTGCGCCCCTCCAGGTACGAGAGGGGCTTCCAGGTAGCTCCGCGCGGCCTGGGGCCGAGGGGAAGGAGATGAGGGATGGGCTCGTGCCCGCGCAGGGTGGGAGCCCAAACTTCGGCTACTCGTAGGCGGCAGTGACCCTCAGGGCGGCGTCCGGGGTTGCCCGGCGCTCGCCTCTGAACGGGGCCGGCGGGGCACGCCTGGCCGAACGTGCGGGGGCGGGGACGGCGGAGGGAAGGGCGGCTATGAGGCTTCGCCTTCTTCTCTTTGTCAGGAGATGCGCCTCAGACGGGCGGCGAAGGGCTCGGGCCGCGCGGGAGCGAGTTCTGGAGCCCCGGCGGGCGCGCGCGCGCGGGACGAGGCCCCGCCGGGGCGTGGTGGGGGCGTGGCCTGACACACCTGGCCACGCCCCGATGCCCGGTGCCTCGTGGGTGGAGGAAGGACTGGAGCCTGGTCAGTTGCCGGTGGTGAAGGAGAACCGTGATCCCTTTGTCAGAGGGTCTTCAGTGAGGTGTTCCCCTGATCCTCGCATCCACCCCGTGACTTCCAGCGTTATCATCTCCGTCGCTATCCCAGGAACACGGGAGGTTCAGAAGGGGAAAGTGATTTCCCTAAGGTCTCACAACCCGGTGGTACTTTATGTGAGCAGCAGATATTTTTTCATTTATCTTTTGATTTTACTCGCTGGTAGATTTTGCCATGTATACGTTTTGACGTTTTAAATTTCTCTCGGGTGGAATTTACTGTTCTTTCCGTTTGGGGCACCCAAAATTCTTCACTACTTTGAAATACGAAAGTTTTCCCATGATTCTGGTGCAGTCACGCTCTGCGTAACAGTGTTTCTGTCAACGAGGGACCTCATGTAAAATGGTGGTCCTATGTGATTGTAATACTATATTTTTGTATTGTACCGTTTCTTTTCTTTACTTTCTTTTTTTTTTTTTTTTTTTTGAGACGGAGTCTCGCTCTGTCGTCCAGGCTGGAGTGCAGTGGCTTGATCTCGGCTCACTGCAACCTCCGCCTCCTGGGTTAAAGTAGTGCTCTGCCTCAGCCTCCCGAGTAGCTGGGATTACAGGCGTGAGCCACCGCGTCCGGCCAGACACAATTTATTGATGTAACTGTTCCTCTAAATACTACTTTAACTACATCACTCAAATTTTTATATCTTGTATTTTCTTTTCTGTTGTTGTTGTTTTTGAGACTGAGTCTCACTCTGTCACCCAGGCTGGAGTGCAGTGGCACTCAGCTCACTGAAACCTCTGCCTCCCGGGTTCAAGCAGTCCTCCTGGCTGGGATTACAGGCACCCGCCACTACACCTGGCTGATTTTTGTATTTTTAGTAGAGACGGGGTTTCACCATGTTGGCCCGGCTGCTCTAGAACTCTTGACCTCAAGTGATTCTCCCGCCTTGGCTTCCCAAAGTGCTGGGATTACAGGCATGAACCACTGCACCCAGCCTTTTTATTGTGTTTTCATTACCATTCAATTCAAATTTTTTTAACTTCCCTTGTGACTTCATTTTTTACCCTTATTTATTTAGATTGTATTGCATAATTTCCAAGTTTTTGGAGATTTTCCAGATCTTTTTTTTTTTTTTTTTGAGACAGAGTCTCGCTCTGTTGCCCAGTCTGGAGTGCAGTAGCGAGATCTCGGCTCACTGCAAGCTCCGCCTACCAGGTTCACACCATTCTCCTGCCTCAGCCTCCAGAGTAGCTGGGACTACAGGCGCCCGCCACTACACCTGGCTAATTTTTTTATTTTTTTTTGTATTTTTAGTAGAGACGGGGTTTCACCGTGTTAGCCAGGATGGTCTCTATCTCCTGACCTGGTGATCCACCTGCCTCGGCCTTGCAAAGTGCTGGGATCACAGGCGTGAGCCATCGCACCCGGCCCAGATCTTTTTATATTATTGATTTATAGTTTAATTCTGATTTGGTCAGAATACTGTGTTACGAATTTCAATTATTTTAAATTTGTTGTGGTTTGTTTTTGTATTGTATTTTTGTTTCATTTTGTTTTAGTAGACTCCTGGTCTCAAGTGATCCGCTGACCTTGGCCTCCCAAAGTGCTTTACAGGCGTGAGCCACTGCACCAGGCCTGTTGTAGTTTGTTTTAAGGTCGAGGATATGATGATCTCTCTGGGTAACTGTTTCGTGTGTATTTGAATAAATATTGTGCTGTTGATCGTAGAATCTTCCTTGATTGATTGATTGATTGAGACAGGGTCTGTCTCTGTTGCCCAAGCTGGAGTGCAGTGGTTCAGTCACAGCTGTCTGCAACCTCAAACCTTTTGCCTCAGCCTCCCGAGTAGCTAGGACTGCAGGTGTGCGCCCTAATCCTTTTGCCTCAGCCTCCGGAGTAGCTAGGACTCAAGGTGTGAGCCACCACACTCAGCTAATTTTCTGTATTTTTTGTAGAGACGAGGTTTTGCCATGTTGCCCAGGCTGGTCTCAAACCCCTGGGCTCAAGCAGTCCACCCACCTTTGCCTCCCAAAGTGCTGGGTTTACAGGCATGAGCTACTGTGCCTGACCCTCTTTTTCCATTCTTTTATCTTTTTTTTTTTTAATTTCCTGACTCCTACAACTGATCATCCTTTTACTTTGAATGTAGCTATGTTTTTATATTTTAAACAAACTGCTTATAGACAGCACATGGTTTGGTCTTACTTTTTTTATATAATTTGACCTCTGTTATTTAATTGGTGTGTTTATGCCAATTATTGATATAGTTGTGTTAAAGTCTACCATCTTGCTGGTTTTTTTCTGTTTTTCTTATTTGGTCTTTGTTTCTGTTTACCTTTTTTTCTGTCTACTTTTGTCTTAAGTGGGTCTTTTTTATAATTACATTTTATCTCCACTGTTGTCTTATTGTATATTTGTAAAAATTTAACAGAGTTTTTGGTTGTTACCCTAAAGTTTAGTGGAACTTTAAAGATATCATACTGTTTTATGTCAATATACTTGGAACATTATACTCCCAATTTCATCCTCCCGTCTTTTGCATTATTGTTGTCATACATGTTGCAGAATATTGACATATGCTGTAAACCCACAAAACTTTGCTACTATTTTTGCTTTAGATAATCTTTCACAGTGATTAAAAGCAAGAAAAAGTATCTATTGTGTTGATCCTCATTTTAACGATTCTCGAGATTTTCATTTATTTGTGTAGATTCAGGTTTTTGTCTGATATCATATTTCTTCTATTTAAATAACTTCATTAAACATTTCTTCTAGTGCAGGTCTACTGATAATGAATTCGCTATGTTTTTGTTGTTTGAAAAAGGTTTTTTACTTCATTATCATTTTTGAAAGATATTTTTGCTGGGTATAGAATTCTGAGTTAATAGTTTTTTGCTTTAGTTGCTTTTTTGTTGTTGTGAAAGCACTTTCAGGATGTCACTACTTTGTTTTCTGGCTTAGTTTCTGATGAGAAGGTGGCTATGATTCATTATCTTGATTTTTCTACATATAATATGTCTTTTTTCCTCTGGCTACTTTGAAGATTTTAACTTTGGTTTTCATTTGTTTGGATACGATGTGTCCATGTGTGTTTTTGTTTGAGTTTAGTTTTTGGTATTTTCCCTGTTTGGATAAATTGAGTTTCTTGGACCTGTGGTTTCATATTATTATTTTTGGAAAATTCTTGTCCATTATGTCTTCAAATACTTCTTTTCTCCTTTTGGAATTTCAGTTACATGTTTATTAGACCATTTGATATTGTCTCACAGCCCTTGGATGCTCTATCCTTTTATGTTTTTCTTCCATTTCTCTTTGAGTTTCAGTTTGACCTATCTTCAAGTTTACTGAAACTTTTCTTAGCTCCTTTGTCTACTAATGAACCTGCTGAAAGATCAACTCTGTTACTGTACTTTTCTTAGCATTTCCATTTGATTTTTTCTTGCAGTTTCCATCTCTGCTGAAATTCCCTATTTGTTTATTCATGTTGTCCACCTTTTCTAGTAAAGCCTTTAGTATATGAATCATAGTTGTGTTAAATGCCCTGTCTGATAATTTCAGCAGTTGAGGGTTCTGTTGATTGTTTTGCCTCTTTTGATAGTGGATTATCTTAGTCTTGCCTTTATGGGTGTCTGATAATGTTAGATTGAAGATAGGTGCTGTTAGTATGATCTTTTCTGCCCCTTCTGAAGAGGCAAAGGGACTTTCCCAGGAGGTGGTATTTTCCCAGGTGGTCTCTAGGGGTTTCTAAACAAGTCATTCTAGGAGTTGTAAGGCAGGTCAGACCTTTAATAACAATGCCTTCCTTTTTCCTCTATTCCAGTTCTGCCTTCATAGTTCTCTGCCTTTGCCCAAAACTGCAGAAAATGAACAAATCCCAGGTGAGTTGTTTGTTTATTCCCCATTTTGCTTTTCAGTGCATTTAAGGAAGTTTATAAGGATCCAGAAAATGAAATAGAAAAGTATGAATAAGACACAAAGGAAACATAGCAAGAATAACTAATCAATACCAGCAGCCAAAAAGCAAATTGAGTTAATTAAATGTCTTGCATTGGTTATGAATACCAATTATTTGGTTCTGTACATTAGGTCTGAATAAATTTTATGGACCTTCATATAGATGGTGTTTTGGACAGCACCCCCAGAAACAACCAACTTTGAAAGGGTTATCACTTTATCTGTGGTTGTTTCATATAACATTCCTCAGTGCAAGTGCAGAAGATTATTGTATGTATTTGGTTTTTCCAGTCAGATTAGCCTAATGCCAGAGAATGCAGTAAATATGTGGGTTTGTATTTAAATCCCTCCACCCCAAGCAGGTACCACTGTCATTACTTTCTTGTGTAGCTTTCCAGAGCTTATTTGTACATAATTACACAAGTACAAATAAAAGCACAAACGTAAGATAGCATGTTAATCATACTGTTCTGTTTATATGCGTTCTGTTTTAATAGATTTCATTTTTTTTAGAGCAGTTTTGGGTTTACAGAAAAATTGAATGGGGAATGCAGTGTGTTCCCATATACCCCCTCATTCCCAACCCCTACCCCCAGTTTCCTTTATTATTAATATATGCATTAATGTATATTGTTACAGTTGATGAGCCAATATTGATACTTTAAAGACCATAGTTTACAGTAGGGATCACTCTCTGTGTACATTCTGTGTATTTTGACCAATATATAATGACATGTATCCATCACTATGGCATCATACAGAATAGGTTCACTGCCCTGAAAATCCCGTGCTCCGCCTATGCACCTCTCCCTCTGTCTCCCTAAGTCCCTAACACCCACTGATCTTTCTACTGTCTCATCTCCCTAGTCGTGTCTTTTCTAGAATGTCATATAGTTGGATTCATGCAGTAGGTAGCCTTTTTAGATTGGTTTCCTTCACTTAGAAATATGCATTTAAGGTTTCTCCAAGTTCAAGACAATGCTGGCCAACACGGTGAAACCCCGTCTCTAGTAAAAAAAAAAGTACAAAAAATTAGCCAGGCGTGGTGGCGGGCGCCTGTAGTCCCAGCTACTCGGGAGGCTGAGGCAGGAGAATGGCGTGAAGCCAGGAGGCGGAGCTTGCAGTGAGCTGAGATCGCGCCACTGAACTCCAGCCTGGGCAACAGAGCGAGACTTTGTCTCAAAAAAAAAAAAAGAGAAGGTTCCTCCAAGTCTTTTCTTGGCTTGATAACTCATTTCTTCTTAGTACTGAATATGTCATGATGTGATGTACCACGGTTTATTTATCCATTCACATATTGAAGGAACAGATAAACTTAGTGGCTTCTAAGTTTTGGCAATTATAAATAAAGCTGTTATAAACATCTGTGTGCAGGTTTTTTGGGGGCATGTTTTCAACTCATTTGGATAAATACCAAGGCCCCTGGATCATACACTAAGAATATAATTAATTTTGTAAGAAACTGCCAAACTCCCTTCAATGTGGCTGTACCATTTTACATTCCCACATTCTCACCAGCAATGAATGAGAGTTTTTTTTTTTTTTTTTTTTTGGTTTTAAGGAGCGGAAAGTTTAATAGGCAAGAAAGAAAAGAGAAGGCAGAAGGAAGAGGCTCCCCTGACAGAGACAGAGGGAGGGGGGCTCCAAAGCCGAGAGAGGGAACCTCCTGAATGAGAGTTTCTACGGCCCTGCATCCTCACCAGCATTTTGTGTTGTCAGTGTTCTGGATTTTAGCCATTTTATTTATTTATGTTTTTAATTTTTATTTTTTTTGAGATGGAGTCTTGCTCTGTCACACAGGCTGGAATGTAGTGGCGTGATCTTGGCTCAGTGCAACCTCCCCTTCCCAGGTTCAAGTGATTCTCCTGCCTCAGCCTCCCGAGTAGCTGGGATTACAGGTGCGCACCACCATAGCCCAGCTAATTTTTGTATTTTTAGTAGAGATGGGGTTTCACCATGTTGGTCAGGCTGGTCTCGAACTCCTGGGCTCAAGTGATCCACCCACCTTGGCCTCCCAAAATGCTGATTACAAGCGTAAGTCACTGTGCCTGGTTATGGTTTGTGTTTCAATCTCTTAATTATGTGATTTGATTTTGTTTTGTTTTTGAGACAGGGTCTCGCTCTGTCACCTAAGTGGGAGTGCAGTGATGTGAACACGGTTTACTGCAGCCTCGACTTGCTGGACTCAAGCAGTCCTCCTGCCTAAATCCCCGCAAGTAGCTGGGACTACAGGCACATGCCGCCATGCTTACCTAATTTTTTGTATTTTTTTGTAGAGATGGAGTTTTGCCCTGTCGCTCAGGCTCATCTTGAACTCCTGAGCTCAAGCAATCCATGTCCACCTCAGTCTCCTAAAGTGCTGGCATTACAGGTGTGAGCCACCGTGCTCAGCCCAATTATGTGTTTTTTAAATCATTCAGTAACATATCTTTGAAGTATTTCCATATCAGAGCATAGAGGTTGCTCATTCTTTTTTTTCCTAATCTTTAATTGTGTGACACATGTACAGAATAGTGTATTAAGACATAACACTCTTTAAATGTGTTATAACAACATATATAACAAATATATATGCATTAAAGAATAATAATAAAATGGGTGCCCATGTAGGCACCCAAGTTAAGAAATAGAACATTATCTGTTCTTTATGACAAATTTTCTGATTGAATCCACCTAGTAGATAGCCACTATCTTGACATTTTTCTTAATAGTTCCCTTGCTTTCCTTAAAGACTTTACCACTTAGATATATTCTTAATGTAATATTCAGTTGATAAACTATAACTGGGATTAATATCACTTATAGTCTTAATATAAAATTTAGTTAACAAACTATAACTGGAATTAATATTGCCTTGGTTTGCATAATCTTTTGTCTAATTGGTGGAGGTTTTTTTTTCCTTTCAGACATGTGAGATCTAAAAGATGCATCCGTGGGCCCTTTGCCAAGACTTAGGTTATCATTTATTTTTTAAATTACACTAGCTAGTGTTAGCTAAGAAGAAATGAAACCACTCATGTATTGCTGGAGATAGTATAGAATGATACAGCCTTACTGGGAGCAATGTGGCAACACCAAGCAAATTTAGCAGTGTAAAGCAGCTGTGTCTAGAAATTTGGCTACTGTTGGGGCCAGGTGTGGTGGGTCACGCCGGTAATCCTAGCACTTTGGGAGGCCGAGGTTGGTGGATCACTTGAGGTCAGGAGATCGAGACCAGCCTGGCCAACATGGCGAAACCCTGTCTTTACTAAAAATACAAAAAAAATTAGCCGGGCGTGGTAGCATGCGCCTGTAATCCCAGCTACTTCGGAGGCTAAGGCAGGAGAATCGCTTGAACCCAGGAGGTGGAGGCTGCAGTGAGCCGAGATCATGCTACTGCACTCCAGCCTGGGCAACAGAGTAAGACTCTGTCTCAGAAAAAGAAAAGAAAAGAAAAGAAATTTTGCTACTGTTGGACAAAGCCTCCCAGGAAAAGATGAGCTGAATTGAATTTCCAGGTATAGCCTGGCTTTGACTTTCCTGAGAGTTTACAGAAGTCCCGTTTGGGGAGGTTATTGGCAAGGTCATGAGAAGCATGGGGCTCAACATAGTTGGGCCGTGTGACAGGGTCAGAGTGTAGACTAGGTATTGAATTTTTGGTACGAATATAATTAGAGGGAGTGGGATGCTATGCATTTTCTGCATCTTGGTTCACTGGTGAATAGCCACCACTCAGGAGTAGATTAAAGCAGAACACTTCTGTGACATGAAATGACTGTTCTCATCTGATCCAAGGCAGTCTGGTATGGAGGGGAAAGACAGATGTCATCAGAACATGTTCAAGATAAGCCAAACCAAGTACAGTTAAGAATCTGGGCCAGGCTCACCCAGGCATTCTGCCCTCAGGTTAATAAAAAGTTGGTACAGTGGCCGCAGGTATCTTGTTGATGACAACCCTCAGAATGCCAGCTTTTGAATCACTGTGTTCCAGTCCGTAACTACAAGTAATGTGGTGTTAGTAGAGAATCAGTGCTATTTCACCATCTCCCACCGCTGTCTCCTTCCCACTCCTAGGGATTTCCTTCCTCTCTCTCATGTTGATCTTTTGTTTGCAGCGTCTCTTTTTTGGATTACTGTTGTTTTATTGAAGTACATGCTTCAGCAGCTTCTTGAGAAAGGGTTTGTGAGAGGTATGTTTTTTAGGCTGAATTTCTGAAAATGTCTTTTTTTTTTTTTTTTTTTTGAGACAGTCTCACTCTGTCTCCCAGGCTGGGGTGCAGTGGTGTGATCTTGGCTCACTGCAATCTCTACCACAGGGTTCAAGCAATTCTCCCGCCTCAGCCTCCTAAGTAGCTGTGATTACAGGTGTGTGCCACTACACACGGTGAATTTTTGTATTTTTAGTAGAGACGGGATTTCACCCTGTTGGCCAGGCTGGTCTTGAACTCCTGGCCTCAAGTGATACGCCCTCCTCAGCCTCCCAAAATGCTAGGATTACAGGTGAGAGCCACTGCACCTGGCCTTCATTCTGTTCTGGTATTTGATTGATAGCTAGGTATGAATGTGGATTTGTCCATTCCTCAGTTTAGTTCTGTCAGGCTTGATATAATTTGAAGCTGTGTTAGTCATTGCATATATGGTTATGGATGTGTGCACACATATGATTCTGTCTTCCTGATGGACTTATCCTTTTATCATTTTGAAATGCCCCTCTTTATCCCTGATAATACTGCTTTTCTGATAAAAATAAAGCCATACCTACCTCTTCTGGGTTGGTTGGTTGGTTTGTTTTGAGACCGGATCTGGCTCTGTTACCCAGGCTGGAGTGCAGTGGCTTGATCTTCACTCACTGCAGTCTTTGCCTCCTGAGTTCAAGTGATCCTCCCAGTATTTGGAACTACAGGCGTGTACCACCATGCTCAGGCAATTTTTGTAGTTTTGTTTTTGGTAGAGATGGGATCTCGCCAGGTTGCCCAGGCTGGTCTCAAACCCCTAGGCTTACGAGATCTGTCTACCTCAGCCTCCCAAAGTTCTGGGATTACAAATGTGAACCACCATGCCTGGCCCATACCTCCTTTTTTTTATGATTAGTGTTATGGTATATATTTTATTTTTGCTTCAACCTATTTATGTTCATATGTTTATAGTATATTTCCCCTAAATAGCTTGTAGTTTGGTCGTGGTTTTGATCCAGCCTGTTTCTTTTTTCTTTTTTTGAGACAGGGTCTTCCTCTGTTGCCCAGGGTGGAATTTAGTGGCATGAACACAGCTCACTGCAGCCTCAAGTTCCTTGATCCAGCCTATTTCTGTCTATTTTTTTTTTTTTTTAATTTTTTTTATTTTTTGAGACAGGATCTCTCTTTCTCACCCAGGCTGCAGTGCTGGAGTGAAGTGGTGTGATCTTGGCTCATTGCAGCCTCAAGCAGTTCTCCCACGTCAGCCTCCTGAGTAGCTGGGACTACAGGCCTGTGACAGTTAATTTTAATTTTAATTTTTTTTATTTTTTTTGTCGTGATGAGATCTTGCCTCCCAAAGGGCTGGGATTATAGGCGTGAGCCACCATGCCTGGCCTATTTCTGTCTTTTAATTGGTTTATTATTTTATTTGTGATTTTTTTTTTTTTTTTACAGGCATAGGTGAATTTCAGTGTGTCATTTTGCTATTTATTTTTAGTTGTCCTGTGTGTTCCTATTTTCCCTTTTATCTTTTTTTTAAGTGGTTGCTGTAGAGATTACAGCTTATAATCTTAACTGACCACCTCTTTAATATTTTGCATATTACTTTACAGTTCGTCTGAAGTGTTTATGGGTTAAAACTAATATATAGGTACTGTCTACATCTGCTCCTTTTGGGTTGTTTATCTCTTGATTGTTTTTGTCTTGTCTTTTTTTTTTTTTTTTTGAGACAGAGTCTTGCCCAGACTAGAGTGCAGTGGCTTGATCTCCATTCACTGCAACCTCTGCCTCCCAGGCTCAAGTGATCCTCCCACTTCAGCCTCCTTAATAGCTGGGACTACAGGCACATGTCATTATGCCCAGCTAATTTTTGTATTTTTTGTAGACATGGAATTTCGTTGTGTTGTCCAGGCTGGTCTCGAACTCCTGGGCTCAAGCAATCCACCCACCTTAGCCGCCCAATGTGCTGGGATTTCAGGTATGCGCCACATGCCTGGCCTCGTTGTTTTGGCTTGCTTGATTTCTCCTTCATTCCTTCCTTCCTTCCCTTCCCTTCCCTTCCTTTCCCTTCCTTCCCTCACTTCCCTTCCTTCCCTCCCTTCCCTCCCTTCCCTCCTTTCCCTCCTTTCCCTCCCTCCCTCCCTCCCTCCCTCCCTTCTTTCCTTTCCCTCCCTCCCTCCCTTCCTTCCTTTCTCTCTCTCTCTCACTTTTCATTTTTTTTTTTTTTTTTTTGACAGAGTCTTGGTTACCCCCAGACTGGGGTACAGTGACAACGCTCACAGTTCACTGTAGCTGTGACCTCCTGGGCTCAGGCAACCCTCCCACCCCAGCCTCTTGTGAAGCTGGGTCCACAGACATGTGCCACTATGCCCGGCTAATTTTTGTACTTTTTTTAGACAGGGTTTTGGTATATTGCCCAAGCTGGTCTCAAACTCTTGGGCTCAATTTGTCCACCTGCCTCAGCCTCCCAAAGTGCTGGGATTACAGTCATGAGCCACTATACCTGGCCCTGGTTTTGCTTTTTCACATGTCTAGCAGTTTTGTTTGTATGCTGGATATGTTGTATGATACATAGCTCCTTCTAAAAAATGTTAAGTTTTGTCTGCCAGATAGCTAAATTATTGGCAGATGATTCTGATCCCATTGGGGCATGTTTTAAGATTTGCAGGTGTGGGTGTATCGGTTTGGTCATACTCCTTTCTCCTAGGGTGTGCTCCATCCTTCTAGGGCATGGCTTTTGTGGCATCTCAACTGTTTGCCAGTATCTCTATCTTTCTGGATTCAGACTGTCCCAGCTCCTCAGCACTATGCAACCTCTGAAATCTCTAGTCAGCTCTCAGTCTCACAGTCGATGCCACTAGTTGTCTTGGAGGCTTGCCCTCCACCTACACATATTAGGAACTAGCCAAAGATTTGAGGTGAATCTTTATGCAGAATGTTAAGGCTTCTCTATGGCTTCTGTAGCGCCATCATCCTATGTCTTACTCCATTTTGTGCTGCCATGGCAGAATACTTGAGACTAGGTAATTTATAAAGAACAGAAGTTTATTTTCTTGGCTGGGCAAGGTAGCCATGCCTGTAATCTCAGCACTTTGAAGGGCCAAGGTGGGTGGATCCCTTGAGGGCAGGAGTTTGAGACCAGTCTTGCCAACATGTACTAAACCCATCTGTACTAAACCCCATCTGTACTAATCCCATCTGTACTAAACCCCATCTGTACTAAACCCCATCTATACTAAAAATACAAAATTTAGCCAAGTGTGGTGGCTAACCCCATCTGTACTAAACCCCATCTGTACTAAAAATACAAAAATTAGCCAAGTGTGGTGGCACTTGTCTGTAACCCCAGCTACTTAGGTGGCTGAGGCACAAGAATCACTTGAACCTGGAAGGTGGAGGCTGTAGTGAGCTGAGATCATGCCACTGCACTCCAATCTGGGTGACAAAGCGAGACTGCCTCAAAAAAAAAAAAAAAAAAAGGAAGAAATTTATTTTCTCACAGTTCTAGAAGCTGAGAGTCCAAGATCAAGGTGCTGGTGAAGGCCTGGTCTCTTCTTCCAGGATGGCACTTGAAATGCTGCATCCTTCAGAGGGGAGGAGTGCTGTGTCCTGGCATGGCAGAAAGCAAAAGGGCAAAAAAGGAGATGAACTCCTTTCATCAAGCCCCGTTAGAAGGGCTCCTAACCCCGCTCACAAGGGGAGGAGCCTCTATGATCCAATCACCTCTCAAAGGCCACACCTCCCAATACTTAATTGGGGATTAAGTTTCAACATGAAATTTTAGAGAGGACAAAAATACTCAAACCATAGCATTGCCCCTAGATCCTAGTTGCTTTACAGACCCAAACACCAGTTTGTATTTTTTTTTAATTTATTTAATTAATTTTCAAGATGGAGTCTTGCTCTTGTTGCCCAGGCTGTAGTGCAGTGGCACCATCTTGGCTCACTGCCACCTCCGCCTTCCGGGTTCAAGCGATTCTCCTGCCTCAGCCTCCCGAGTAGCTGGGATTACAAGGTGTGCGCCACCACGCCTGGCTAATTTTTGTATTTTTAGTAGAAACGGGGTTTCTCCACGTTGTCCAGGCTGGTCTCGAACTCCTGGCTACAAGTGATCTCCCCGCCTCGGCCTCTCAAAGTGCTGGGATTACAGGCGTGAGCCACTGCGCCCGGCCAACAACACTCACTTCTGCTTGGGCTTTGTTGTTCTGTGCCATGGTTCAGCATGATCGTAAATGTGTGGCTCTCCTCATAGATGCCTTTTGGTAATTGTAGCCCTACAGTGATTGCTCTCCTGTGCTTGCAAGTAATTATTTATTTTGTCCAGTTTTTATGGTTTGCCTGTCTGATAATTTTGAAGATACTGCTTTCTGGTGTAGTCAAGAGGTCTGAAGGCTTTCAGTCTTCTTACTTGTAACCTATTCTCTCCTGAAACTCACAGGCTTTTCTCTTTGCAGCTGGTGTTCTGAAATTTCCTTCGAATTTTTTTCTTCCATTATGCATGGTAGATTATAAGATTTCTTTATTTCACAGAAATACAAATAAAGCATAGTAGTTTTATGAAATATATATATATATATATTTTTTTTTTTTTTTTTTTTTTTTTTCCTGAGATGGAGTCTCACTTGTCATCCAGGCTGGAATGCAGTAGCACGATCTAGGCTCACTGCACCCTCCACCTCCCAGGTTCAAGCGATTCCCCTGCCTCAGCCTCCCAGGTAGCTGGGACTACAGGCGCCCGCTACTGTGCCCGGCTAATTTTTGTATTTTTGGTAGAGAAAGGGTTTCCCCATGTTGGCCAGGCTGGTCTCGAACTCCTGACCTCATGTGATCCGCCTACCTCGGCCTCCCAAAGTGCTGGGATCACAGGCGTGAACCACCGTGCCCAGCCGAAATATTTTTATGTATTAAAACAGTTGAAAGTAACTTCAGTATGGTGCAGCTTTTGAGACAGGGTCTCACTTTGTCACCCAGGCTGGAGTGTGGTGGTGCAATCTCAGCTCACTGCAGCCTGGACCTCCTTGGCTCAAGCAATCCTCCCACCTCAGCCCCCTATGTAGCTGGGACTACAGGCAGGCACCATCAAGCTGGGCTTTTTGTATTTTTTTTTTTAGAGATGGGGGTCTCGCCCTGTTGCCCAGACTGGTCTTGAACTCCTGACCTTAAGTGATCCACCTGCCTTGGCTCCAAAGTGCTAGGATTACAGGCATGAGCCACTGCGTCCAGCCCAAGTATAGGTCAACTTAATTATCCGCCTATTTTGCTGTCTAGTCAGTGCCTAACATTTTGACGTTTCCATGTATTGTGTATGTTGAAGATTTTTTTTAAATATAATTTCAACTTATTTGAGATTTGGGGGTACATGTGCAGATTTGTTACATAGATATTTTTATGATGGTGACGTTTGGGGTATGATTGATCATGTCACCAAGTAGTGAGAATAGTACCCAATAGTTTTTGCCTTTGCCCCTCCCTTCCCTACCAGTAGATCCCAGTGTCTGTTGTTACCATCTTTATGTTCGTGAGTACCCAGAGTTTAGCTCCCACTTATAAGTGAGGATATGCGCTATTTGGATTTCTGTTTGTGTTAATTCAGTTAGGTTAATACCCTCCACCTGCATCCATGTTGCTGCAAAGGATATGATTTCATTCTTTTATATGGCTGTGGTTTTAAAATTTATATTACTTGTATTATATTTTAAATGTATTAAAATGTAATTTTTCTTTTTTTTTTTGGAAACAGTCTTGCTCTGTTGCCCAGGCTGGAGTGCAGTGGCACAGTCTTGGCTCACTGCAAGCTCCGCCTCCTGGGTTCAAGCGATTCTTCTGCCTCAGCCTCCCGAGTAGCTGGGATTACATGCGCCCACCACCACGTCCGGCTAATTTTTGTATTTTTAGTAGAGACGGGGTTCGCCATGTTGGCCAGGTTGGTCTCGAACTCCTGACCTCGTGATCCACCTGCCTCGGCCTCCCAAAGTGTTGGGATTACAGGCATGAGCCATTGCGCCCGGCCAATGTTTTTTATATTACAAAAATCATACATTAATGTTGTCTCTTACTGTCTCTATCATATGAGGATCTGCCCTCCCCAGCGTGCATTGTTGTTTTTTTTGTTTTGTTTTGTTTTTTTGAGTACATTCTTGCTCTGTTGCCCAGGCTAGAGTGTAGTAGTGTAGTGGCATGATCTCGCTCACTGCAACTTTTGCCTCCCGGGTTCAAGCAATTCTCCTGCCTCAGCCTCCTGAGTAGCTGAGACTACAGGTGCCCACCACCATGCCCGGCTAATTTTTGTATTTTTAGTAGAGACGGGGTTTCACCATGTTGTCCAGGCTGGTATCAAACTCCTGACCTCAGGTGATCCACCTGCGTCGGCCTCCCAGAGTGCTGGGATTACAGGTGTGGCCACTGCACCCAGCCTTTTTTTTTTGTTGTTGTTGAGACAGGGTCTTGCTGTGTCTCCAGGGCTGAAGTGCAGTGGCATGATCACGGTTCACTGTAGCCTTGACCTCCCAGGCCCAAGCTGTCCTCCTACCTGAACCTCCCACATAGCTGGGACTACAGGTGTGCACCACCACGTCCAGCTAGGTGTTCTGTTGTTGTAGAGACAGGGTCTTGCCATGTTGCCCAGGGTGGTCTCAAACTCCTGAGCTCAAGCAGTCCTCCTGCGTCATCCTCCCAAATGCTGGGATTACACACATGAGCCACAGCACCGGCACTGTTTATGTCACCTCACTCAATCCTAAAATTTTCTTGACCATTAAAGCCAGTCTTTCCATCATAGAGATAACCAGTATGTTTTGTGTGGGGTATCCATGCTCTTTGTTTAATCACTTTTATATCATGAACAGGATTATATAGAATTTTGGGTCATGTTATGTGCATTTTTTGGAATTCTGTTTATTGATGTTCCTGTGGACAGCTTCCTGTGCCTTTTGTTTTCAGGCTTTGTTACTTTGTTTATATTTTAGCTGGATCATTGAAGTTTGTGTTGTTTTTAAAATTTGCCTCTTGTAAAAATTATATGTAGGTTTTTAAACCCTGAAGGTCTTAGTCTTTTAACAGACATTTATCCCATTTTTATTTTGATTACTGATTTTATCTGCTTTTCCTTCTCTGCTTATTTCCACCCTTTAAAGGTTTATATTTTTTCAGTACTTTCCTATTTTAAACAAAAGTTAATCAGAATTTTTCTTCCAAACATGGTACTTTCTTCCTGCCACAACTTCTAAGTTGATGACATCCAGAAATTAGTTTAAAACAACTTCCTTTCCCATTCCATATTTGCATACTTTTAATATGTTTTGCTGGTTTGCTGTTGCTTTTTTTGCACATCCAACTGATTCTTGCTGGGCTTAATTTTGGTTTTGGTACATCTTTGAATAGTGGTAATAATGCCTGATACTTGACATCTATTATGTACTAGTCATCATTCTAGATCGGGGGTGTCAAACTCTGGCTCGTTGTCCAGATGGGCTGCTGCCTTGTTTTTATGTGACCCACAAGCTAAGAATGGTTTTTAATTTTAATGGTTGAGGGGGGGAATATCAAAAGAATATTTTGTGCTGTGAAAATGATTTGAAATAAAAATATGAAACTCAGATTTTAGTTTCCATAAGTTTTTTTTTTTTTTTGAGGCGGAGTTTCACTCGTTGCACAGGATGGAGTGCAATGGCACGATCTCGACTTACCGCAACGTCCACTTCCTGGGTTCAAGCGATTCTCCTGCCTCAGCCTCCTGAGTAGCTGGGATTACAGGCATGCACTACTATGCCCGGCTAATTTTGTATTTTTAGTAGAGACGGGGTTTCTCCATTTTGGTCAGGCTGGTTTTGAACTCATGACCTCAGGTGATCCACCCACTTCAGCCTCCCAAAGTGCTGGGATTACAGGCATGAACCATCGCGCCCGGCCTCCATAAATCGAGTTTTATTGGAACACAGCCATGCCTATTTGTTGACGTGTTGCCTATGCCTGTTTTTGTGGTATGATGGCCAAGTCGGTTTGTTTTAGCAGAGACTACATGTAGCCTGAAAAGGAAAAATCTAGTTAGTTACTTACTTGACCCTTTATAGAAAAAGTTTGTCAACCAACTCATTCTAAATACTTTCAGCCCTTTGAAGATTTGTCTTCTGACTTCCATTGTTTTTGTTGAGAAATTAGCTGTCAGGTTTTTTGTACCTCTGAAGGCAATACCTGTTTTTTCCTCTGGGTTTTTTTCTGAGACAGAGTCTTGCTCTGTCACCCAGGCTCAAGTGCAGTGGGGCAGTCTGGGCTCACTGCAGCCTCCACCTCCCAGGTTCAAGCAATTCTCCTGTCCCAGCCTCCCGAGTAGCTGGGATTACAGGCGCCCTCTACCACACCCGGATAATTTTTGTATTTTTAGTAGAGATGGGGTTTCACCATCTTTGCCAGGTTGGTCCCGAACACCTGTGATCCGCCCACCTCGGCTTCCTAAAGTGCTGGGATTACAGGCCTGAGCCTGGCCACCTCTGGGGTTTTAAATCAGTTTTGTTATATGCTGAGTATTTTTTTTTTTTAATGTACTTATTGTACTTGGGGTTGCTGGTTTTAAAACTATAGCCTGGTGTGGGGTGTGTTGGAAAATTCTCAGCTGTTATCTCTTCAAATATTGTTTCCACTGCCTCTGCTGGGACTCCTGCTGCAAGTATATTAGACCTTTTTAGCTTGTCCCACATATCTTTTAGGCTCCTTAATGTACCTTTTGCATTTCAGTTTAGATATTTACTGACATTTTTTGACTAATCATTTCTTCAGCCATTCTGGCCTGTTAAATTCAACCATGTATTTTTTAAAAAAATTTTCTACCATTTTTATGGCTTGAATGAGGGGATGGAAGGACAGAGATCCTTACTTGTACCTGGTATTTTACAGTTGGAAGTTCATCTTCTGCCTTAAAGAGTTAAAACTTTGACTATTTAAACATCGATGTCACAGAAATAATGCCTATGTGAGCTTTATTAGCACACTGGTAACAATGAATATCTAATGTGCTTGTCTCACAGTACACATCTTGAGAGCAGAAACAGTGTTTATTTTTTGAGACAGTCTTACTCTGTTGCCCAGGCTGGAGTATAGTGGTGCAGTCTTGGCTCACTGCAGCCTCTGCCTCCCGGGTTTAAGCAGTTCTCCTGTCTCAGCTCCCCCACGTAGCTGGGAGTACAGGCATGTGCCACCATGCCCGACTAAATTTTAGTAGAGATGGGATTTCACCATGTTGTCCAGGCTGGTCTCGAACTCCCGACCTCAAGTGATTCCCCCGCCCACCTAGCCTCCCAAAGTGCTGGGATTACAGGTGTGAGCCACTATGCCTGGCCAATAGTGTTTTATTAATCTGAGACACCTATCAAATATGACAGTGCCAGAGATATAGGGGAATCTGAATAAATCTCAACTATTTATAAAAATATATTTTGGAAGACATGAACAAAAACAGTGAACAAGATGTATCGTTGGTGTAATATATAGATTTTCATGATGAATGACATAAAGTTTTCATCTATCCTTTCTATATCACCAAATGATCATCTTAGGATGAATAACAATATGCCATTTCAGGGATCAGTTTCATTCACGGATGTGACTGTGGACTTTACCCAGGAGGAATGGGAACAACTGGACCCCTCTCAGAGGATCCTATACATGGATGTGATGCTGGAGAATTATAGCAACTTACTTTCAGTGGGTAAGGACGGTTTTCAGGTACAGCTCACCATGTGCCTAGAGGTATTTATGTCCTGTCTCAGTGACCAGAAATGAGCTTCTGAATTACTAAATGTTTTTGGCCTAAGTCCTCAGGTATTAAACCTGAGAGATCTTGCAGCCTTTAAAGCTCTATCATCTCCTTTCCTTTAAGGCTTCTGAAGTCCAGGCAATTAGGAGCTATGTCCCATTAGTAAATGGCTGTCAAGCCATATGCAATTTTCAAGTTGGAGCAACCAGAAGAGTTTTGGGTAGCATAGAGTTGTCAATTCAGAACATTCTAAGGGAGATAGGACGGGAGAGAGGGAGAAGCAGAAGCCAGTGGAATTAGTATCCAGACGATTATGAGCAGCTCAGTACCTTTGAAATACTTTTCAGCAATCTGTTTTTCAAATCCCTAACACTTAAGTATAGCTGAGGACAGATGACCTGTACCTCAATCTCTGAAGCATACCTCCAAATATCCGTCTCTCCCTGCTTACCTTTTTTTTTTTCCTGTTTAATCTTATAGATATTTGCCTCTCACACTTGAACCCTGAAACTTTCCTAACATATCTTAAACTTTGTTGTGTCTTGTACATGTACCATTCTTTTCCAGTCCACCATTAATGGGCACCTAGGTTGATTCCATGTCTTTGCTATTATGCATAGTGCTGTGATGAACCTATGAGTGGGCATGTGTCTTTTTGGTAGAATCTTTTTTTGAGACAGGGTCTCATTCTGTCACCCAGGCTAGAATCCAGTGGTGACATCACGGTGCACTGTAGCGTCCACCTCCTGAGCTCAAGTAGTCTTCCCACCTCAGCCTGGAGTAGCTGGGATCACAGACACACACCACCATGTCCTGCTAATTATTTTTTACTTTTGTAGAGACAAGTTCTCTGTAGAACTCCTGACCCCAGGCCAGGCGCCATGGCTCATGCTTATAATCCTAGCATTTTGGGAGGCTGAGGCGGGCAGATCACCTGAGGTCAGTTCAATACCAGCACCAACAACATGGTGAAAACCCCTCTCTACTAAAAATACAAAATAAGCCGGGCATGGTGGCATGTGCCTGTAATCCCAGCTACTCGGGAGACGGAGGTTGCAGTGAGCTGAGATCACACCATTATACTCCAGCCTGGGCAACAGAGACCGACCCCATCTCAAAAAAACAAAAATAAGACCTCCTGACTTCAAGTGATCCTCCTGCCTTGGCCTCCCAAAGTGCTGGGATTACAGGCATGAGCCAGTGTGCCTGGCCAGATGATTTTTAATGGGATTGCTATGTGAAAGGGTAGTTCTGAATTATTTGAGAAATCTTCAGACTGTTCTCCACAGTGGCTGAACTAATTTAAATTCCCACCAACAGTGTATCTTAGCCTTGCCAGTATCTGTTGTTTGACTTAATGAACCTGGGTAACTTTATCCTTAAGATGCTGAACACATTGAAAGAAGTAGGCTGGGCATGGTGGCTCATGCCTGGAATATTGAGAGTATCCCTTGAGCCCAGGAGGTCAAGGCTGCAGTGAGCTATGATTGTGCCACTGCACTCCAGCCTGGGCAAATGAGGGAGACCCTATCTCTAAATAGGAATGGAAGAAAAGTAGGATATGATAGTGAAAACATGTTCACTCTCCCAGCAACTTCAGTAGAAAAAAAAAAGCA